>NC_000005.10:47309184-47635210 GCF_000001405.40 Homo sapiens | reverse complement strand
TTGGCCTCAAAGCGCTTGAAATCTCCACTTGCAAATTCCACACAAAGAGTGTTTCAAATCTGCTCTGTGTAAATGAAAGTTCAACTCTGTGAGTTGAACACACACAACACAAGGAAGTTACTGGGAATTCTTCTGTCTAGCATAGTATGAAGAAATCCCGTTTCCAACGAAGGCCTCAATGAGGACTGAATATCCACTTGCAGAGTATACAAACAGAGTGTTTCCTAACTGCTCTATGAAAAGAAAGGTTAAACTCTGTGAGTTGAACGCACACATCACAAAGAAGATTCTGAGAATCATTCTGTCTAGTTTTTATTCGAAGATATTTCCTTTTCTACCATTGACCTCAAAGCGGCTGAAATCTCCACTTGCAAATTACACAAAAACAGTGTTTCAAGTCTACTCTGTGTAAAGCATCGTTCAACTCTGTGAGTTGAAAACACACAACACAAGGAAGTTTCTCAGAATTCTTCTGTCTAGCAGAATATGAAGAAATCCCGTTTCCAACGAAGGCCACAAGATGTCAGAATATCCACTTACAGACTTTACAAACAGAGTGTTTCCTAACTGCTCTATGAACAGAAAGGTTAAACTCTGTGAGTTGAACGAACACATCACAACGCAGTTTGCGGGAATGATTCTGTCTAGTTTTGAAACGAAGATATTTCCTTTTCTGCCGTTGACCTTAAAGAGCTTGAAAACTACACTTGCAAATTGCACAAATAGAGTGTTTCAAATCTGCTCTGTCTAAGGGAACGTTCAACTCTGTGAGTTGAATACACACAACACAAGGAAGTTACTGAGAATTCTTCTGTCTAGCCTTACATGCAAAAAACCCGTTTCCAACGAAGGCCTCTAAGTGGTCAAAATATCCACGTGCAGACTTTACAAACAGAGTGTTTCCAAACCGCTGAATGAAAAGAAAAGTTAAACTCTGAGAGTTGAACGCACACATCACGCAGCAGTTTCTGAGAATGATTCTGTCTAGTTTTTATACGAAGATATTTCCTTTTCTGCCTTTGGCCTCAAAGCGCTTGACATCTCCACTTGCAAATTCCACAAAAAGAGTGTTTCAAATCTGCTCTGTGTAAATGAAAGTTCAACTCTGTGAGTTGAACACACACAACACAAGGAAGTTACTGGGAATTCTTCTGTCTAGCAGAATATGAGGAAATCCCGTTTCCAACGAAGGTCTCAAAGAGGTCTGAATATCCACTTGCAGACTTTACAAACAGAGTGTTTCCTAACTGCTCTATGAACAGAAAGGTTAAACTCTGTGAGTTGAACGCACACATCACAAAGGAGTTTCTGAGAATCATTCTGTCTAGTTTTTATACGAAGATATTTCCTTTTCTACCATTGACCTCAACGCAGCTGAAATCTCCGCTTGCAAATTCCAGAAAAAGAGTGTTTCAAGTCTGCTCTGTGTAAAGGATCGTTCAACTCTGTGAGTTGAATACACACAACACAAGGAAGTTACTGAGAATTCTTCTGTCTAGCCTTATAAGAAAAAAACCCGTTTCCAACGAAGGCCTCAAAGAGGTCTGAATATCCACTTGCAGACTTTACAAACAGAGTGTTTCCTAACTGCTCTATGAAAAGAAAGGTTAAACTCTGTGAGTTGAACGCACACATCACAAAGGAGTTTCTGAGAATCATTCTGTCTAGTCTTTATACGAAGATATTTCCTTTTCTACCATTGACCTCAAAGCGGCTGAAATCTCCACTTGCAAATTCCACAAAAAGAGTGTTTCAAGTCTGCTATGTGTAAAGCATCGTTCAACTCTGTGAGTTGAATACACACAACACAAGGAAGTTACTGAGAATTCTTCTGTCTAGCATAATATGAAGAAATCCCGTTTCCAACGAAGGCCTCAAAGACGTCTGAATATCCACTTGCAGACTTTACAAACAGAGTGTTTCCTAACTGCTCTATGAAAAGAAAAGTTAAACTCTGTGAGTTGAACGCACACATCACAAAGGAGTTTCTGAGAATCATTCTGTCTAGTTTCTATAGGAAGATATTTCCTATTCTACCATTGACCTCAAAGCGGCTGAAATCTCCACTTGCAAATTCCACAAAAAGAGTGCTTCAAGTCTGCTCTCTGTAAAGGATCGTTCAACTCTGACAGTTGAATACACACAACACAAGGAAGTTACTGAGAATTATTCTGTCTAGCCTTATATGAAAAAAACCCGTTTCCAACGAAGGCCTCAAAGAGGTCTGAATATCCACTTGCAGACTTTACAAAGAGAGTGTTTCCTAACTGCTCTAAGAAAAGAAAGGTTAAACTCTGTGAGTTGAACACACACATCACAAAGGAGTTTGTGAGAATCATTCTGTCTAGTTTTTCTACGAAGATATTACCTTTTCTACTATTGACCTCAAAGCGGCTGAAATCTCCACTTGCAAATTCCACAAAAAGAGTGTTTCAAGTCTGCTCTGTGTAAAGGATCGTTCAACTCTGTGAGTTGAATACACACAACACAAGGAAGTTACTGAGAATTCTTCTGTCTAGCAGAATATGAAGAAATCCCGTTTCCAACGAAGGCCACAAAGAGGTCTGAATATCCACTTGCAGACTTTACAAACAGAGTGTTTCCTAACTGCTCTATGAAAAGAAAGGTTAAACTCTGTGAGTTGAACGCACACATCACAAAGGAGTTTCTGAGAATCGTTCTGTCTAGTTTTGAAACGAAGATATTTCCTTTTCTGCCATTGACCTCAAAGCGCTTGAAATCTCCACTTGCCAATTGCACAAAAAGAGTGTTTCAAATCTGCTCTGTCTAAGGGAACGTTCAACTCTGTGAGTTGAATGTACACAACACAAGGAAGTTACTGGGAATTCTTCTGTCTAGCCTTACATGAAAAAAACCCGTTTCCAACGAAGGCCTCTAAGTGGTCAAAATATCCACGTGCAGACTTTACAAACAGAGTGTTTCCAAACTGCTGAATGAAAAGCAAAGTTAAACTCTGAGAGTTGAACTCACACATCGCAGAGCAGTTTCTGAGAATGATTCTGTCTAGTTTTTATACGAACATATTTCCTTTTCTGCCTTTGGCCCCAAAGCGCTTGAAATCTCCACTTGCAAATTCCACAAAAACAGTGTTTCAAATCTGCTCTCTCTAAATGAAAGTTCAACTCTGTCAGTTGAATACACACAACACAAGGAAGTTACTGAGAATTCTTCTGTCTAGCATAATATGAAGAAATCCCGTTTCCAACGAAGGCCTCAAAGGGGTCTGAATATCCACTTGCAGACTTTACAAACAGAGTGTTTACTAACTGCTCTATGAAAAGAAAGGTTAAACTCTGTGAGTAGAACACACACATCACAAAGGAGTTTCTGAGAATCATTCTTTCTAGTTTTTCTACGAAGATATTTCCTTTTCTACTATTGACCTCAAAGCGGCTGAAATCTCCACTTGCAAATTCCACAAAAAGAGTGTTTAAAGTCTGCTCTGTGTAAAGGATCGTTCAACTCTGTGAGTTGAATACACACAACACAAGGAAGTTACTGAGAATTCTTCTGTCTAGCAGAATATGAAGAAATCCCGTTTCCAACGAAGGCCACAAGATGTCAGAATATCCACTTACAGAATTTACCAACAGAGTGTTTCCTAACTGCTCTATGAAAAGAAAGGTGAGTTGGTTTCCTAACTGCTGTGTGAGTTGAACGAACACATCACAACGCAGTTTGTGGGAATGATTCTGTCTAGTTTTGAAACGAAGATATTTCCTTTTCTGCCATTGACCTGAAAGCGCTTGAAATCTACACTTGCAAATTGCACAAATAGAGTGTTTCAAATCTGCTCTGTCTAAGGGAACGTTCAACTCTGTGAGTTGAATGCACACAACACAAGGAAGTTACTGGGAATTCTTCTGTCTAGCCTTACATGAAAAAAACCCGTTTCCAACGAAGGCCTCTAAGTGGTCAAAATATCTACGTGCAGACTTTACAGAGTGTTTCCAAACTGCTGAATGAAAAGAAAAGTTAAACTCTGAGAGTTGTACGCACACATCACAGAGCAGTTTCTGAGAATGATTCTGTCTAGTTTTTATACGAAGATATTTCCTTTTCTGCCTTTGGCCCCAAAGCGCTTGAAATCTTCACTTGCAAATTCCACAAAAACAGTGTTTCAAATCTGCTCTCTCTAAATGAAAGTTCAACTCTGTCATTTGAATACACACAACACAAGGAAGTTACTGAGAATTCTTCTGTCTAGCAGAATAGGAAGAAATCCCGTTTCCAACGAAGGCCTCAAAGAGGTCTGAATATCCACTTGCAGACTTTACAAACAGAGTGCTTCCTAACTGCTCTATGAAAAGAAAGGTTAAACTCTGTGAGTTGAACGCACACATCACAAAGGAGTTTCTGAGAATCGTTCTGTCTAGTTTCTATAGGAAGATATTTCCTATTCTACCGTTGAACTCAAAGCGGCTGAATTCTCCACTTGCAAATTCCACAACAAGAGTGTTTCAAGTCTGTTCTGCGTAAAGGATCATTCAACTCTGTGAGTTGAATACACACAACACAAGGAAGTTACTGAGAATTCTTCTGTCTAGCAGAATATGAAGAAATCCCGTTTCCAACGAAGGCCTCAAGGAGGTCTGAATATCCACTTGCAGACTTTACAAACAGAGTGTTTCCTAACTGCTCTATGAAAAGAAAGGTTAAACTCTTTGAGTTGAACGCACACATCACAACGCAGTTTGTGGGAATGATTTCTGTCAAGTTTTGAAACGAAGATATTTCCTTTTCTGCCATTGACCTTAAAGCGCTTGAAATCTACACTTGCAAACTGCACAAATAGAGTGTTTCAAATCTGCTCTGTCTAAGGGAACGTTCAACTCTGTGAGTTGAATGCACACAACACAAGGAAGTTACTGGGAATTCTTCTGTCTAGCCTTACATGAAAAAAACCCGTTTCCAACGAATGCCTCTAAGTGGTCAAATTATCCACGTGCAGACATTACAAACAGAGTGTTTCCAAACTGCTGAATGAAAAGAAAAGTTAAACTCTGAGAGTTGAACGCACACATCGCAGAGCAGTTTCTGAGAATGATTCTGTCTAGTTTTTATACGAAGATATTTCCTTTTCTGCCTTTGGCCTCAAAGCTCTTGAAATCTCCACTTGCAAATTCCACAAAAAGAGTGTTTCAAATCTGCTCTGGGTAAATGAAAGTTCAACTCTGTGAGTTGAACACACACAACACAAGGAAGTTACTGGGAATTCTTGTGTCTAGCATAATATGAAGAAATCCCGTTTCCAACGAAGGCCTCAAAGAGGTCTGAATATCCACTTGCAGACTTTACAAACAGAGTGTTTCCTAACTGCTCTATGAAAAGAAAGGTTAAACTCCGTGAGTTGAACGCACACATCACAAAGGAGTTTCTGAGAATTATTCTGTCTAGTTTTTATACGAAGATATTTCCTTTTCTACCATTGACCTCAAAGCGGCTGAAATCTCCACTTGCCAATTCCACAAAAAGAGTGTTTCAAGTCTACTCTGTGTAAAGGTTCGTTCAACTCTGTGAGTTGAAAACACACAACAGAAGGAAGTTTCTGAGAATTCTTCTTTCTAGCAGAATATGAAGAAATCCCGTTTCCAACAAAAGCCTCAAGGATGTCTGAATATCCACTTGCAGACTTTACAAACAGAGTGTTTCCTAACTGCTCTATGAAAAGAAAGGTTAAACTCTGTGAGTTGAACGCACACATCACAAAGGAGTTTCTCAAAATCATTCTGTCTAGTTTCTATAGGAAGATATTTCCTATTCTACCATTGACCTCAAAGCGGCTGAAATCTCCAGTTGCAAATTCCACAAAAAGAATGTTTCAAGTCTGCTCTGTGTAAAGCATCGTTCAACTCTGTGAGTTGAATACACACAACACAAGGAAGTTACTGAGAATTCTTCTGTCTAGCATAATATGAAGAAATCCCGTTTCCAACGAAGGCCTCAAAGAGGTCTGAATATCCACTTGCAGACTTTACAAACAGAGTGTTTCCTAACTGCCCTATGAAAAGAAAAGTTAAACTTTGTGAGTTGAACGCACACATCACAAAGGAGTTTATGAGAATCATTCTGTCTAGTTTTGAAACGAAGATATTTCCTTTTCTGCCATTGACCTTAAAGCGCTTGAAATCTCCATTTGCCAATTGCTCAAAAAGAGTGTTTCAAATCTGCTCTGTCTAAGGGAACGTTCAACTCTGTGAGTTGAATGTACACAACACAAGGAAGTTACTGGGAATTCTTCTGTCTAGCCTTACAGGAAAAAAACCCGTTTCCAACGAAGGCCTCTAAGTGGTGAAAATATCCACGTGCAGACTTCACAAACAGAGTGTTTCCAAACTGCTGAAGGAAAAGAAAAGTTAAACTCTGAGAGTTGAACACACACATCGCAGAGCAGTTTCTGAGAATGATTCTGTCTAGTTTTTATACGAACATATTTCCTTTTCTGCCTTTGGCCTCAAAGCGCTTGAAATCTCCACTTGCAAATTCCACAAAAAGAGTGTTTCAAATCTGCTCTGTCTAAATGAAAGTTCAACTCTGTCAGTTGAATACACACAACACAAGGAAGTTACTGAAAATTCTTCTGTCTAGCAGAATATGAAGAAATCCCGTTTCCAACGAAGGTCTCAAGGAGGTGTGAATATCCACTTGCAGACTTTACAAACAGAGTGTTTCCTAACGGCTCTATGAACAGAAATGTTAAACTCTGTGAGTTGAACGCACACATCACAAAAGAGTTTCTGAGAATCATTCTGTCTAGTTTTTCTACGAAGATATTTCCTTTTCTACTATTGACCTCAAAGCGGCTGAAATCTCCACTTGCAAATTCCACAAAAAGAGTGTTTCAAGTCTGCTCTGTGTAAAGGATCATTCAACTCTGTGAGTTGAATAAACACAACACAAGGAAGTTACTGAGAATTCTTCTGTCTAGCAGAATATGAAGAAATCCCGTTTCCAACGAAGGCCACAAGATGTGAGAATATCCACTTACAGAATTTTCAAACAGACTGTTTCCTAACTGCTCTATGAAAAGAAAGGTTAAACTCTGTGAGTTGAACGAACACATCACAACGCAGTTTGTGGGAATGATTCTGTCTAGTTTTGAAACGAAGATATTTCCTTTTCTGCCATTGACCTCAACGCGCTTGAAATCTCCACTTGCCAATTGCACAAAAAGAGTGTTTCAAATCTGCTCTGTCTAAGGGAACGTTCAACTCTGTGAGTTGAATGTACACAACACAAGGGAAGTTACTGGGAATTCTTCTGTCTAGCCTTACAGGAAAGAAACCCGTTTCCAACGAAGGCCTCTAAGTGGTCAAAATATCCACGTGCAGACTTTACAAACAGAGTGTTTCCAAACTGCTGAATGAAAAGAAAAGTTAAACTCTGAGAGTTGAACGCACACATCGCAGAGCCAGTTTCTGAGAATGATTCTGTCTAGTTTTTATACGAAGATATTTCCTTTTCTGCCTTTGGCCCCAAAGCGCTTGAAATCTCCACTTGCAAATTCCACAAAAACAGTGTTTCAAATCTGCTCTCTCCAAATGAAAGTTCAACTCTGTCAGTTGAATACACACAACACAAGGGAAGTTACTGAGAATTCTTCTGTCTAGCCTTACATGAAAAAAAAACCGTTTCCAACGAAGGCCTCAAGGAAGTCCAAATATCCACGTGCAGACTTTACAAACAGAGTGTTTCCTAACTGCTCTATGAAAAGAAAGGTTAAACTCTGTGAGTTGAACGCACACATCACAAAGGAGTTTCTGAGAATCATTCTGTCTAGTTTCTATAGGAAGATATTTCCTATTCTACCATTGACCTCAAAGCGGCTGAAATCTCCACTTGCAAATTCCACAAAAAGAGTGTTTCAAGTCTGCTCTTTGTAAAGGATCGTTCAAATCTGTGAGTTGAATACACGCAACACAAGGAAGTTACTGAGAATTCTTCTGTCTAGCATAATATGAAGAAATCACGTTTCCAACGAAGGCCTCAAGGAGGTCTGAATATCTACTTGCAGACTTTACAAACAGAGTGTTTCCTAACTGCTCTATGAAAAGAAAGGTTAAACTCTGTGAGTTGAACGCACACATCACAAAGGAGTTTCTGAGAATCATTCTGTCTAGTTTTGAAACGAAGATATTTCCTTTTCTGCCATTGACCTTAAAGCGCTTGAAATCTCCACTTGCCAATTGCACAAAAAGAGTGTTTCAAATCTGCTCTGTCTAAGGGAACGTTCAACTCTGTGAGTTGAATATACACAACACAAGGAAGTTACTGGGAATTCTTCTGTCTAGCCTTACATGAAAAAAACCCGTTTCCAAAGAAGGCCTCTAAGTGGTCAAAATATCCACGTGCAGACTTTACAAACAGAGTGTTTCCAAACTGCTGAATGAAAAGAAAAGTTAAACTCTGAGAGTTGAACGCACACATCGCAGAGCAGTTTCTGAGAATGATTTCTGTCTAGTTTTTATACGAAGATATTTCCTTTTCTGCCATTGGCCCCAAAGCGCTTGAAATCTCCACTTGCAAATTCCACAAAAAGAGTGTTTCAAATCTGCTCTGTGTAAATGAAAGTTCAACTCTGTGAGTTGAACACACACAACACAAGGAAGTTACTGGGAATTCTTCTGTCTAGCCTTATATGAAAAAAACCCGTTTCCAACGAAGGCCTCAAAGAGGTCTGAATATCCACTTGCAGACTTTACAAACAGAGTGTTTCCTAACTGCTCTATGAAAAGAAAGGTTAAACTCTGTGAGTTGAACGCACACATCAAAAAGGAGTTTCTGAGAATCATTCTGTCTAGTTTTTATAGGAAGATATTTCCTTTTCTACATTTGACTTCAAAGCGGCTGAAATCTCCACTTGCAAATTCCACAAAAAGAGTGTTTCAAATCTGCTCTGTGTAAAGGATCGTTCAACTCTGTGAGTTGAATACACACAACAGAAGGAAGTTACTGAGAATTCTTCTGTCTAGCAGAATATGAAGAAATCCCGTTTCCAACGAAGGCCACAAGATGTCAGAATATCCACTTACAGACTTTACAAACAGAATGTTTCCTAACTGCTCTATGAACAGAAAGGTTAAACTCTGTGAGTTGAACGTACACATCACAACGCAGTTTGTGGGAATGATTCTGTCTAGTTTTGAAACGAAGATATTTCCTTTTCTGCCGTTGACCTTAAAGCGCTTGAAATCTACACTTGCAAATTGGACAAATAGAGTGTTTCAAATCTGCTCTGTCTAAGGGAACGTTCAACTCTGTGAGTTGAATGCACACAACACAAGGAAGTTACTGGGAATTCTTCTGTCTAGCCTTACATACAAAAAAACCCGTTTCCAACGAAGGCTTCTAAGTGGTCAAAATATCCACGTGCAGACTTTACAAACAGAGTGTTTCCAAACCGCTGAATGAAAAGGAAAGTTAAACTCTGAGAGTTGAACACACACATCACGCAGCAGTTTCTGAGAATGATTCTGTCTAGTTTTTATACGAAGATATTTCCTTTTCTGCCTTTGGCCTCAAAGCGCTTGAAATCTCCAATTGCAAATTCCACAAAAAGAGTGTTTCAAATCTGCTCTGTCTAAATGAAAGTTCAACTGTGTCAGTTGAATACACACAACACAAGGAAGTTACTGAGAATTCTTCTGTCTAGCATAGTATGAAGAAATCCCGTTTCCAACGAAGGCCTCAAAGAGGTCTGAATATCCACTTGCAGAGTTTACAAACAGAGGGTTTCCTAACTGCTCTATGAAAAGAAAGGTTAAACTCTGTGAGTTGAACGCACACATCACAAAGAAGTTTCTGAGAATCATTCTGTCTAGTTTTTATACGAAGATATTTCCTTTTCTACCATTGACCTCAAAGCGGCTGAAATCTCCACTTGCAAATTCCACAAAAAGAGTGTTTCAAGTCTGCTCTGTGTAAAGGATCGTTCAAGTCTGTGAGTTGAATACACACAACACAAGGAAGTTACTGAGAATTCTTCTGTCTAGCAGAATATGAAGAAATCCCGTTTCCAACGAAGGCCACAAGATGTCAGAATATCCACTTACAGACTTTACAAACAGAGTGTTTCCTAACTGCTCTATGAACAGAAAGGTTAAACTCTGTGAGTTGAACGAACACATTACAACGCAGTTTGTGGGAATGATTTCTGTCTAGTTTTGAAACCAAGATATTTCCTTTTCTGCCGTTGACCTAAAAGAGCTTGAAAACTACACTTGCAAATTGCACAAATAGAGTGTTTCAAATCTGCTCTGTCTAAGGGAACGTTCAACTCTGTGAGTTGAATGCACACAACACAAGGAAGTTACTGGGAATTCTTCTGTCTAGCCTTACATGAACAAAACCCGTTTCCAACGAAGGCCTCTAAGTGGTCAAAATTTCCACGTGCAGACTTTACAAACAGAGTGTTTCCAAACCGCTGAATGAAAAGAAAAGTTAAACTCTGAGAGTTGAACGCACACATCACGCAGCAGTTTCTGAGAATGATTCTGTCTAGTTTTTATACGAAGATATTTCCTTTTCTGCCTTTGGCCCCAAAGCGCTTGAAATCTCCACTTGCAAATTCCACAAAAACAGTGTTTCAAATCTGCTCTCTCTAAATGAAAGTTCAACTCTGTCAGTTGAATACACACAACACAAGGTAGTTACTGAGAATTCTTCTGTCTAGCAGAATATGAAGAAATCCCGCTTCCAACGAAGGCCTCAAAGAAGTCTGAATATCCACTTGCAGACTTTACAAACAGAGTGTTTCCCAACTGCTCTATGAAAAGAAAGGTTGAACTCTGTGAGGTGAACGCACACATCACAAAGGAGTTTCTGAGAATCATTCTGTGTACTTTCTATAGGAAGATATTTCCTATTCTACCATTGAACTCAAAGCGGCTGAAATCTCCACTTGCAAATTCCACAAAAAGAGTGTTTCAAGTCTGCTCTGTGTAAAGGATCGTTCAACTCTGTGAGTTGAATACACACAACACAAGGAAGTTCCTGAGAATTCTTCTGTCTAGCATAATATGAAGAAATCCCGTTTCCAACGAAGGCCTCAAGGAGGTCTGAATATCCACTTGCAGACTTTACAAACAGAGTGTTTCCCAACTGCTCTATGAAAAAAAAGGTTAAGCTCTGTGAGTTGAACGCACACATCACAAAGGAGTTTCTGAGAATCATTCTGTCTAGTTTTTATACGAAGATATTTCCTTTTCTACCATTGACCTCAAAGCAGCTGAAATCTCCACTTGCCAATTCCACAAAAAGAGTGTTTCAAGTCTGCTCTGTGTAAAGGATCGTTCAACTCTGTGAGTTGAATACACACAACACAAGGAAGTTTCTGAGAATTCTTCTGTATAGCAGAATATGAAGAAATCCCGTTTCCAACGAAGGCCTCAAGGAGGTCTCAATATCCAATTGCAGACTTTACAAACAGAGTGTTTCCTAACTGCTCTATGAAAAGAAAGGTTGAACTCTGTGAGTTGAACGCAGATATCACAAAGGAGTTTCTGAGAATCACTCTGTCTAGTCTTTATACGAAGATATTTCCTTTTCTACCATTGACATCAAAGTGGCTGAAATCTCCACTTGCAAATTCCACAAAAAGAGTGTTTCAAGTCTGCTCTGTGTAAAGGATCGTTCAACTCTGTGAGTTGAATACACACAACACAAGGAAGTTACTGAGAATTCTTCTGTCTAGCAGAATATGAAGAAATCCCGTTTCCAACGAAGGCCACAAGATGTCAGAATATCCACTTACAGAATTTACAAACACAGTGTTTCCTAACTGCTCTATGAAAAGAAAGGTTAAACTCTGTGAGATGAACGAACACATCACAACGCAGTTTGTGGGAATGATTCTGTCTAGTTTTGAAACGAAGATATTTACTTTTCTGCCATTGACCTTAAAGCGCTTGAAATCTCCACTTGCCAATTGCACAAAAAGAGTGTTTCAAATCAGCTCTGTCTAAGGGAACGTTCAAATCTGTGTGTTGAATGTACACAACACAAGGAAGTTACTGGGAATTCTTCTGTCTAGCCTTACAAGAATAAAACCCGTTTCCAACGAAGGCCTCTAAGTGGTCAAAATATCCACGTGCAGACTTTACAAAGAGAATGTTTCCAAACTGCTGAATGAAAAGAAAAATTAAACTCTGAGAGTTGAATGCACACATCGCAGAGCAGTTTCTGAGAATGATTCTGTCTAGTTTTTATACGAAGATATGTCCTTTTCTGCCTTTGGCCCCAAAGCGCTTGAAATCTCCCCTTGCAAATTCCACAAAAAGAGTGTTTCAAGTCTGCTCTGTGTAAAGGATCGTTCAACTCTGTCAGTTGAATACACACAACACAAGGAAGTTACTGAGAATTCTTCTTTCTAGCAGAATATGAAGAAATCCCTGTTTCCAACGAAAGCCTCAAGGATGTCTGAATATCCAATTGCAGACTTTACAAACAGAGTGTTTCCTAACTGCTCTATGAAAAGAAAGGGTAAACTCTGTGAGTTGAACGCACACATCACAAAGGAGTTTCTGAGAATCATTCTGTCTAGTTTCTATAGGAAGATATTTCCTATTCTACCATTGAACTCAAAGCGGCTGAAATCTCCACTTGCAAATTTCACAAAAAGAGTGTTTCAAGTCTGCTCTGTGTAAAGGATCGTTGAACTCTGTGATTTGAATACACACAACACAAGGAAGTTACTGAGAATTCTTCTGTCTAGCAGAACATGAAGAAATCCCGTTTCCAATGAAGGGCACAAGATGCTCAGAATATCCACTTACAGAATTTACAAACAGACTGTTTCCTAACTGCTCTATGAAAAGAAAGGTTAAACTCTGTGAGATGAACGAACACATCACAACGCAGTTTGTGGGAATGATTCTGTCTAATTTTGAAACGAAGATATTTCCTTTTCTGCCATTGACCTTAATGCGCTTGAAATCTACACTTGCAAATTGCACAAATAGAGTGTTTCAAATCTGCTCTGTCTAAGGGAACGTTCAACTCTGTGAGTTGAATGCACACAACACAAGGAAGTTACTGGGAATTCTTCTGTCTAGCCTTACAGGAAAGAAACCCGTTTCCAACGAAGGCCTCTAAGTGGTCAAAATATCCACGTGCAGACTTTACAAACAGAGTGTTTCCAAACTGCTGAATGAAAAGAAAAGTTAAACTCTGAGAGTTGAACGCACACATCGCAGAGCAGTTTCTGAGAATGATTCTGTCTAGTTTTTATACGAAGATATTTCCTTTTCTGCCTTTGGCCTCAAACCGCTTGAAATCTCCACTTGCAAATTCCACAAAAAGAGTGTTTCCAATCTGCTCTGTGTAAATGAAAGTTCAACTCTGTGAGTTGAACACACACAACACAAGGAAGTTACTGGGAATTCTTCTGTCTAGCATAATATGAAGAAATCCCGTTTCCAACGAAGGCCTCAAAGAGGTCTGATTATCCACTTGCAGACTTTACAAACAGAGTGTTTCCTAACTGCTCTATGAAAAGAAAGGTTAAACTCTGTGAGTTGAACACACACATCACAAAGGAGTTTCTGAGAATCATTCTGTCTAGTTTTTCTACGAAGATATTTCCTTTTCTACTATTGACCTCAAAGCGGCTGAAATCTCCACTTGCAAATTCCACAAAAAGAGTCTTTCAAGTCTGCTCTGTGTAAAGGATCGTTCAACTCTGTGAGTTGAATACACACAACACAAGGAAGTTACTGAGAATTCTTCTGTCTAGCCTTACATGAAAAAAACCCGTTTCCAACGAAGGCCTCTAAGTGGTCAAATTATCCACGTGCAGACTTTACAAACAGAGTGTTTCCAAACTGCTGAATGAAAAGAAAAGTTAAACTCTGAGAGTTGAACGCACACATCGCAGTGCAGTTTCTGAAAATGATTCTGTCTAGTTTTTATACGAAGATATTTCCTTTTGTGCCTTTGGCCCCAAAGCGCTTGAAATCTCCACTTGCAAATTCCACAAAAACAGTGTTTCAAATCTGCTCTCTCTAAATGAAAGTTCAACTCTGTCAGTTGAATACACACAACACAAGGGAAGTTACTGAGAATTCTTCTGTCTAGCATAGTATGAAGAAATCCCGTTTCCAACGAAGGCCTCAAAGAGGTCTGAGTATCCACTTGCAGAGTTTACAAACAGAGTGTTTCCTAACTGCTCTATGAAAAGAAAGGTTAAACTCTGTGAGTTGAACACACACATCACAAAGAAGTTTCTGAGAATCATTCTGTCTAGTTTCTATAGGAAGATATTTCCTATTCTACCATTGACCTCAAAGCGGCTGAAATCTCCACTTGCAAATTCCACAAAAAGAGTGTTTCAAGTCTCCTCTGTGTAAAGGATCGTTGAACTCTGTGAGTTGAAAACACACAACAC
Organism: Homo sapiens; assembly: GCF_000001405.40. Lineage (NCBI taxonomy): Eukaryota > Metazoa > Chordata > Mammalia > Primates > Hominidae > Homo > Homo sapiens. Next base: position 47,620,806 of record NC_000005.10, on the reverse strand, counting down.
AAGGAAGTTTCTGAGAATTCTTCTGTCTAGCAGAATATGAAGAAATCCCGTTTCCAACGAAGGCCACAAGATGTCAGAATATCCACTTACAGACTTTACAAACAGAGTGTTTCCTAACTGGTCTATGAACGGAAAGGTTAAACTCTGTGAGTTGAACGAACACATCACAACGCAGTTTGTGGGAATGATTCTGTCTAGTTTTGAAACGAAGATATTTCCTTTTCTGCCATTGACCTTAAAGCGCTTGAAATCTCCACTTGCCAATTGCACAAAAAAAGTGTTTCAAATCTGCTCTGTCTAAGGGAACGTTCAACTCTGTGAGTTGAATGTACACAACACAAGGAAGTTACTGGGAATTCTTCTGTCTAGCCTTACATGAAAAAAACCCGTTTCCAACGAAGGCCTCTAAGTGGTCAAAATTTCCACGTGCAGACTTTACAAACAGAGTGTTTCCAAAACCGCTGAATGAAAAGAAAAGTTAAACTCTGAGAGTTGAACGCACACATCACGCAGCAGTTTCTGAGAATGATTCTGTCTAGTATTTATACGAAGATATTTCCTTTTCTGCCTTTGGCCCCAAAGCGCTTGAAATCTCCACTTGCAAATTCCACAAAAACAGTGTTTCAAATCTGCTCTCTCTAAATGAAAGTTCAACTCTGTCAGTTGAATACACACAACACAAGGAAGTTACTGAGAATTCTTCTGTCTAGCATAATATGAAGAAATCCCATTTCCAACGAAGGCCTCAAGGAGCTCTGAATATCCACTTGCAGACTTTACAAACAGAGTGTTTCCTAACTGCTCTATGAAAAGAAAGGTTAAACTCTGTGAGTTGAACGCACACATCACAAAGGAGTTTCTGAGAATCATTCTGTCTAGTTTCTATAGGAAGATATTTCGTATTCTACCATTGACCTCAAAGCGGCTGAAATCTCCACTTGCAAATTCCACAAAAGGTGGGTTTCAAGTCTGCTCTGTGTAAAGTATCGTTCAACTCTGTGAGTTGAATACACACAAGACAAGGAAGTTACTGAGAATTCTTCTGTCTAGCCTTATATGAAAAAAACCCGTTTCCAACGAAGGCCTCAAAGAGGTCTGAATATCCACTTGGAGACTTTACAAACAGAGTGTTTCCTAACTGCTCTATGAAAAGAAAGGTTAAACTCTGTGAGTTGAACTGCACACATCACAAAGGAGTTTCTGAGAATCATTCTGTCTAGTCTTTATACGAAGATATTTCCTTTTCTACCATTGACCTCAAAGCGGCTGAAATCTCCATTTGCAAATTCCACAAAAAGACTGTTTCAAGTCTGCTCTCTGTAAAGGATCGTTCAACTCTGTGAGTTGAATACACACAACACAAGGAAGTTACTGAGAATTCTTCTGTCTAGCAGAATATGAAGAAATCCCGTTTCCAACGAAGGCCACAAGATGTCAGAATATCCACTTACAGAATTTACCAACAGAGTGTTTCCTAACTGCTCTATGAAAAGAAAGGTTAAACTCTGTGAGTTGAACGAACACATCACAACGCAGTTTGTGGGAATTATTCTGTCTAGTTTTGAAACGAAGATATTTCCTTTTCTGCCATTGACCTTAAAGCGCTTGAAATCTACACTTGCAAATTGCACAAATAGAGTGTTTCAAATCTGCTCTGTCTAAGGGAACATTCATCTCTGTGAGTTGAATGCACACAACACATAGAAGTTACTGGGAATTCTTCTGTCTAGCCTTACATGAAAAAAACCCGTTTCCAACGAAGGCCTCTAAGTGGTCAAATTATCCACGTGCAGACTTTACAAACAGAGTGTTTCCAAACTGCTGAATGAAAAGCAAAGTTAAACTCTGAGAGTTGAACGCACACATCGCAGAGCAGTTTCTGAGAATGATTCTGTCTAGTTTTTATACGAAGATATTTCCTTTTCTGCCTTTGGCCTCAAAGCGCTTGAAATCTCCATTTGCAAATTCCACAAAAAGAGTGTTTCAAATCTGCTCTGTCTAAATGAAAGTTCAACTCTGTGAGTTGAACACACACAACACAAGGAAGTTACTGGGAATTCTTCTGTCTAGCAGAATATGAAGAAACCCCGTTTCCAACGAAGGCCTCAAAGGGGTCTGAATATCCACTTGCAGACTTTATAAACAGAGTGTTTACTAACTGCTCTATGAAAAGAAAGGTTAAACTGTGTGAGTTGAACACACACATCACAAAGGAGTTTCTGAGAATCATTCTATCTAATTTTTATACGAAGATATTTCCTATTCTACCATTGACCTCAAAGCGGCTGAAATCTCCACTTGCAAATTCCACAAGAAGAGTGTTTCTAGTATGTTCTGTGTAAAGGATCGTTCAACTCAGTGAGTTGAATACACACAACACAAGGAAGTTACTGAGAATTCTTCTGTCTAGCACAGTATGAAGAAATCCCGTTTCCAACGAAGGCCTCAAAGAGGTCTGAATATCCACTTGCAGAGTTTACAAACAGAGTGTTTCCTAACTGCTCTATGAAAAGAAAGGTTAAACTCTGTGAGTTGAACGCACACGTCACAGTGAAGTTTCTGAGAATCATTCTGTCTAGTTTTTATACGAAGATATTTCCTTTTCTACCATTGACCTCAAAGCGGCTGAAATCACCACTTGCCAATTGCACAAAAAGAGTGTTTCAAATCTGCTCTGTCTAAGGGAACGTTCAACTCTGTGAGTTGAATGTACACAACACAAGGAAGTTACTGGGAATTCTTCTGTCTAGCCTTACATGAAAAAAACCCGTTTCCAACGAAGGCCTCTAAGTGGTCAAATTATCCACGTGCAGACTTTACAAACAGAGTGTTTCCAAACTGCTGAATGAAGAGAAAAGTTAAACTCTGAGAGTTGAACGCACACATCACAGAGCAGTTTCTGAGAATGATTCTGTCTAGTTTTTATATGAAGATATTTCCTTTTCTGCCTTTGGCCCCAAAGCGCTTGAAATCTCCACTTGCAAATTCCACAAAAACAGTGTTTCAAATCTGCTCTCTCTAAATGAAAGTTCAACTCTGTCAGTTGAATACACACAACACAAGGAAGTTACTGAGAATTCTTCTGTCTAGCATAATATGAAGAAATCCCGTTTCCAACGAAGGCCTCAAGGAGGTCTGAATATCCACTTGCAGACTTTACCAACAGAGTGTTTCCTAACTGCTCTATGAAAAGAAAGGTTAAACTCTGTGAGTTGAACGCACACATCAGAAAGGAGTTTCTCAGAATCATTCTGTCTAGTTTTTATACGAAGATATTTCCTTTTCTACCATGGACCTCAAAGCAGCTGAAATCTCCACTTGCAAATTCCACAAAAAGAGTGTTTCAAATCTGCTCTGTGTAAATGAAAGTTCAACTCTGTGAGTTGAACACACACAACACAAGGAAGTTACTGGGAATTCTTCTGTCTAGCAGAATATGAAGAAATCCCGTTTCCAACGAAGGCCTCTAGGAGGTCTGAATATCCACTTGCAGACCTTACAAACAGAGTGTTTCCTAACTGCTCTATGAACAGAAAGGTTAAACTCTGTGAGTTGAACGAACACATCACAACGCAGTTTGTGGGAATGATTCTGTCTAGTTTTGAAACGAAGATATTTCCTTTTCTGCCATTGACCTTAAAGCGCTTGAAATCTCCACTTGCCAATTGCACAAAAAGAGTGTTTCAAATCTGCTCTGTCTACGGGAACGTTCAACTCTGTGAGTTGAATGTACACAACACAAGGAAGTTACTGGGAATTCTTCTGTCTAGCCTTACATGAAAAAAACCCGTTTCCAACGAAGGCCTCTAAGTGGTCAAATTATCCACGTGCAGACTTTACAAACAGAGTGTTTCCAAACTGCTGAATGAAAAGAAAAGTTAAACTCTGAGAGTTGAACGCACACATCACAGAGCAGTTTCTGAGAATGATTGTGTCTAGTTTTTATACGAAGATATTTCCTTTTCTGCCTTTGGCCTCAAAGCGCTTGAAATCTCCACTTGCAAATTCCACAAAAAGAGTGTTTCAAATCTGCTCTGTGTAAATGAAAGTTCAACTCTGTGAGTTGAACACACACAACACAAGGAAGTTACTGGGAATTCTTCTGTCTAGCAGAATATGAAGAAATCCCTTTTCCAACGAAGGCCTCAAGGAGGTCAGAATATCCACTTGCAGACTGTACAAACAGAGTGTTTCCTAACTGCTCTATGAAAAGAAAGGTTAAACTCTGTGAGTTGAACGCACACATCACAAAGGAGTTTCTGAGAATCATTCTGTCTAGTTTTTATACGAAGATATTTCCTTTTCTGCCATTGACCTCAAAGCAGCTGAAATCTCCACTTCCAAATTCCACAAAAAGTGTTTCAGATCTGCTCTGTGTAAACCATCGTTCAACTCTGTGTGTTGAATACACACAACTGAAGGAAGATTCTGAGAATTCTTCTGTCTAGCAGAATATGAAGAAATCCCGTTTCCAACGAAGGCCACAAGATGTCAGAATATCCACTTACAGACTTTACAAACAGAGTGTTTCCTAACTGCTCTATGAACAGAAAGGTTAAACTCTGTGAGTTGAACGAACGCATCACAACGCAGTTTGTGGGAATGATTCTGTCTAGTTTTTATACGAAGATATTTCCTTTTCTACCATTGACCTCAAAGCGGCTGAAATCACCACTTGCCAATTGCACAAAAAGAGTGTTTCAAATCTGCTCTGTCTAAGGGAACGTTCAACTCTGTGAGTTGAATGTACACAACACAAGGAAGTTACTGGGAATTCTTCTGTCTAGCCTTACATGAAAAAAAATCCGTTTCCAAACAAGGCCTCTAAGTGGTCAAATTATCCACGTGCAGACTTTACAAACAGAGTGTTTCCAAACTGCTGAATGAAAAGAAAAGTTAAACTCGGAGAGTTGAACGCACACATCACAGAGCAGTTTCTGAGAATGATTCTCTCTAGTTTTTATACGAAGATATTTCCTTTTCTGCCTTTGGCCTCAAAGCGCTTGAAATCTCCACTTGCAAATTCCACAAAAAGAGTGTTTCAAATCTGCTCTGTGTAAATGAAAGTTCAACTCTGTGAGTTGAACACACACAACACAAGGAAGTTACTGGGAATTCTTCTGTCTAGCATAATATGTAGAAATCCCGTTTCCAACGAAGGCCTCAAAGAGGTCTGAATATCCACTTGCAGACTTTACAAACAGAGTGTTTCCTAACTGCTCTATGAAAAGAAAAGTTAAACTCTGTGATTTGAACGCACACATCACAAAGGAGTTTATGAGAATCATTCTGTCTAGTTTTTATACGAAGATATTTCCTTTTCTACCATTGACCTCAAAGCGGCTGAAATCTCCACTTGCAAATTCCACAAAAAGAGTGTTTCAAATCTGCTCTGTGTAAACCATCGTTCAACTCTGTGAGTTGAATACACACAACACAAGGAAGATTCTCAGAATTCTTCTGTCTAGCAGAACATGAAGAAATCCCGTTTCCAACGAAGGCCACAAGATGTCAGAATATCCACGTACAGAATTTACAAACAGACTGTTTCCTAACTACTCTATGAAAAGAAAGGTTAAACTCTGTGAGTTGAACGAACACATCACAACGCAGTTTGTGGGAATGATTCTGTCTAGTTTTGAAACGAAGATATTTCCTTTTCTGCCATTGACCTTAAAGCGCTTGAAATCTCCACTTGCCAATTGCACAAAAAGAGTGTTTCAAATCTGCTCTGTCTAAGGGAACGTTCAACTCTGTGAGTTGAATGTACACAACGCAAGGAAGTTACTGGGAATTCTTCTGTCTAGCCTTACATGAAAAAAACCCGTTTCCAACGAAGGCCTCTAAGTGGTCAAATTATCCACGTGCAGACTTTACAAACAGAGTGTTTCCAAACTGCTGAATGAAAAGAAAAGTTAAACTCTGAGAGTTGAACGCACACATCGCAGAGCACTTTCTGAGAATGATTCTGTCTAGTTTTTATACGAAGATATTCCCTTTTCTGCCTTTTTCCTCAAAGCGCTTGAAATCTCCATTTGCAAATTCCACAAAAAGAGTGTTTCAAATCTGCTCTGTGTAAATGAAAGTTCAACTCTGTGAGTTGAACACACACAACACAAGGAAGTTACTGGGAATTCTTCTGTCTAGCCTTTCATGAAAAAAACCCGTTTCCAACGAAGGCCTCAAAGAAGTCCAAATATCCAGGTGCAGACTTTACAAACAGAGTGTTTCCTAACTGCTCTATGAAAAGAAAGGTTAAACTCTGTGAGTGGAACGCACACATCACAAAGGAGTTTCTGAGAATCATTCTGTCTAGTTTTTCTACGAAAATATTTCCTTTTCTACTATTGACCTCAAAGCGGCTGAAATCTCCACTTGCAAATTCCACAAAAAGAGTGTTTCAAGTCTGCTCTGTGTAAAGGATCGTTCAACTCTGTGAGTTGAATACACACAACACAAGGAAGTTACTGAGAATTCTTCTGTCTAGCAGAATATGAAGAAATCCCGTTTCCAACGAAGGCCACAAGATGTCAGAATATCCACTTACAGAATTTACAAACAGACTGTTTCCTAACTGCTCTATGAAAAGAAAGGTTAAACTCTGTGAGATGAACGAACACATCACAACGCAGTTTGTGGGAATGATTCTGTCTAGTTTTGAAACGAAGATATTTCCTTTTCTGCCATTGACCTTAAAGCGCTTGAAATCTACACTTGGAAATTGCACAAATAGAGTGTTTCAAATCTGCTCTGTCTAAGGGAACGTTCAACTCTGTGAGTTGAATGCACACAACACAAGGAAGTTACTGGGAATTCTTCTGTCTAGCCTTACATGAAAAAAACCCGTTTCCAACGAAGGCCTCTAAGTGGTCAAAATTTCCACGTGCAGACTTTACAAACAGAGTGTTTCCAAACCGCTGAATGAAAAGAAAAGTTAAACTCTGAGAGTTGAACGCACACATCACAAAGGAGTTTCTGAGAATGATTCTGTCTAGTTTTTATACGAAGATATTTCCTTTTCTGCCTTTGGCCTCAAAGCGCTTGAAATCTCCACTTGTAAATTCCACAAAAAGAGTGTTTCAAATCTGCTCTGTCTAAATGAAAGTTCAACTCTGTCAGTTGAATACACACAACACAAGGAAGTTACAGGGAATTCTTCTGTCTAGCCTTATATGAAAAAAACCCGTTTCCAACGAAGGCCTCAAAGAGGTCTGAATATCCACTTGCAGACTTTAGAAACAGAGTGTTTCCTAACTGCTCTATGAAAAGAAAGGTTAAACTCTGTGAGTTGAACACACACATCACAAAGGAGTTTCTGAGAATCATTTCTGTCTAGTTTTTCTACGAAGATATTTCCTTTTCTACTACTGACCTCAAAGCGGCTGAAATCTCCACTTGCAAATTCCACAAAAAGAGTGTTTCAAGTCTGCTCTTTGTAAAGGATCGTTCAACTCTGTGAGTTGAATACACACAACACAAGGAATTTACTGAGAATTCTTCCGTCTAGCAGAATATGAAGAAATCCTGTTTCCAACGAAGGCCTCAAGGAGGTCTGAATATCCACTTGCAGACTTTACAAACAGAGTGTTTCCTAACTGCTCTATGAAAAGAAAAGTTAAACTCTGTGAGTTGAACGCACACATCACAAAGGAGTTTCTGAGAATCATTCTGTCTAGTCTTTATACGAAGATATTTCCTTTTCTACCATTGACCTCAAAGCGGCTGAAATCTACACTTGCAAATTCTACAAAAAGAGTGTTTCAAGTCTGCTCTTTGTAAAGGATCGTTCAACTCTGTGAGTTGAATACACACAACACAAGGAAGTTAGTGAGAATTCTTCTGTCTAGCAGAATATGAAGAAATCCCGTTTCCAAAGAAGGCCTCAAGGAGGTCTGAATATCCACTTGCAGACTTTACAAACAGAGTGTTTCCTAACTGCTCTATGAAAAGAAAAGTTAAACTCTGTGAGTTGAACGCACACATCACAAAGGAGTTTCTGAGAATCATTCTGTCTAGTTTTGAAACGAAGACATTTCCTTTTCTGCCTTTTTCCTCAAAGCGCTTGAAATCTCCATTTGCAAATTCCACAAAAAGAGTGTTTCAAATCTGCTCTGTGTAAATGAAAGTTCAACTCTGTGAGTTGAACACACACAACACAAGGAAGTTACTGGGAATTCTTCTGTCTAGCAGAATATGAAGAAATCCCGCTTCCAACGAAGGCCTCAAAGAGGTCTGAATATCCACTTGCAGACTTTACAAACAGAGTGTTTCCTAATTGCTCTATGAAAAGAAAGGTTAAAGTGTGTGAGTTGAACGCACACATCACAAAGGAGTTTCTCAGAATCATTCTGTCTAGTCTTTATACGAAGATATTTCCTTTTCTACTATTGACCTCAAAGCGGCTGAAATCTCCACTTGCAAATTCCACAAAAAGAGTGTTTCAAGTCTGCTCTGTGTAAAGGATCGTTCAACTCTGTGAGTTCAATACACACAACACAAGGAAGTTACTGAGAATTCTTCTGTCTAGCAGAATAGGAAGAAATCCCGTTTCCAACGAAGGCCTCAAAGAGGTCTGAATATCCACTTGCAGCCTTTACAAACAGAGTGTTTCCTAACTGCTCTATGAAAAGAAAGGTTAAACTCTGTGAGTTGAACGCACACATCACAAAGGAGTTTCTGAGAATCGTTCTGTCTAGTTTCTATAGGAAGATATTTCCTATTCTACCATTGACCTCAAAGCGGCTGAAATCTCCACTTGCAAATTCCACAAAAAGAGTGTTTCAAGTCTGCTCTGTGTAAAGGATCGTTCAACTCTGTGAGGTGAATACACACAACACAAGGAAGTTACTGAGAATTCTTCTGTCTAGCACAGTATGAAGAAATCCCGTTTCCAAAGAAGGCCTCAAAGAGGTCTGAATATCCACTTGCAGAGTTTACAAACAGAGTGTTTCCTAACTGCTCTATGAAAAGAAAGGTTAAACTCTGTGAGTTGAACGCACACATCACAATGAAGTTTCTGAGAATCATTCTGTCTAGTTTTTATACGAAGATATTTCCTTTTCTACCATGGACCTCAAAGCGGCTGAAATCTCCGCTTGCAAATTCCACAAAAAGAATGTTTCTAATCTGCTCTGTGTAAAGGATCGTTCAACTCTGTGAGTTGAATGCACACAACACAAGGAAGTTTCTGAGAATTCTTCTGTCTATCATAATATGAAGAAATCCCGTTTCCAACGTAGGCCTCAAAGAGGTCTGAATATCCACTTGCAGACTTTACAAAGAGAGTGTTTCCTAACTGCTCTACGAAAAGAAAGGTTAAACTCTTTGAGTTGAACGCACACATCACAAAGGAGTTTCTGAGAATCATTCTGTCTAGTTTTTCTACGAAGATATTTCCTTTTCTGCTATTGACCTCAAAGCGGCTGAAATCTCCACTTGCAAATTCCACAAAAAGAGTGTTTCAACTCTGCTCTGTGTAAAGGATCGTTCAACTCTGTGAGTTGAATACACACAACACAAGGAAGTTACTGAGAATTCTTCTGTCTAGCATAATAGGAAGAAATCCCGTTTCCAACGAAGGCCTCAAGGAGGTCTGAATATCCACTTGCAGACTTTACAAACAGAGTGTTTCCTAACTGCTCTATGAAAAGAATGGTTAAACTCTGTGAGTTGAACGCACACATCACAAAGGAGTTTCTGAGAATCATTCTGTCTAGTTTTTATACGAAGATATTTACTTTTCTACCATTGACCTCAAAGCGGCTGAAATCTCCACTTGCAAATTCCACAAAAAGAGTGTTTCAAGTCTGCTCTGTGTAAAGGATCGTTCAACTCTGTGAGTTGAATACACACAACACAAGGAAGTTACTGAGAATTCTTCTGTCTAGCCTTATATGAAAAAAACCCGTTTCCAACGAAGGCCTCAAAGAGGTCTGAATATCCACTTGTAGACTTTACAAACAGAGTGTTTCCTAACTGCTCTATGAAAAGAAAGGTTAAACTCTGTGAGTTAAACGCACACATCACAAAGGAGTTTCTGAGAACCATTCTGTCTAGTTTTTATACGAAGATAATTCCTTTTCTACCATTGACCTCAAAGCGGCTGAAATCTCCACTTGCAAATTCCACAAAAAGAGTGTTTCAAGTCTGCTCTGTGTAAACGATCGTTCAACTCTGTGAGTTGAATACACACAACACAAGGAAGTTACTGAGAATTCTTCTGTCTAGCAGAATATGAAGAAATCCCGTTTCCAACGAAGGCCACAAGATGTCAGAATATCCACGTACAGAATTTACAAACAGACTGTTTCCTAACTGCTCTATGAAAAGAAAGTTTAAACTCTGTGAGTTGAACGAACACATCACAACGCAGTTTGTGGGAATGATTCTGTCTAGTTTTGAAACGAAGATATTTCCTTTTCTGCCATTGACCTTAAAGCGCTTGAAATCTCCACTTGCCAATTGCACAAAAAGAGTGTTTCAAATCTGCTCTGTCTAAGGGAACGTTCAACTTTGTGAGTTGAATGTACGCAACACAAGGAAGTTACTGGGAATTCTTCTGTCTAGCCTTACATGAAAAAAACCTGTTTCCAACGAAGGCCTCTAAGTGGTCAAATTATCCACGTGCAGACTTTACAAACAGAGTGTTTCCAAACTGCTGAATGAAAAGAAAAGTTAAACTCTGAGAGTTGAACGCACACATCGCAGAGCAGTTTCTGATCATGATTCTGTCTAGTTTTTATAGGAAGATATTTCCTTTTCTGCCTTTGGCCTCAAAGCGCTTGAAATCTCCACTTGCAAATTCCACAAAAAGAGTGTTTCAAATCTGCTCTGTTTAAATGAAATTTCAACTCTGTGAGTTGAACACACACAACACAAGGAAGTTACTGGGAATTCTTCTGTCTAGCAGAATATGAAGAAATCCCGTTTCCAACGAAGGCCTCAGAGAGGTCTAAATATCCACTTGCAGACTTTACAAACAGAGTGTTTCCTAACTGCTCTATGAAAAGAAAGGTTAAACTCTGTGAGTTGAACGCACACATCACAAAGGAGTTTCTGAGAATCATTCTGTCTAGTTTCTATAGGAAGATATTTCCTTTTCTGCCATTGACCTCAAAGCGGCAGAAATCTCCACTTGCAAATTCCACAAAAACAGTGTTTCAATTCTGCTCTGTGTAAAGGATCGTTCAACTCTGTGAGTTGAATACACACAACACAAGGAAGTTGCTGAGAATTCTTCTGTCTAGCAGAATATGAAGAAATCCCGTTTCCAACGAAGGCCACAAGATGTCAGAATATCCACTTACAGACTTTACAAACAGAGTGTTTCCTAACTGCTCTATGAATAGAATGGTTAAACTCTGTGAGTTGAACGAACACATCACAACGCAGTTTGTGGGAATGATTCTGTCTAGTTTTGAAACGAAGATATTTCCTTTTCTGCCATTGACCTTATAGTGCTTGAAATCTACACTTGCAAATTGCACAAATAGAGTGTTTCAAATCTGCTCTGTCTAAGGGAACGTTCAACTCTGTGAGTTGAATGCACACAACACAAGGAAGTTACTGGGAATTCTTCTGTCCAGCCTTATATGAAAAAAACCCGTTTCCAACGAAGGCCTCAAAGAGGTCTGAATATCCACTTGCAGACTTTACAAACAGAGTGTTTCCTAACTGCTCTATTAAAAGAAAGGTTAAACTCTGTGAGTTGAACGCACACATCACAAAGGAGTTTCTGAGAATCCTTCTGTCTAATTTTTATATGAAGATATTTCCTTTTCTACCATTGACCTCAAAGCGGCTGAAATCTCCACTTGCAAATTCCACAAAAAGAGTGTTTCAAGTCTGCTCTGTGTCAAGGATCATTCAACTCTGTGAGTTGAATACACACAACACAAGGAAGTTACTGAGAATTCTTCTGACTAGCAGAATATGAAGAAATCCCGTTTCCAACGAAGGCCTCTAGGAGGTCTGAATATCCACTTGCAGACTTTACAAACAGAGTGTTTCCTAACTGCTCTATGAAAAGAAAGGTTAAACTCTGTGAGTTGAACACACACATCACAAAGGAGTTTCTGAGAATCATTCTGTCTAGTTTTTATACGAAGATATTTCCTTTTCTACCATTGACCTCAACGCGGCTGAAATCTCCAATTGCAAATTCCACAAAGAGTGTTTCAAGTCTGCTCTGTGTAAAGGATCGTTCAACTCTGTGAGTTGAATACACACAACACAAGGAAGTTACTGAGAATTCTTCTGTCTAGCTGAACATGAAGAAATCCCGCTTCCATGGAAGGCCTCAAGGAGGTCTGAATATCCACTTGCAGACTTTACAAACAGAGTGTTTCCTAACTGCTCTATGAAAAGAAAGGTTAAACTCTGTGAGTTGAACGCACACATCACAAAGGAGTTTCTGAGAATCATTCTGTCTAGTCTTTATACGAAGATATTTCCTTTTCTACCATTGACCTCAAAGCGGCTGAAATCTCCACTTGCAAATTCCACAAAAAGAGTGTTTCAAGTCGGCTCTGTGTAAAGGATCGTTCAACTCTGTGAGTTGAATACACACAACACAAGGAAGTTACTGAGAATTCTTCTGTCTAGCATAATATGAAGAAATCCCGTTTCCAACGAAGGCCCCAAGGAGGTCTGAATATCCACTTGCAGACTTTACAAACAGAGTGTTTCCTAACTGCTCTATGAAAAGAAAGGTTAAACTCTGTGAGTTGAACGCACACATCACAAAGGAGTTTCTGAGAATCATTATGTCTAGTTTCTATATGAAGATATTTCCTTTTCTACTATTGACCTCAAAGCGGCTGAAATCTCCCCTTGCAAATTCCACAAAAAGAGTGTTTCAAGTCTGCTCTGTGTAAAGGTTCGTTCAACTCTGTGAGTTGAATACACACAACACAAGGAAGTTACTGAGAATTCTGCTGTCTAGCAGAATATGAAGAAATCCCGTTTCCAACGAAAGCCTCAAAGATGTCTGAATATCCACTTGCAGACTTTACAAACAGATTGTTTCCTAACTGCTCTATGAAAAGAAAGGTTAAACTCTGTGAGTTGAACGCACACATCACAAAGGAGTTTCTGAGAATCATTCTGTCTAGTTTCTATAGGAAGATATTTCCTATTCTACCATTGACCTCAAAGCGGCTGAAATCTCCACTTGCAAATTCCAGAAAAAGAGTGTTTCAAGACTGTTCTGTGTAAAGGATCATTCAACTCTGTGAGTTGAATACACACAACACAAGGAAGTTACTGAGAATTCTTCTGTCTAGCAGAATATGAAGAAATCCCGTTTCCAACGAAGGCCTCAAGGAGATCTGAATATCCACTTGCAGACTTTACAAACAGAGTGTTTCCTAACAGCTCTATGAACAGAAAGGTTAAACTCTGTGAGTTGAACGCACACATCACAAAGGAGTTTCTGAGAATCATTCTGTCTAGTTTTGAAACGAAGATATTCCCTTTTCTGCCATTGACCTTAAAGCGCTTGAAATCTACACTTGCAAATTGCACAAATAGAGTGTTTCAAATCTGCTCCGTCTAGGGAACGTTCAACTCTGTGAGTTGAATGCACACAACACAAGGAAGTTACTGGGAATTCTTCTGTCTAGCCTTACATGAAAGAAACCCGTTTCCAACGAAGGCCTCTAAGTGGTCAAATTATTCACGTGTAGACGTTACAAACAGAGTGTTTCCAAACTGCTGAATGAAAAGAAAAGTTAAACTCTGAGAGTTGAACGCACACATCGCAGAGCAGTTTCTGAGAATGATTCTGTCAAGTTTTTATACGAAGATATTTCCTTTTCTGCCTTTGGCCTCAAAGCGCTTGAAATCTCCACTTGCAAATTCCACAAAAAGAGTGTTTCAAATCTGCTCTGTGTAAATGAAAGTTCAACTCTGTGAGTTGAACACACACAACACAAGGGAAGTTACTGGGAATTCTTCTCGTCTAGCCTTATATGAAAAAAACCCGTTTCCAACGAAGGCCTCAAAGAGGGCTGAATATCCACTTGCAGACTTTACAAGCAGAGTGTTTCCTAACTGCTCTATGAAAAGAAAGGTTAAACTCTGTGAGTTGAACGCACACATCACAAAGGAGTTTCTGAGAATCATTCTGTCTAGTTTTTATTTGAAGATATTTCCTTTTCAACCATTGACCTCAAAGCGGCTGAAATCTCCATTTGCAAATTCCACAAAAAGAGTGTTTCAAGTCTGCTCTGTGTAAAGGATCATTCAACTCTGTGAGTTGAATACACACAACACGAGGAAGTTACTGAGAATTCTTCTGTCTAGCATAATATGAAGAAATCCCGTTTCCAACGAAGGCCTCAAAGGGGTCTGAATATCCACTTGCAGACTTTATAAACAGAGTGTTTACTAACTGCTCTATGAAAAGAAAGGTTAAACTCTGTGCGTTGAACACACACATCACAAAGGAGTTTCTGAGAATCATTCTGTCTAGTTTTTATAGGAAGATATTTCCTTTTCTACCTTTGACTTCAAAGCGGCTGAAATCTCCACTTTCAAATTCCACAAAAAGAGTGTTACAAGTCTGCTCTGTGTAAAGGATCGTTCAACTGTGTGAGTTGAATACACACAACACAAGGAAAGTTACTGAGAATTCTTCTGTCTAGCCTTATATGAAAAAACCCCGTTTCCAACGAAGGCCTCAAAGAGGACTGAATATCCACTTGCAGACTTTACAAACAGAGTGTTTCCTAACTGCTCTATGAAAAGAAAGGTTAAACTCTGTGAGTTGAACGCACACATCACAAACGAGTTTCTGAGAATCATTCTGTCTAATTTCTATAGGAAGATATTTCCTATTCTACCATTGACCTCAAAGCGGCTGAAATCTCCAGTTGCAAATTCCGCAAAAAGAGTGTTTCAAGTCTGCTCTGTGTAAAGGATCGTTCAACTCTGTGAGTTGAATACGCACAACACAAGGAAGTTACTGAGAATTCTTCTGTCTAGCATAATATGAAGAAATCCCGTTTCCAACGACGGCCTCAAAGAGGTCTGAATATCCACTTGCAGACTTTACAAACAGAGTGTTCCCTAACTGCTCTATGAAAAGAAAGGTTAAACTCTGTGTGTTGAACTGCACACATCACAAAGGAGTTTCTGAGAATCATTCTGTCTAGTTTTTATACGAAGATATTTCCTTTTCTACCATTGACCTCAAAGCGGCTGAAATCTCCACTTGCAAATTCCACAACAAGAGTGTTTCAAGACTGCTCTGTGTAAAGGATCGTTCAACTCTGTGAGTTGAATACACACAACACAAGGAAGTTACTGATAATTCTTCTTTCTAGCAGAATATGAAGAAATCCCGTTTCCAACGAAAGCCTCAAGAATGTCTGAATATCCACTTGCAGACTTTACAAACAGAGTGTTTCCCAACTGCTCTATGAAAAGAAAGGTTAAACTCTGTGAGTTGAACGCACACATCACAAAGGAGTTTCTGAGAATCATTCTGTCTAGTCTTTATACGAAGATAGTTTCCTTTTCTACCATTGACCTCAAAGCGGCTGAAATCTCCACTTGCAAATTCAACAAAAAGAGTGTTTCAAGTCTGCTCTCTGTAAAGGATCGTTCAACTCTGTGAGTTGAATACACACAACACAAGGAAGTTACTGAGAATTATTCTTTCTAGCAGAATATGAAGAAATCCCGTTTCCAACGAAAGCCTCAAGGAGGTCTGAATATCCACTTGCAGACTTTACAAACAGAGTGTTTCCCAACTGCTCTATGAAAAGAAAGGGTAAACTCTGTGAGTTGAACGCACACATCACAAAGGAGTTTCTGAGAATCATTCTGTCTAGTTTCTATAGGAAGATATTTCCTATTCTACCATTGACCTCAAAGCGGCTGAAATCTCCACTTGCAAATTCCACAAAAAGAGTGTTTCAAGTCTGCTCTCTGTAAAGGATCGTTCAACTCTGAGAGTTGAATACACACAACACAAGGAAGTTACTGAGAATTCTTCCGTCTAGCAGAATATGAAGAAATCCCGCTTCCAACGAAGGCCTCAAAGAAGTTTGAATATCCACTTGCAGACTTTACAAACAGAGTGTTTCCCAACTGCTCTATGAAAAGAAAGGTTAAACACTGTGAGTTGAACGCACACATCACAAAGGAGTTTCTGAGAATCATTCTGTCTAGTCTTTATACGAAGATATTTCCTTTTCTACCATTGACCACAAAGCGGCTGAAATCTCCACTTGCAAATTCCACAAAAAGAGTGTTTCAAGTCTGCTCTGTGTAAAGGATCATTCAACTCTGTGATTTGAATAAACACAACACAAGGAAGTTACTGAGAATTCTTTTTTCTAGCAGAATATGAAGAAATCCCGTTTCCAACGAAGGCCTCAAGGAGGTCTGAATATCCACTTGCAGACTTTACAAACAGAGTGTTTCCTAACTGCTCTATGAAAAGAAAGGTTAAACTCTGTGAGTTGAACGCACACATCACAAAGGAGTTTCTGAGAATCATTCTGTCTAGTTTCTTTAGGAAGATATTTCCTATTCTACCATTGACCTCAAAGCGGCTGAAATCTCCACTTGCAAATTCCACAAAAAGAGTGTTTCAAGTCTGCTCTGTGTAAAGGATCGTTCAACTCTGTGAGTTGAATACACACAACACAAGGAAGTTGCTGAGAATTCTTCTTTCTAGCAGAATATGAAGAAATCCCGTTTCCAACGAAAGCCTCAAGGATGTCTGAATATCCACTTGCAGACTTTACAAACAGAGTGTTTCCTAACTGCTCTATGAAAAGAAAGGATAAACTCTATGAGTTGAACGCACACATCACAAAGGAGTTTCTGAGAATCATTCTGTCTAGTTTCTATAGGAAGATAATTCCTATTCTACCATTGACCTCAAAGCGGCTGAAATCTCCACTTGCAAATTCCACAAAAAGTTTGGTTCAAGTCTGCTCTGTGTAAAGGATAGTTCAACTCTGTGAGTTGAATACACACAACACAAGGAAGTTACTGAGAATTCTTCTGTCTAGCAGAATATGAAGAAATCCCGTTTCCAACGAAGGCCACAAGATGTCAGAATATCCACTTACAGAATTTACAAACAGACTGTTTCCTAACTGCTCTATGAAAAGAAAGGTTAAACTCTGTGAGTTGAACGAAGACATCACAACGCAGTTTGTGGGAATGATTCTGTCTAGTTTTGAAAGGAAGATATTTCCTTTTCAGCCGTTGACCTTAAAGCGCTTGAAATCTACACTTGCAAATTGCACAAATAGGCTGTTTCAAATCTGCTCTGTCTAAGGGAACGTTCAACTCTGTGAGTTGAATGCACACAACACAAGGAAGTTAGTGGGAATTCTTCTGTCTAGCCTTACATGAAAAAAACCCGTTTCCAACGAAGGTCTCTAAGTGGTCAAATTATCCACGTGCAGACTTTACAAACAGAGTGTTTCCAAACTGCTGAATGAAAAGAAAAGTTGAACTCTGAGAGTTGAACGCACACATCGCAGAGCAGTTTCTGAGAATGATTCTGTCTAGTTTTTATACGAAGATATTTCCTTTTCTGCCTTTGGCCCGAAAGCGCTTGAAATCTCCACTTGCAAATTCCACAAAAACAGTGTTTCAAATCTGCTCTCTCTAAATGAAAGTTCAACTCTGTCAGTTGAATACACACAACACAAGGAAGTTACTGAGAATTACTCTGTCTAGCAGAATATGAAGAAATCCCGCTTCCAACGAAGGCCTCAAAGAAGTCTGAATATCCACTTGCAGACTTTACAAACAGAGTGTTTCCCAACTGCTCTATGAAAAGAAAGGTTGAACTCTGTGAGTTGAACGCACACATCACAAAGGAGTTTCTGAGAATAATTCTGTCTAGTTTTTATACGAAGATATTTCCTTTTCTACCATTGACCTCAAAGCGGCTGAAATCTCCACTTGCAAATTCCACAAAACGAGTGTTTCAAGTCCGCTCTGTGTAAAGGATCGTTCAACTCTGTGAGTTGAATACTCACAACACAAGGAAGTTACTGAGAATTCTTCTGTCTAGCAGAATAGGAAGAAATCCCGTTTCCAACGAAGGCCACAAGATGTCAGAATATCCACTTACAGACTTTACAAACAGAGTGTTTCCTAACTGCTCTATGAACAGAAAGGTTAAACTCTGTGAGTTGAGCGAACACATCACAACGCAGTTTGTGGGAATGATTCTGTCTAGTTTTGAAACGAAGATATTTCCTTTTCTGCCATTGACCTTAAAGCGCTTGAAATCTCCACTTGCCAATTGCACAAAAAGAGTGTTTCAAATCTGCTCTGTCTAAGGGAACGTTCAACTCTGTGAGTTGAATGTACACAACGCAAGGAAGTTACTGGGAATTCTACTGTCTAGCCTTACATGAAAAAAACACTTTTCCAACGAAGGCCTCAAACAAGTCCAAATATCCACGTGGAGACTTTACAAACAGAGTGTTTCCAAACTGCTGAATGAAAAGAAAAGTTAAACTCTGAGAGTTGAACGCACACATCACAGAGCAGTTTCTGAGAATGATTCTGTCTAGTTTTTATACGAAGATATTTCCTTTTCTGCCTTTGGCCTCAAAGCGCTTGAAATCTCCATTTACAAATTCCACAAAAAGAGTGTTTCAAATCTGCTCTGTGTAAATGAAAGTTCAACTCTGTGAGTTGAACACACACAACACAAGGAAGTTACTGGGAATTCTTCTGTCTAGCATAGTATGAAGAAATCCCGTTTCCAACGAAGGCCTCAAAGAGGTCTGAATATCCACTTGCAGACTTTACAAACGGAGTGTTTCCTAACTGCTCTATGAAAAGAAAGGTTAAACTCTGTGAGTTGAACGCACACATCACAAAGAAGTTTCTGAGAATCATTCTGTCTAGTTTTTATACGAAGATATTTCCTTTTCTACCATTGACCTCAATGCGGCTGAAATCTCCACTTGCAAATTCCACAAAAAGTGTGTTTAAAGTCCGCTCTGTGTAAAGGATCGTTCAACTCTGTGAGTTGAATACACACAACACAAGGAAGTTACTGAGAATTCTTCTGTCTAGCACAGTATGAAGAAATCCCGTTTCCAACGAAGGCCTCAAAGAGGTCTGAATATCCACTTGCAGACTTTACAAACAGAGTGTTTCCTAACTCCTCTATGAAAAGAAAGGTTAAACTCTGTGAGTTGAAAGCACACGTCACAATGAAGTTTCTGAGAATCATTCTGTCTAGTTTTGAAACGAAGATATTTCCTTTTCTGCCATTGACCTTAAAGCGCTTGAAATCTACACTTGCAAATTGCACAAATAGAGTGTTTCAAATCTGCTCTGTCTAAGGTACGTTCAACTCTGTGAGTTGAATGCACACAACACAAGGAAGTTACTGGGAATTCTTCTGTTTAACCTTACATGAAAAAAACCCGTTTCCAACGAAGGCCTCAAAGAAGTCCAAGTATCCACGTGCAGACTTTACAAACAGAGTGTTTCCTAACTGCTCCATGAAAAGAAAGGTTAAACTCTGTGAGTTCAACGCACACATCACAAAGGAGTTTCTGAGAATCATTCTGTCTAGTTTTTAAACGAAGATATTTCCTTTTCTGCCTTTGGCCTCAACGCGCTTGAAATCTCCACTTGCAAATTCCACAAAAAGAGTGTTTCAAATCTGCTCTGTGTAAATGAAAGTTCAACTCTGTGAGTTGAACACACACAACACAAGGAAGTTACTGGGAGTTCTTCTGTCTAGCATAATATGAAGAAATCCCGTTTCCAACGAAGGCCTCAAGGAGGTCTGAATATCCACTTGCAGACTTTACAAACAGAGTGTTTCCTAACTGCTCTATGAAAACAAAGGTTAAACTCTGTGAGTTGAACGCACACATCACAAAGGAGTTTCTGAGAATCATTTCTGTCTAGTTTCTATAGGAAGATATTTCCTATTCTACCATTGAACTCAAAGCGGCTGAAATCTCCACTTCCAAATTCCACAAAAAGAGTGTTTCAAGTCTGCTCTGTGTAAAGGATCATTCAACTCTGTGAGTTGAATACACACAACACAAGGAAGTTACTGAGAATTCTTCTGTCTAGCAGAATATGAAGAAATCCCGTTTCCAACGAAGGCCACAAGATGTCAGAATATCCACTTACAGACTTGACAAACAGAGTGTTTCCTAACTGCTCTATGAACACAAAGGTTAAACTCTGTGAGTTGAACGAACACATCACAACGCAGTTTGTGGGAATGATTCTGTCTAGTTTTTATTCGAAGATATTTCCTTTTCTACCATTGACCCCAAAGCGGCTGAAATCACCACTTGCCAATTGCACAAATAGAGTGTTTCAAATCTGCTCTGTCTAAGGGAACGTTCAACTCTGTGAGTTGAACACACACAACACAAGGAAGTTACTGGGAATTCTTCTGTCTAGCCTTACATGCAAAAAACCCGTTTCCAACGAAGGCCTCTAAGTGGTCAAAATATCCACGTGCATACTTTACAAACAGAGTGTTTCCAAACCGCTGAATGAAAAGAAAAGTTAAACTCTGAGAGTTGAACGCACACATCACGCAGCAGTTTCTGAGAATGATTCTGTCTAGTTTTGAAACGAAGATATTTCCTTTTCTGCCTTTGGCCTCAAAGCGCTGGAAATCTCCACTTGCAAATTCCACAAAAAGAGTGTTTCAAATCTGCTCTGTGTAAATGAAAGTTCAACTCTGTGAGTTGAACACACACAACACAAGGAAGTTACTGGGAATTCTTCTGTCTAGCATAATATGAAGAAATCCCGTTTCCAACGAAGGCCTCAAAGAGGTCTGAATATCCACTTGCAGACTTTGCAAAAAGAGTGTTTCCTAACTGCTCTATGAAAAGAAAAGTTAAACTCTGTGAGTTGAACGCACACATCACAAAGGAGTTTCTGAGAATCATTCTGTCTAGTCTTTATACGAAGATATTTCCTATTCTACCATTGACCTCAAAGCGGCTGAAATCTCCACTTGCAAATTCCACACAAAGAGTGTTTCAAGTCTGCTCTGTGTAAAGGATCGTTCAACTCTGTGAGTTGAATACACACAACACAAGGAAGTTACTGAGAATTCTTCTGTCTAGCAGAATATGAAGAAATCCCGTTTCCAAAGAAGGCTACAAGATGTCAGAATATCCACTTACAGACTTTACAAACAGAGTGTTTCCTAACTGCTCTATGAACAGAAAGGTTAAACTCTGTGAGTTGAACGAACACATCACAACGCAGTTTGTGGCAATGATTCTGTCTAGTTTTGAAACGATGATATTTCCTTTTCTGCCATTGACCTTAAAGCGCTTGAAATCTACACTTGCAAATTGCACAAATAGAGTGTTTCAAATCTGCTCTGTCTAAGGGAACGTTCAACTCTGTGAGTTGAATGCACACAACACAAGGAAGTTACTGGGAATTCTTCTGTCTAGCCTTACAGGAAAAAAACCCGTTTCCAACGAAGGCCTCTAAGTGGTCAAGTTATCCACGTGCAGACTTTACAACCAGAGTGTTTCCAAACTGCTGAATGAAAAGAAAAGTTAAACTCTGAGAGTTGAACGCACACATCGCAGAGCAGTTTCTGAGAATGATTCTCTGTCTAGTTTTTATACGAAGATATTTCCTTTTCTGCCTTTGGCCCCGAAGCGCTTGAAATCTCCACTTGCAAATTCCACAAAAACAGTGTTTCAAATCTGCTCTCTCTAAATGAAAGTTCAACTCTGTCAGTTGAATACATACAACAGAAGGAAGTTACTGAGAATTCTTCTGTCTAGCATAATATGAAGAAATCCCGTTTCCAACGAAGGCCTCAAAGGGGTCTGAATATCCACTTGCAGACTTTATAAACAGAGTGTTTACTAACTGCTCTATGAAAAGAAAGGTTAAACTCTGTGAGTTGAACGCACACATCACAAAGGATTTTGTGGGAATCATTCTGTCTAGTTTCTATGGGAAGATATTTCCTATTCTACCATTGACCTCAAAGCGGCTGAAATCTCCACTTGCAAATTCCACAAAAAGAGTGTTTCAAGTCTGCTCTCTGTAAAGGATCGTTCAACTCTGTGAGTTGAATACACACAACACAGGGAAGTTACTGAGAATTCTTCTGTCTAGCAGAATAGGAAGAAATCCCGTTTCCAACGAAGGCCACAAGATGTCAGAATATCCACTTACAGACTTTACAAACAGAGTGTTTCCTAACTGCTCTATGAACAGAAAGGTTAAACTCTGTGAGTTGAACGAACACATCACAACGCAGTTTGTGGGAATGATTCTGTCTAGTTTTGAAACGAAGATATTTCCTTTTCTGCCATTGACCTTAAAGCGCTTGAAATCTCCATTTGCCAATTGCACAAAAAGAGTGTTTCAAATCTGCTCTGTCTAAGGGAACGTTCAACTCTGTGAGTTGAATGTACACAAAACAAGGAAGTTACTGGGAATTCTTCTGTCTAGCCTTACATGAAAAAAACCCGTTTCCAACGAAGGCCTCTAAGTGGTCAAATTATCCACGTGCAGACTTTGCAAACAGAGTGTTTCCAAACTGCTAAATGAAAAGAAATGTTAAACTCTGAGAGTTGAACGCACACATCGCAGAGCAGTTTCTGAGAATGATTCTGTCTAGTTTTTATACGAAGATATTTCCTTTTCTACCATTGACCTCGAAGCGGCTGAAATCTCCACTTGCAAATTACACAAAAAGAGTGTTTCAAGTCTGCTCTGTGTAAACTATCGTTGAACTCTGTGAGTTGAATACACACAACACAAGGAAGTTTCTGAGAATTCTTCTGTATAGCAGAATATGAAGAAATCCCGTTTCCAACGAAATCCACAAAGATGTCTAAATATCCACTTGCAGACTTTACAAACAGAGTGTTTCCTAACTGCTCTATGAAAAGAAAGGTTAAACTCTGTGAGTTGAACGCACACATCACAAAGGAGTTTCTGAGAATCATTCTGTCTAGTTTCTATAGGAAGATATTTCCTATTCTACCATTGACCTCAAAGCGGCTGAAATCTCCAGTTGCAAATTCCACAAAAAGAGTGTTTCAAGTCTGCTCTGTGTAAAGGATCGTTCAACTCTGTGAGTTGAATACACAAAACACAAGGAAGTTACTGAGACTTCTTCTGTCTAGCAGAATATGAACAAATCCCGTTTCCAACGAAGGCCACAAGATGTCAGAATATCCACTTACAGACTTTACAAACAGAGTGTTTCCTAACTGCTCTATGAACAGAAAGGTTAAACTCTGTGAGTTGAACGAACACATCACAACGCAGTTTGTGGGAATGATTCTGTCTAGTTTTGAAACGAAGATATTTCCTTTTCTGCCGTTGACCTTAAAGAGCTTGAAAACTACACTTGCAAATTGCACAAATAGAGTGTTTCAAATCTGCTCTGTCTAAGGGAACGTTCAACTCTGTGAGTTGAATGCACACAACACAAGGAAGTTACTGGGAATTCTTCTGTCTAGCCTTACATGAAAAAATCCCGTTTCCAACGAAGGCCTCTAAGTGGTCAAAATTTCCACGTGCAGACTTTACAAACAGAGTGTTTCCAAACCGCTGAATGAAAAGAAAAGTTAAACTCTGAGAGTTGAACGCACACATCACGCAGCAGTTTCTGAGAATGATTCTGTCTAGTTTTTATAAGAAGATATTTCCTTTTCTGCCTTTGGCCTCACAGCGCTTGAAATCCCCACTTGCAAATTCCACAAAAAGAGTGTTTCAAATCTGCTCTGTGTAAATGAAAGTTCAACTCTGTGAGTTGAACACACACAACACAAGGAAGTTACTGGGAATTCTTCTGTCTAGCAGAATATGAAGAAATCCCGTTTCCAACGAAGGCCTCAAGGAGGTCTGAATATCCACTTGCAGACTTTACAAACAGAGTGTTTCTTAACTGCTCTATGAAAAGAAAGGTTAAACTCTGTGAGTTGAACACACACATCACAAAGGAGTTTCTGAGAATCATTCTGTCTATTTTCTATAGGAAGATATTTCCTATTCTACCATTGACCTCAAAGCGGCTGAAATCTCCACTTGCAAATTCCACAAAAAGAGTGTTTCAAGTCTGCTCTGTGTAAAGGATCGTTCAACTCTGTGAGTTGAATACACACAACACAAGGAATTTACTGAGAATTCTTCTGTCTAGCATAATATGAAGAAATCCCGTTTCCAACGAAGGCCTCAAAGAGGTCTGAATATCCACTTGCAGACTTTACAAACACAGTGTTTCCTAACTGCTCTATGAAAAGAAAAGTTAAACTCTGTGAGTTGAACGCACACATCACAAAGGAGTTTCTGAGAATCATTCTGTCTAGTTTCTATAGGAAGTTATTTCCTATTCTAACATTGACCTCAAAGCGGCTGAAATCTCCACTTGCAAATTCCACAAAAAGAGTGTTTAAAGTCTGCTCTCTGTAAAGGATCGTTCAGCTCTGTGAGTTGAATACACACAACAAAAGGAAGTTACTGAGAATTATTCTTTCTAGCAGAATATGAAGAAATCCCATTTCCAACGAAAGCCTCAAGGATGTCTGAATATCCACTTGCAGACTTTACAAACAGAGTGTTTCCCAACTGCTCTATGAAAAGAAAGGTTAAACTCTGTGAGTTGAACGCACACATCACAAAGGAGTTTCTGAGAATCATTCTGTCTAGTTTTTATACGAAGATATTTCCTTTTCTACCATTGACCGCAAAGCGGCTGAAATCTCCACCCTGCCAATTCCACAAAAAGAGTGTTTCAAATCTACTCTGTGTAAAGGATCGTTGAACTCTGTGAGTTGAAAACACACAACACAATGAAGTTTCTGAGAATTCTTCTGTATAGCAGAATATGAAGAAATCCCGTTTCCAACGAAGCCCTCAAGGAGGTCGGAATATCCATTTGCAGACTTTACAAACAGAGTGTTTCCTAACTGCTCTATGAAAAGAAAGGTTAAACTCTGTGAGTTGAACGCACACATCACAAAGGAGTTTCTGAGAATCATTCTGTCTAGTTTTGAAACGAAGATATTTCCTTTTCTGCCGTTGACCTTAAAGAGCTTGAAAACTACACTTGCAAATTGCACAAATAGAGTGTTTCAAATCTGCTCTGTCTAAGGGAACGTTCAACTCTGTGAGTTGAATGCACACAACACAAGGAAGTTACTGGGAATTCTTCTGTCTAGCATAATATGAAGAAATCCCGTTTCCAACGAAGGCCTCAAGGAGGTCTGAATATCCACTTGCAGACTTTATAAACAGAGTGTTTACTAACTGCTCTATGAAAAGAAAGGTTAAACTCTGTGAGTTGAACACACACATCACAAAGGAGTTTGTGAGAATCATTCTGTCTAGTTTTTATACGAAGATATTTCCTTTTCTGCCTTTGGCCCCAAAGCGCTTGAAATCTCCACTTGCAACTTCCACAAAAACAGTGTTTCAAATCTGCTCTCTCTAAATGAAAGTTCAACTCTGTCAGTTGAATACACACAACACAAGGAAGTTACTGAGAATTCCTTCTGTCTAGCATAATATGCAGAAATCCCTTTTCCAAAGAAGGCCTCAAGCAGGTCTGAATATCCACTTGCAGACTTTACAAACAGAGTGTTTCCTAACTGCTCTATGAAAAGAAAGGTTAAACTCTGTGAGTTGAACGCACACATCACAAAGGAGTTTATGAGAATCATTCTGTCTGGTTTCTATAGGAAGATATTTCCTATTCTACCATTGACCTCAAAGAGGCTGAAATCTCCACTTGCAAATTCCACAAAAAGAGTGTTTCAAGTCTGCTCTGTGTAAAGGATCGTTGAAATCTGTGAGTTGAATACACACAACACAATGAAGTTACTGAGAATTCTTCTGTCTAGCAGAATATGAAGAAATCCCCTTTCCAACGAAGGCCTCAAAGCGGTCTGAATATCCACTTGCAGACTTTACAAACAGAGTGTTCCCTAACTGCTCTATGAAAAGAAAGGTTAAACTCTGTGAGTTGAACGCACACATCACAAAGGAGTTTCTGAGAATCATTCTGTCTAGTTTTTATACGAAGATATTTCCTTTTCTACCATTGACCTCAACGCAGCTGAAATCTCCGCTTGCAAATTCCAGAAAAAGAGTGTTTCCTGTCCGCTCTGTGTAAAGGATCGTTCAACTCTGTGAGTTGAATACACACAACACAAGGAAAGTTACTGAGAATTCTTCTGTCTAGCAGAATATGAAGAAATCCCGTTTCCAACGAAAGCCTCAAAGATGTCTGAATATCCACTTGCAGACTTTACAAACAGAGAGTTTCCTAACTGCTCTATGAAAAGAAAGGTTAAACTCTGTGAGTTGAACGCACACAGCACAAAGGAGTTTCTGAGAATCATTCTGTCTAGTTTCTATAGGAAGATATTTCCTATTCTACCATTGACCTCAAAGCGGCTGAAATCTCCACTTGCAAATTCCACAAAAAGAGTGTTTCAAGTCTGCTCTGTGTAAAGGATCGTTCAACTCTGTGAGTTGAATACACACAACACAAGGAAGTTACTGAGAATTCGTCTGTCTAGCCTTATATGAAAAAAACCCGTTTCCAACGAAGGCCTCAAAGAGGTCTGAATATCCACTTGCAGACTTTACAAACAGAGTGTTTCCTAACTGCTCTATGAAAACAAAGGTTAAACTCTGTGAGTTGAACGTACACATCACAAAGTAGTTTCTGAGAATCATTCTGTCAAGTTTCTATAGGAAGATATTTCCTATTCTACCATTGACCTCAAAGCGGCTGAAATCTCCACTTGCAAATTCCACAAAAAGAGTGTTTCAAGTCTGCTCTCTGTAAAGGATCGTTCAACTCTGTGAGTTGAATACACACAACACAAGGAATTTTCTGAGAATTCTTCTGTCTAGCATAATATGAAGAAATCCCGTTTCCAACGAAGGCCTCAAAGAGGTCTGAATATCCACTTGCAGACTTTACAAACAGAGTGTTTCCTAACTGCTCTATGAAAAGAAAGTTTAAACTCTGTGAGTTGAACGCACACATCAGAAAGGAGTTTCTGAGAATCATTCTGTCTAGTTTTTATATGAAGATATTTCCTATTCTACCATTGAACTCAAAGCGGCTGAAATCTCCACTTGCAAATTCCACAAAAAGAGTGTCTCAAGTCTGCTCCGTGTAAACGATCGTTCAACTCTGTGAGTTGAATACACACAACACAAGGAAGTTTCTGAGAATTCTTCTGTCTAGCCTTACATGAAAAAAACCCGTTTCCAACGAAGGCCTCTAAGTGGTCAAATTATCCACGTGCAGACTTTACAAACAGAGTGTTTCCAAACTGCTGAATGAAAAGAAATGTTAAACTCTGAGAGTTGAACGCACACATCACAGAGCAGTTTCTGAGAATGATTCTGTCTAGTTTTTATACGGAGATATTTCCTTTTCTGCCTTTGGCCCCAAAGCGCTTGAAATCTCCACTTGCAAATTCCACAAAAACAGTGTTTCAAATCTGCTCTCTCTAAATGAAAGTTCAACTCTGTCAGTTGAATACACACAACACAAGGAAGTTACTGAGAATTCTTCTTTCTAACAGAATATGAAGAAATCCCGTTTCCAACGAAAGCCTCAAGGATGTCTGAATATCCACTTGCAGACTTTACAAACAGAGTGTTTCCTAACTGCTCTATGAAAAGAAAGGTTAAACTCTGTGAGTTGAACGCACACATCACAAAGGAGTTTCTGAGAATCATTCTGTCTAGTTTTTATAGGAAGATATTTCCTTTTCTACCTTTGACTTCAAAGCGGCTGAAATCTCCACTTGCAAATTCCACAAAAAGAGTGTTACAAGTCTGCTCTGTGTAGAGGATCGTTCAACTCTGTGAGTTGAATACACACAAGACAAGGAAGTTACTGAGAATTCTTCTGTCTAGCCTTATATGAAAAAAACCCGTTTCCAACGAAGGCCTCAAAGAGGTCTGAATATCCACTTGCAGACTTTACAAACAGAGTGTTTCCTAACTCCTCTATGAAAACAAAGGTTAAACTCTGTGAGTTGAACACACACATCTCAAAGGAGTTTCTGAGAATCATTCTGTCTTGTTTCTATACGAAGATTTTTCCTTTTCTACCATTGACCTCAAAGCGGCTGAAATCTCCACTTGCAAATTCCACAAAAAGAGTGTTTCAAGTCTCCTCTGTGTAAAGGATCGTTCAACTCTGTGAGTTGAATACACACAACACAAGGAAGTTACTGAGAATTCTTCTGTCTAGCAGAATATGAAGAAATCCCGTTTCCAACGAAGGCCACAAGATGTCTGAATATCCACTTACAGACTTTACAAACAGAGTGTTTCCTAACTGCTCTATGAACAGAAAGGTTAAACTCTGTGAGTTGAACGAACACATCACAACGCAGTTTGTGGGAATGATTCTGTCTAGTTTTGAAACCAAGATATTTCCTTTTCTGCCGTTGACCTTAAAGAGCTTGAAAACTACACTTGCAAATTGCACAAATAGAGTGTTTCAAATCTGCTCTGTCTAAGGGAACGTTCAACTCTGTGAGTTGAATGCACACAACACAAGGAAGTTACTGGGAATTCTTCTGTCTAGCCTTACATGAAAAAAACCCGTTTCCAACGAAGGCCTCTAAGTGGTCACAATTTCCACGTGCAGACTTTACAAACAGAGTGTTTCCAAACCGCTGAATGAAAAGAAAAGTTAAACTCTGAGAGTTGAACGCACACATCACGCAGCAGTTTCTGAGAATGATTCTGTCTAGTTTTTATACGAAGATATTTCCTTTTCTGCCTTTGGCCCCAAAGCGCTTGAAATCTCCACTTGCAAATTCCACAAAAACAGTGTTTCAAATCTGCTCTCTGTAAATGAAAGTTCAACTCTGTCACTTGAATACACACAACACAAGGAAGTTACTGAGAATTCTTCTGTATAGCAGAATATGAAGAAATCCCTTTTCCAAAGAAAGCCTCAAAGATGTCTGAATATCCACTTGCAGACTTTACAAACAGAGTGTTTCCTAACTGCTCTATGAAAAGAAAGGTTAAACTCTGTGAGTTGAACGCACACATCACAGAGGAGTTTCTGAGAATCATTCTGTCTAATTTCTATAGGAAGATATTTCCTTTTCTACCATTGACCTCAAAGCGGCTGAAATCTCCACTTGCAAATTCCACAACAAGAGTGTTTCAAGTCTGCTCTGTGTAAAGGATCGTTCAAATCTGTGAGTTGAATACACACAACACAAGGAAGTTACTGAGAATTCTTCTGTCTAGCATAATAGGAAGAAATCCCGTTTCCAACGAAGGCCTCAAGGAGGTCTGAATATCCACTTGCAGACTTTACAAACAGAGTGTTTCCTAACTGCTCTATGAAAAGAAAGGTTAAACTCCTGTGAGTTGAACGCACACATCACAAAGGAGTTTCTGAGAATCATTCTGTCTAGTTTTTATACGAAGATATTTCCTTTTCTACCATTGACCTCAAAGCAGCTGAAATCTCCACTTGCAAATTCCACAAAAAGAGTGTTTCAAATCTGCTCTCTGTAAACCATCGTTCAACTCTGTGAGTTGAATACACACAACACAAGGAAGATTCTGAGAATTCTTCTGTCTAGCAGAATATGAAGAAATCCCGTTTCCAACGAAGGCCACAAGATGTCAGAATATCCACTTACAGACTTTACAAACAGAGTGTTTCCTAACTGCTCTATGAACAGAAAAGTTAAACTCTGTGAGTTGAACGAACACATCACAACGCAGTTTGTGGGAATGATTCTGTCTAGTTTTGAAACGAAGATATTTCCTTTTCTGCCATTGACCTTAAAGCGCTTGAAATCTCCACTTGCCAGTTGCACAAAAAGAGTGTTTCAAATCTGCTCTGTCTAAGGGAACGTTCAACTCTGTGAGTTGAATGTACACAACACAAGGAAGTTACTGGGAATTCTTCTGTCTAGCCTTACAGGAAAAAACCCGTTTCCAACAAAGGCCTCTAAGTGGTCAAAATATCCACGTGCAGACTTTACAAACAGAGTGTTTCCAAACTGCTGAATGAAAAGAAAAGTTAAACTCTGAGAGTTGAACGCACACATCGCAGAGCAGTTTCTGAGAATAATTCTGTCTAGTTTTTATACGAAGATATTTCCTTTTCTGCCTTTGGCCTCAAAGCGCTTGAAATCTCCACTTGCAAATTCCACAAAAAGAGTGTTTCAAATCTGCTCTGTGTGAAGGAAAGTTCAACTCTGTGAGTTGAACACACACAACACAAGGAAGTTACTGGGAATTCTTCTCTCTAGCCTTATATGAAAAAAACCCGTTTCCAACGAAGGCCTCAAACAGGTCTGAATATCCACTTGCAGACTTTAGAAACAGAGTGTTTCCTAACTGCTCTATGAAAAGAAAGGTTAAACTCTGTGAGTTGAACGCACACATCACAAAGGAGTTTCTGAGAATCATTCTGTCTAGTTTCTATAAAAAGATATTTCCTATTCTACCATTGACCTCAAAGCGGCTGAAATCTCCACTTGCAAATTCGACAAAAAGAGTGTTTCAAGCCTGCTCTCTGTAAAGGATCCTTCAACTCTGTGAGTTGAATACACACAACACAAGGAAGTTACTGAGAATTATTCTGTCTAGCCTTACATGAAAAAAACCCGTTTCCAACGAAGGCCTCTAAGTGGTCAAATTATCCACGTGCAGACTTTACAAACAGAGTGTTTCCAAACTGCTGAATGAAAAGAAAAGTTAAACTCTGAGAGTTGAACG
Organism: Homo sapiens; assembly: GCF_000001405.40. Classification (NCBI taxonomy): domain Eukaryota; kingdom Metazoa; phylum Chordata; class Mammalia; order Primates; family Hominidae; genus Homo; species Homo sapiens. The sequence goes on along the minus strand of NC_000005.10, from coordinate 47,590,053 downwards.
GACATATCACAGAGCAGTTTCTGAGAATGATTCTGTCTAGTTTTTATACGAAGATATTTCCTTTTCTGCCTTTGGCCTCAAAGCGCTTGAAATCTCCATTTGCAAATTCCACAAAAAGAGTGTTTCAAATCTGCTCTGTGTAAGTGAAAGTTCAACTCTGTGAGTTGAACACACACAACACAAGGAAGTTACTGGGAATTCTTCTGTCTAGCATAATATGAAGAAATCCCGTTTCCAACGAAGGCCTCAAGGAGGTCTGAATATCCACTTGCAGACTTTACAAACAGAGTGTTTCCTAACTGCTCTATGAAAAGAAAGGTTAAACTCTGTGAGTTGAACGCACACATTTCAAAGGAGTTTCTGAGAATCATTCTGTCTAGTTTTTCTACGAAGATATTTCCTTTTCTACTATTGACCTCAAAGCGGCTGAAATCTCCAATTGCAAATTCCACAAAAAGAGTGTTTCAAGTCTGCTCTGTTTAAAGGATCGTTCAACTCTGTGAGTTGAATACACACAACACAAGGAAGTTACTGAGAATTCTTCTGTCTAGCCTTACATGAAAAAAAACCCGTTTCCAACGAAGGCCTCTAAGTGGTCAAAATATCCACGTGCAGTCTTTACAAACAGAGTTTTTCCAAATCGCTGAATGAAAAGAAAAGTTAAACTCTGAGAGTTGAACGCACACATCACGCAGCAGTTTCTGAGAATGATTCTGTCTAGTTTTTATACGAAGATATTTCCTTTTCTGCTTTTGGCCTCAAAGCGCTTGAAATCTCCATTTGCAAATTCCACAAAAAGAGTGTTTCAAATCTGCTCTGTGTAAACGAAAGTTCAACTCTGTGAGTGGAACACACACAACACAAGGAAGTTACTGGGAATTCTTCTGTCTAGCCTTATATGGAAAAAACCCGTTTCCAACGAAGGCCTCAAAGAGGTCTGAATATCCACTTGCAGACTTTACAAACAGAGTGTTTCCTAACTGCTCTATGGAAAGAAAGGTTAAACTCTGTGAGTTGAACGCACACATCACAAAGGAGTTTCTGAGAATCATTCTGTCTAGTTTTTCTACGAAGATATTTCCTTTTCTACTATTGACCTCAAAGCGGCTGAAATCTCCACTTGCAAATTCCACAAAAAGAGTGTTTCAAGTCTGCTCTGTGTAAAGGATCGTTCAACTCTGTGAGTTGAATACACACAACACAAGGAAGTTACTGAGGATTCTTCTGTCTAGCATAATATGAAGAAATCCCGTTTCCAACGAAGACCTCAAAGAGGTCTGAATATCCACTTGCAGACTTTACAAACAGAGTGTTTCCTAACTGCTCTATGAGAAGAAAAGTTAAACTCTGTGAGTTGAAGGCACACATCACAAAAGATTTTCTGAGAATCATTCTGTCTAGTTTTTATACGAAGATATTTCCTTTTCTACCATGGACCTCAAAGCGGCTGAAATCTCCACTTGCAAATTCCACAAAAAGAGTGTTTCAAGTCTGCTCTGTGTAAAGGATCGTTCAACTCTGTGAGTTGAATACACACAACACAAGGAAGATTCTGAGAATCTTCTGTCTAGGAGAATATGAAGAAATCCCGTTTCCATCGAAGGCCAGAAGATGTCAGAATATCCACTTACAGACTTTACAAACAGAGTGTTTCCTAACTGCTCTATGAACAGAAAGGTTAAACTCTGTGAGTTGAACGAACACATCACAACGCAGTTTGTGGGAATGATTCTGTCTAGTTTTGAAACGAAGATATTTCCTTTTCTGCCATTGAACATAAAGCGCTTGAAATCTCCATTTGCCAATTGCACAAAAAGAGTGTTTCAAATCTGCTCTGTCTAAGGGAACGTTCAACTCTGTGAGTTGAATGTACACAACACAAGGAAGTTACTGGGAATTCTTCTGTCTAGCCTTACATGCAAAAAACCCGTTTCCAACGAAGGCCTCTAAGTGGTCAAAATATCCACGTGCAGACTTTACAAACAGAGTGTTTCCAAACCGCTGAATGAAAAGAAAAGTTAAACTCTGAGAGTTGAACGCACACATCACGCAGCAGTTTACTGAGAATGATTCTGTCTAGTTTTTATACGAAGATATTTCCTTTTCTGTCTTTGGCCTCAAAGCGCTTGAAATCTCCATTTGCAAATTCCACAAAAAGAGTGTTTCAAATCTGCTCTGTGTAAATGAAAGTTCAACTCTGTGAGTTGAACACATACAACACAAGGAAGTTACTGGGAATTCTTCTGTCTAGCAGAATATGAAGAAATCCCGTTTCCAACGAAGGCCTCAAGGATGTCTGAATATCCACTTGCAGACTTTACAAACAGAGTGTTTCCTAACTGCTCTATGAAAAGAAAGGTTAAACTCTGTGAGTTGAACGCACACATCACAAAGGAGTTTATGAGAATCATTCTGTCTAGTCTTTATACGAAGAAAGTTTCCTTTTCTACCATTGACCTCAAAGCGGCTGAAATCTCCACTTGCAAATTCCACAAAAAGAGTGTTTCAAGTCTGCTCTGTGTAAAGGATCGTTCAACTCTGTGAGTTGAATACACACAACACAAGGAAGTTACTGAGAATTCTTCTGTCTAGCCTTACATGAAAAAAACCCGTTTCCAACGAAGGCCTCTAAGTGGTCAAGTTATCCACGTGCAGACTTTACAAACAGAGTGTTTCCAAACTGCTGAAGGAAAAGAAAAGTTAAACTCTGAGAGTTGAACGCACACATCGCAGAGCAGTTTCTGAGAATGATTCTGTCTAGTTTTTATACAAAGATATTTCCTTTTCTGCCTTTGGCCTCAAAGCGCTTGAAATCTCCACTTGCAAATTCCACAAAAAGAGTGTTTCCAATCTGCTCTGTGTAAATGAAAGTTCAACTCTGTGAGTTGAACACACACAACACAAGGAAGTTACTGGGAATTCTTCTGTCTAGCAGAATATGAAGAAATCCCGTTTCCAACGAAGGACTCAAAGGGGTCTGAATATCCACTTGCAGACTTTACAAACAGAGTGTTTCCTAACTGCTCTATGAAAAGAAAGGTTAAACTCTGTGAGTTGAACGCACACATCACAAAGGAGTTTATGAGAATCATTCTGTCTAGTTTTTATAGGAAGTTATTTCCTTTTCTACCTTTGACTTCAAAGCGGCTGAAATCTCCACTTGCAAATTCCACAAAAAGAGTGTTACAAGTCTGCTCTGTGTAAAGGATCGTTCACCTCTGTGAGTTGAATACACACAACACAAGGAAGTTACTGAGAATTCTTCTGTCTAGCCTTACATGAAAAAAACCCGTTTCCAACGAAGGCCTCTAAGTGGTCAAATTATCCACGTGTAGACTTTACAAACAGAGTGTTTCCAAACTGCTGAATGAAAAGAAAAGTTAAACTCTGAGAGTTGAACGCACACATCGCAGAGCAGTTTCTGAGAATGATTCTGTCTAGTTTTTATACGAAGATATTTCCTTTTCTGCCTTTGGCCTCAAAGCGCTTGAAATCTCCACTTGCAAATTCCACAAAAAGAGTGTTTCAAATCTGCTCTGTGTAAATGAAAGTTCACCTCTGTGAGTTGAACACACACAACACAAGGAAGTTACTGGGAATTCTTCTGTCTAGCATAGTATGAAGAAATCCCGTTTCCAACGAAGGCCTCAAACAGGTCTGAATATCCACTTGCAGAGTTTACAAACAGAGGGTTTCCTAACTGCTCTATGAAAAGAAAGGTTAAACTCTGTGAGTTGAACGCACACATCACAAAGAAGTTTCTGAGAATCATTCTGTCTAGTCTTTATACGAAGATATTTACTTTTCTACCATTGACCTCAAAGCGGTTGAAATCTCCACTTGCAAATTCCACAAAAAGAGTGTTTCAAGTCTGCTCTGTGTAAAGGATCATTCAACTCTGTGAGTTGAATAAACACAACACAAGGAAGTTACTGAGAATTCTTCTGCCTAGCAGAATATGAAGAAATCCCGTTTCCAACGAAGGCCACAAGATGTCAGAATATCCACTTACAGAATTTACAAACAGACTGTTTCCTAACTGCTCTATGAAAAGAAAGGTTAAACTCTGTGAGTTGAACGAACACATCACAACGCAGTTTGTGGGAATGATTCTGTCTAGTTTTGAAACGAAGATATTTCCTTTTCTGCCGTTGACCTTATAGCGCTTGAAATCTACACTTGCAAATTGCACAAATAGAGTGTTTCAAATCTGCTCTGTCTAAGGGAACGTTCAACTCTGTGAGTTGAATGCACACAACACAAGGAAGTTACTGGGAATTCTTCTGTCTAGCCTTACATGAAAAAAACCCGTTTCCAACGAAGGCCTCTAAGTGGTCAAAATATCCACGTGCAGACTTTACAAACAGAGTGTTTCCAAACCGCTGAATGAAAAGAAAAGTTAAACTCTGAGAGTTGAACGCACACATCACGCTGCAGTTTCTGAGAATGATTCTGTCTAGTTTTTATACGAAGATATTTCCTTTTCTTCCTTTGGCCCCAAAGCGCTTGAAATCTCCACTTGCAAATTCCACAAAAACAGTGTTTCAAATCTGCTCTCTCTAAATGAAAGTTCAACTCTGTCAGTTGAATACACACAACAGAAGGAAGTTATTGAGAATTCTTCTGTCTAGCCTTATATGAAAAAAACCCGTTTCCAACGAAGGCCTCAAAGAGGTCTGAATATCCACTTGCAGACTTTACAAACAGAGTGATTCCTAACTGCTCTATGAAAAGAAAGGTTAAACTCTGTGAGTTGAACACACACATCACAAAGGAGTTTCCTGAGAATCATTCTGTCTAGTTTTTATACGAAGATATTTCCTTTTCTACCATTGACCTCAACGCAGCTGAAATCTCCGCTTGCAAATTCCAGAAAAAGAGTGTTTCCTGTCCGCTCTGTGTAAAGGATCGTTCAACTCTGTGAGTTGAATACACACAACACAAGGAAGTTACTGAGAATTCTTCTGTCTAGCACAGTATGAAGAAATCCCGTTTCCAACGAAGGCCTCAAAGAGGTCTGAATATCCACTTGCAGACTTTACAAACACAGTGTTTCCTAACTGCTCTATGAAAAGAAAGGTTAAACTCTGTGAGTTGAATGCACACATCACAAAGAAGTTTCTGAGAAACATTCTGTCTAGTTTTTTACGAAGATATTTCCTTTTCTGCCTTTGGCCCCAAAGCGCTTGAAATCTCCAATTGCAAATTCCACAAAAACAGTGTTTCAAATCTGCTCTCTCTAAATGAAAGTTCAACTCTGTCAGCTGAATACACACAACACAAGGAAGTTACTGAGAATTCTTCTGTCTAGCCGTATATGAAAAAAACCCGTTTCCAACGAAGGCCTCAAAGAGGTCTGAATATCCACTTGCAGACTTTACAAACAGAGTGTTTCCTAACTGCTCTATGAAAAGAAAGGTTAAACTCTGTGAGTTGAACGCACACATCACAAAGGAGTTTCTGAGAATCATTCTGTCTAGTTTTTATACGAAGATATTTCCTTTTCTACCATTGACCTCAACGCAGCTGAAATCTCCGCTTGCAAATTCCAGAAAAAGAGTGTTTCAAGTCTGCTCTGTGTAAAGGATCGTTCAACTCTGTGAGTTGAATACACACAACACAAGGAAAGTTACTGAGAATTCTTCTGTCTAGCATAGAATGAAGAAATCCCGTTTCCAACGAAGGCCTCAAAGAGGTCTGAATATCCACTTGCAGAGTTTACAAACAGAGTGTTTCCTAACTGCTCTATGAAAAGAAAGGTTAAACTCTGTGAGTTGAACGCACACATCACAAAGAAGTTTCTGAGAATCATTCTGTCTAGTTTTTATAGGAAGATATTTCCTTTTCTACCATGGACCTCAAAGCGGCTGAAATCTCCACTTGCAAATTCCACAAAAAGAGTGTTACAAGTCTGCTCTGTGTAAAGGATCGTTCAACTCTGTGAGTTGAATACACACAACACAAGGAAGTTACTGAGAATTCTTCTGTCTAGCAGAATATGAAGAAATCCCGTTTCCAACGAAGGCCACAAGATGTCAGAATATCCACTGACAGACTTTACAAACAGAGTGTTTCCTAACTGCTCTATGAACAGAAAGGTTAAACTCTGTGAGTTGAACGAACACATCACAACGCAGTTTGTGGGAATGATTCTGTCTAGTTTTGAAACGAAGATATTTCCTTTTCTGCCATTGAACTTAAAGCGCTTGAAATCTCCATTTGCCAATTGCACAAAAAGAGTGTTTCAAATCTGCTCTGTCTAAGGGAACGTTCAACTCTGTGAGTTGAATGTACACAACACAAGGAAGTTACTGGGAATTCTTCTGTCTAGCCTTACAGGAAAAAAACCCGTTTCCAACGAAGGCCTCTAAGTGGTCAAAATATCCACGTGCAGACTTTACAAACAGAGTGTTTCCAAACTGCTGAATGAAAAGAAAAGTTAAACTCTGAGAGTTGAACGCACACATCGCAGAGCAGTTTTCTGAGAATGATTTCTGTCTAGTTTCCATAGGAAGATATTTCCTATTCTACCATTGACCTCAAAGCGGCTGGAATCTCCACTTGCAAATTCCACAAAAGGAGTGTTTCAAGTCTGCTCTGAGTAAAGGATCGTTCAACTCTGTGAGTTGAATACACACAACACAAGGAAGTTTCTGAGAATTCTTCTGTCTAGCAGAATATGAAGAAATCCCGTTTCCAAAGAAAGCCTCAAAGATGTCTGAATATCCACTTGCAGACTTTACAAACAGAGTGTTTCCTAACTGCTCTATGAAAAGAACGGTTAAACTCTGTGAGTTGAACGCACACATCACAAAGGAGTTTCTGAGAATCATTCTGTCTAGTTTCTATAGGAAGATATTTCCTATTCTACCATTGACCTCAAAGCGGCTGAAATCTCCACTTGCAAATTCCACAAAAGGAGTGTTTCAAGTCTGCTCTGTGTACAGGATCGTTCAACTCTGTGAGTTGAATACACACAACACAAGGCAGTTACTGAGAATTCTTCTGTCTAGCCTTACATGAAAAAAACCCGTTTCCAACGAAGACCTCTAAGTGGTCAAAATATCCACGTGCAGACTTTACAAACAGAGTGTTTCCAAACCGCTGAATGAAAAGAAAAGTTAAACTCTGAGAGTTGAACGAACACATCACGCAGCAGTTTCTGAGAATGATTCTGTCTAGTTTTTATACGAAGATATTTCCTTTTCTACCATTGACCTAAAAGCGGCTGAAATCTCCACACTGCCAATTCCACAAAAAGAGTGTTTCAAGTCTACTCTGTGTAAAGGATCGTTGAACTCTGTGATTTGAAAACACACAACACAACGAAGTTTCTGAGAAATCTTCTGTCTAGCCTTATATGGAAAAAACCCGTTTCCAACGAAGGCCTCAAAGAGGTCTGAATATCCTCTTGCAGACTTTACAAACAGAGTGTTTCCTAACTGCTCTATGAAAAGAAAGGTTAAACTCTGTGAGTTGGACACACACATCACAAAGGAGTTTCTGAGAATCATTCTGTCTAGTCTTTATACGAAGATATTTCCTTTTCTACCATTGACCTCAAAGCGGCTGAAATCTCCACTTGCAAATTCCACAAAAAGAGTGTTTCAAGTCTGCTCTCTGAAAAGGATCGTTCAACTCTGTGAGTTCAATACACACAACACAAGGAAGTTACTGAGAATTCTTCTGTCTAGCAGAATATGAAGAAATCCCGTTTCCATCGAAGGCCTCTAAGAGGTCTGAATATCCACTTGCAGACTTTACAAACGGAGTGTTTCCTAACTGCTCTATGAAAAGAAAGGTTAAACTCTGTGAGTTGAACGCACACATCACAAAGGAGTTTCTGAGAATCATTCTGTCTAGTTTCTATAGGAAGATATTTCCTATTCTACCATTGAACTCAAAGCGGCTGAAATCTCCACTTGCAAATTCCACATAAAGAGTGTTTCAAGTCTGCTCTGTGTAAAGGATCATTCAACTCTGTGAGTTGAATACACACAACACAAGGAAAGTTACTGACAATTCTTCTGTCTAGCATAGTATGAAGAAATCCCGTTTGCAAAGAAGGCCTCAAAGAGGTCTGAATATCCACTTGCAGAGTTTACAAACAGAGTGTTTCCTAACTGCTCTATGAAAAGAAAGGTTTAAACTCTGTGAGTTGAACGCACACATCACAAAGAAGTTTCTGAGAATCATTCTGTCTAGTTTCTATAGGAAGATATTTCCTATTCTACCATTGACCTCAAAGCGGCTGAAATCTCCACTTGCAATTTCGACAAAAAGAGTGTTTCAAGCCTGCTCTGTGTAAAGGATCCTTCAACTCTGTGAGTTGAATACACACAAAACAAGGAACTTACTGAGAATTATTCTGTCTAGCCTTATATGAAAAAAACCCCTTTCCAACGAAGGCCTCAAAGAGGTCTGAACATCCACTTGCAGACTTTACAAACAGAGTGTTTCCTAACTGCTCTATGAAAAGAAAGGTTAAACTCTGTGAGTTGAACGCACACATCACAAAGGAGTTTCTGAGAATCATTCTGTCTAGTTGTTATACGAAGATATTTCCTTTTCTACCATTGACCTCAAAGCGGCTGAAATCTCCACTTGCAAATTCCACCAAATGAGTGTTTCAAATCTGCTCTGTGTAAACGATCGTTCAACTCTGTGAGTTGAATACACACAACACAAGGAAGATTCTGAGAATTCTTCTGTCTAGCACAGTATGAAGAAACCCGTTTCCAACGAAGGCCTCAAAGAGGTCTGAATATCCACTTGCAGAGTTTAAAAACACAGTGTTTCGTAACTGCTCTATGAAAAGAAAGGTTAAACTCTGTGAGTTGAACGCACACATCACAAAGGAGTTTCTGAGAATCATTCTGTCTAGTTTCTATACGAAGATATTTCCTTTTCTACTATTGACCTCAAAGCGGCTGAAATCTCCCCTTGCAAATTCCACAAAAAGAGTGTTTCAAGTCTGCTCTGTGTAAAGGATCGTTCAACTCTGTGAGTTGAATACACACAACGCAAGGAAGTTACTGAGAATTCTTCTGTCTAGCAGAATATTAAGAAATCCCGTTTCCAACGGAGGCCTCAAGGAGGTCTGAATATCCACTTGCAGACTTTACAAACAGAGTGTTTCCTAACTGCTCTATGAAAAGAAAGGTTAAACTCTGTGAGTTGAACGCACACATCACAAAGGAGTTTCTGAGAATCATTCTGCCTAGTTTTGAAACGAAGATATTTCCTTTTCTGCCATTGACCTTAAAGCGCTTGAAATCTACACTTGCAAATTGCACAAATAGAGTGTTTCAAATCTGCTCTGTCTAAGGGAACGTTCAACTCTGTGAGTTGAATGCACACAACACAAGGAAGTTACTGGGAATTCTTCTGTCTAGCCTTACATGAAAAAAACCCGTTTCCAACGAAGGCCTCTAAGTGGTCAAATTATCCACGTGCAGACTTTACAAACAGAGTGTTTCCAAACTGCTGAAGGAAAAGAAAAGTTAAACTCTGAGAGTTGAACACACACATCGCAGAGCAGTTTCTTAGAATGATTCTGTCTAGTTTTTATACGAAGCATACTTCCTTTTCTGCCTTTGGCCTCACAGCGCTTGAAATCTCCACTTGCAAATTCCACAAAAAGAGTGTTTCAAATCTGCTCTGTGTAAATGAAAGTTCAACTCTGTGAGTTGAACACACACAACACAAGGAAAGTTAGTGGGAATTCTTCTGTCTAGCATAATATGAAGAAATCCCGTTTCCAACGAAGGCCTCAAAGGGGTCTGAATATCCAATTGCAGACTTTATAAACAGAGTGTTTACTAACTGCTCTATGAAAAGAAAGGTTAAACTCTGTGAGTTGAACACACACATCACAAAGGAGTTTCTGAGAATCATTCTCTCTAGTCTTTATACGAAGATATTTCCTTTTCTACCATTGACTTCAAAGCGGCTGAAATCTCCACTTGCAAATTCCACAAAAAGAGTGTTTCAAGTCTGCTCTCTGTAAAGGATCTTTCAACTCTGTGAGTTGAATACACACAACACAAGGAAGTTACTGAGAATTCTTCTGTCTAGCAGAATATGAAGAAATCCAGTTTCCAACGAAAGCCTCAAAGAGGTCTGAATATCCACTTGCAGACTTTACAAACAGAGTGTTTCCTAACTGCTCTATGAAAAGAAAGGTTAAACTCTGTGAGTTGAACGCACACATCACAAAGGAGTTTCTGAGAATCATTCTGTCTAATTTTTATACGAAGATATTTCCTTTTCTACCATTGACCTCAAAGCGGCTGAAATCTCCACTTGCAAATTCCACAAAAAGAGTGTTTCAAATCTGCTCTGTGTAAAGGATCGTTCAACTCTGTGAGTTGAATACACACAATAAAAGGAAGTTACTGAGAATTCTTCTGTCTAGCATAATATGAAGAAATCCCGTTTCCAACGAAGGCCTCAAGGAGGTCTGAATATCCACTTGCAGACTTTACAAACAGAGTGTTTCCTAACTGCTCTATGAAAAGAAAGGTTAAACTCTGTGTGTTGAACGCACACATCACAAAGGAGTTTCTGAGAATCATTCTGTCTAGTTTTTATACGAAGATATTTCCTTTTCTACCATGGACCTCAAAGCGGCTGAAATCTCCACTTGCAAATTCCACAAAAAGAGTGTTTCAAGTCTGCTCTGTGTAAAGGATCGTTCAACTCTGTGAGTTGAATACGCACAACACAAGGAAGATTCTGAGAATTCTTCTGTCTAGCAGAATATGAAGAAATCCCGTTTCCAACGAAGGCCACAAGATATCAGAATATCCACTTACAGAATTGACAAACAGACTGTTTCCTAACTGCTCTATGAAAAGAAAGGTTAAACTCTGTGAGTTGAACGAACACATCACAACGCAGTTTGTGGGAATGATTCTGTCTAGTTTTGAAACGAAGATATTTCCTTTTCTGCCATTGACCTTAAAGCCCTTGAAATCTACACTTGCAAATTGCACAAATAGAGTGTTTCAAATCTGCTCTGTCTAAGGGAACGTTCATCTCTGTGAGTTGAATGCACACAACACAAGGAAGTTACTGGGAATTCTTCTGTCTAGCCTTAAATGAAAAAACCCCGTTTCCATCGAAGGCCTCTAAGTGGTCAAAATATCCACGTGCAGACTTTACAAACAGAGTGTTTCCAAACTACTGAATGAAAAGAAAAGTTAAACTCTGAGAGTTGAACGCACACATCACAGAGCAGTTTCTGACAATGATTCTGTCTAGTTTCTATAGGAAGATATTTCCTATTCCACCATTGACCTCAAAGCGGCTGAAATCTCCACTTGCAAATTCCACAAAAAGACTGTTTCAAGACTGTTCTGTGTAAAGGATCATTCAACTCTGTGAGTTGAATACACACAACACAAGGAAGTTACTGAGAATTCTTCTTTCTAGCAGAATATGAAGAAATCCCGTTTCCAACGAAAGCTTCAAGGATGTCTGAATATCCACTTGCATACTTTACAAAGAGAGTGTTTCCTAACTGCTCTATGAAAAGAAAGGTTAAACTCTGTGAGTTGAACGCACACATCACAAAGGAGTTTCTCAGAATCATTCTGTCTAGTCTTTATACGAAGATATTTCGTTTTCTACCATTGACCTCAAAGCGGCTGAAATCTCCACTTGCAAATTCCACAAAAAGAGTGTTTCAAGTCTGCTCTCTGTAAAGGATCGTTCAACTCTGTGAGTTGAATACACACAACACAAGGAAGTTACTGAGAATTATTCTGTCTAGCCTTACATGAAAAAAACCCGTTTCCAATGAAGGCCTCTAAGTGGTCAAATTATCCACGTGCAGACTTTACAAACAGAGTGTTTCCAAACTGCTGAATGAAAAGAAAACTTAAACTCTGAGAGTTGAACGCACACATCGCAGAGCAGTTTCTGAGAATGATTCTGTCTAGTTTTTATACGAAGATATTTCCTTTTCTGCCTTTGGCCCCAAAGCGCTTGAAGTCTCCACTTACAAATTCCACAAAAACAGTGTTTCAAATCTGCACTCTCTAAATGATAGTTCAACTCTGTCAGTTGAATACACACAACACAAGAAAGTTACTGAGAATTCTTCTGTCTAGCCTTATATGAAAAAAACCCGTTTCCAACGAAGGCCTCTAAGTGGTCAAATTATCCACGTGCAGACTTTACAAACAGAGTGTTTCCAAACTGCTGAATGAACAGAAAAGTTAAACTCTGAGAGTTGAACGCACACATCACAGAGCAGTTTCTGAGAATGATTCTGTCTAGTTTTTACATGAAGATATTTCCTTTTCTACCATTGACCCCAAAGCGGCTGAAATCTCCACTTACAAATTCCACAAAAAGAGTGTCTCAAGTCTGCTCTGTGTAAACGATCGTTAAACTCTGTGAGTTGAATACACACAACACAAGGAAGTTTCTGAGAATTCTTCTGTCTAGCATAGTATGAAGAAATCCCGTTTCCAACGAAGGCCTCAAAGAGGTCTGAATATCCACTTGCAGAGTTTACAAACAGAGTGTTTCCTAACTGCTCTATGAAAAGAAAGTTTAAACTCTGTGAGTTGAACGCACACATCACAAAGAAGGTTCTGAGAATCATTCTGTCTAGTTTTTCTACGAAGATATTTCCTTTTCTGCCTTTGGCCTCAAAGCGCTTGAAATCTCCACTTGCAAATTCCACAAAAAGAGTGTTTCAAATCTGCTCTGTGTAAAGGATCGTTCAACTCTGTGAGTTGAACACACACAACACAAGGAAGTTACTGGGAATTCTTCTGTCTAGCAGAATATGAAGAAATCCCGTTTCCAACGAAGGCTTCAAAGAGGTCTGAATATCCGCTTGCAGACTTTACAAACAGAGTGTTTCCTAACTGCTCTATGAAAAGAAAGTTTAAACTCTGTGAGTTGAGCGCACACATCACAAAGGAGTTTCTGAGAATCATTCTGTCTAGTTTTTATACGAAGATATTTCCTTTTCTACCATTGACCTCAACGCGGCTGAAATCTCCACTTGCAAATTCCACAAAAAGAGTGTTTCAAGTCCACTCTGTGTAAAGGATCGTTCAACTCTGTGAGTTGAATACACACAGCACAAGGAAGTTACTGAGAATTCTTCTGTCTAGCCTTACATGAAAAAAACCCGTTTCCAAGGAAGGCCTCTAAGTGGTCAAATTATCCACGTGCAGACTTTACAAACAGAGTGTTTCCAAACTGCTGAATGAAAAGCAAAGTTAAACTCTGAGAGTTGAACGCACACATCGCAGAGCAGTTTCTGAGAATGATTCTGTCTAGTTTTTATACGAAGATATTTCCTTTTCTGCCTTTGGCCTCAAAGCTCTTGAAATCTCCATTTGCAAATTCCACAAAAAGAGTGTTTCAAATCTGCTCTGTGTAAATGAAAGTTCAACTCTGTGAGTTGAACACACACAACACAAGGAAGTTACTGGGAATTCTTCTGTCTAGCATAATATGAAGAAATCCCGTTTCCAACGAAGGCCTCAAAGAGGTCTGAATATCCACTTGCAGACTTTACAAACGGAGTGTTTCCTAACTGCTCTATGAAAAGAAAAGTTAAACTCTGTGAGTTGAACGCACACATCACAAAGGAGTTTCTGAGAATCATTCTGTCTAGTCTTTATACGGAGATATTTCCTTTTCTACCGTTGACCTCAAAGCGGCTGAAATCTCCACTTGCAAATTCCACAAAAAGAGTGTTTAAAGTCTGCTCTGTGTAAAGGATCGTTCAACTCTGTGAGTTGAATACACACAACACAAGGAAGTTAGTGAGAATTCTTCTGTCTAGCATAATATGAAGAAATCCCGTTTCCAACGAAGGCCTCAAGGAGGTCTGAATATCCACTTGCAGGCTTTACAAACAGAGTGTTTCCTAACTGCTCTATGAAAAGAAAAGTTAAACTCTGTGAGTTGAACGCACACATCACAAAGTAGTTTCTCAGAATCATTCTGTCTAGTTTTTATACGAAGATATTTCCTTTTCTACCATTGACCTCAAAGCGGCTGAAATCTCCACTTGCAAATTCCACAAAAAGAGTGTTTCAAATCTGCTCTGTGTAAACCATCGTTCAACTCTGTGAGTTGAATACACACAACACAAGGAAGATTGTGAGAATTCTTCTGTCTAGCAGAATATGAAGAAATCCCGTTTCCAACGAAGGCCACAAGATGTCAGAATATCCACTTACAGACTTTACAAATAGAGTTTTTCCTAACTGCTCTATGAACAGAAAGGTTAAACTCTGTGAGTTGAACGAACACATCACAACGCAGTTTGTGGGAATGATTCTGTCTAGTTTTCAAACGAAGATATTTCCTTTTCTGCCATTGACCTTAAAGCGCTTGAAATCTCCATTTGCCAATTGCACAAAAAGAGTGTTTCAAATCTGCTCTGTCTAAGGGAACGTTCAACTCTGTGAGTTGAATGTACACAACACAAGGAAGTTACTGGGAATTCTTGTGTCTAGCCTTACATGAAAAAAACCCGTTTCCAACGAAGGCCTCTAAGTAGTCAAATTATCCACGTGCAGACTTTACAAACAGAGTGTTTCCAAACTGCTGAATGAAAAGAAAAGTTGAACTCGGAGAGTTGAACGCACACATCGCAGAGCAGTTTCTGAGAATGATTCTGTCTACTTTTTATACGAAGATATTTCGTTTTCTGCCTTTGGCCCCAAAGCACTTGAAATCTCCACTTGCAAATTCCACAAAAACAGTGTTTCAAATCTGCTCTCTCTAAATGAAAGTTCAACTCTGTCAGTTGAATACACACAACACAAGGGAAGTTACTGAGAATTCTTCTGTCTAGCCTTATATGAAAAAAACCCGTTTCCAACGAAGGCCTCAAAGAGGGCTGAATATCCACTTGCAGACTTTACAAGCAGAGTGTTTCCTAACTGCTCTATGAAAAGAAAGGTTAAACTCTGTGAGTTGAACGCACACATCACAAAGGAGTTTCTGAGAATCATTACTGTGTAGTTTTTATAGGAAGATATTTCCTTTTCTACCTTTGACTTCAAAGCGGCTGAAATCTCCACTTGCAAATTCCACAAAAAGAGTGTTACAAGTCTGCTCTGTGTAAAGGATCGTTCAACTCTGTGAGTTGAATACACACAACACAAGGAAGTTACTGAGAATTCTTTCTGTCTAGCCTTATATGAACAAAACCCGTTTCCAACGAACGCCTCAAAGAGGTCTCAATATCCACTTGCAGACTTTACAAACAGAGTGTTTCCTAACTGCTCTATGAAAAGAAAGGTTAAACTCTGTGAGTTGAACGTACACATCACAAAGGAGTTTCTGAGAATCATTCTGTCTAGTTTTTATACGAAGATATTTCCTTTTCTACCATGGACCTCAAAGCGGCTGAAATCTCCACTTGCAAATTCCACAAAAAGAGTGTTTCAAGTCTGCTCTGTGTAAAGGATCGTTCAACTCTGTGAGTTGAATACACACAACACAAGGAAGATTCTGAGATTTCTTCTGTCTAGCAGAATATGAAGAAATCCCGTTTCCAACGAAGGCCTCAAGGAGGTCTGAATATCCACTTGTAGACTTTACAAACAGAGTGTTTCCTAACTGCTCTATGAACAGAAAGGTTAAACTCTGTGAGTTGAACGAACACATCACAACGCAGTTTGTGGGAATGATTCTGTCTAGTTTTGAAACGAAGATATTTCCTTTTCTGCCATTGACCTTAAAGCACTTGAAATCTCCACTTGCCAATTGCACAAAAAGAGTGTTTCAAATCTGCTCTGTCTATGGGAACGTTCAACTCTGTGAGTTGAATGTACACAACACAAGGAAGTTACTGGGAATTCTTCTGTCTAGCCTTACAAGAAAAAAACCCGTTTCCAACGAAGGCCTCTAAATGGTGAAAATATCCACGTGCAGACTTTACAAACAGAGTGTTTCCAAACTGCTGAATGAAAAGAAAAGTTAAACTCTGAGAGTTGAACGCACACATCGCAGAGCAGTTTCTGAGAATGATTCTGTCTAGTTTTTATACGAAGATATTTCCATTTCTGCCTTTGGCCCCAAAGCGCTTGAAATCTCCACTTGCAAATTCCACAAAAACAGTGTTACAAATCTGCTCTCTCTAAATGAAAGTTCAACTCTGTCAGTTGATTACACACAACACAAGGAAGTTACTGAGAATTCTTCTGTCTAGCAGAATACGAAGAAATCCCGTTTCCAACGAAGGCCTCAAAGAGGTCTGACATATCCACTTGCAGACTTTACAAACAGAGTGTTTCCTAACTGCTCTATGAAAAGAAAAGTTAAACTCTGTGAGTTGAACGCACACATCACAAAGGAGTTTCTGAGAATCATTCTGTCTAGTTTTTATACGAAGATATTTCCTTTTCTACCATTGACCTCAACGCGGCTGAAATCTCCACTTGCAAATTCCACAAAAAGAGTGTTTCAAGTCTGCTCTGTGTAAAGGATCGTTCAACTCTGTGAGTTGAATACACACAACACAAGGAAGTTACTGAGAATCTTCTGTCTAGCCTTACATGAAAAAAACCAGTTTCCAACGAAGGCCTCTAAGTAGTCAAATTATCCACGTGCAGATTTTACAAACAGAGTGTTTCCAAACTGCTGAATGAAAAGAAAAGTTAAACTCTGAGAGTTAAACGCACACATCGCAGAGCAGTTTCTGAGAATGATTCTGTCTAGTTTTTATACGAAGATATTTCCTTTTCTGCCTTTGGCCTCAAAGCGCTTGAAATCTCCATTTGCAAATTCCACAAAAAGAGTGTATCAAATCTGCTCTGTGTAAATGAAAGTTCAACTCTGTGAGTTGAACACACACAACACAAGGAAGTTACTGGGAATTCTTCTGTCTAGCCTTATATGAAAAAAACCCGTTTCCAACGAAGGCCTCAAAGAGGTCTGAATATCCACTTGCAGACTTTACAAACAGAGTGTTTCCTAACTGCTCTATGAAAAGAAAGGTTAAACTCTGTGACTTGAACGCACACATCACAAAGGAGTTTCTGAGTATCATTCTGTCTAGTTTCTATAGGAAGATATTTCCTATTCTACCATTGACCTCAAAGCGGCTGAAATCTCAACTTGCAAATTCCACAAAAAGAGTGTTTCAAGTCTGCTCTCTGTAAAGGATCGTTCAACTCTGTGAGTTGAATACACACAACACAAGGTAGTTACTGAGAATTCTTCTGTCTAGCAGAATATGAGGAAATCCCGTTTCCAACGAAGGCCTCAAGGAGGTCTGAATATCCACTTGCAGACTTTACAAACAGAGTGTTTCCTAACTGCTCTATGAAAAGAAAGGTTAAACTCTGTGAGTTGAATGCACACATCACAAAGGAGTTTCTGAGAATCATTCTGTCTAGTTTCTATAGGAAGATATTTCCTATTCTACCATTGACCTCAAAGCGGCTGAAATCTCCACTTGCAAATTCCACCAAAAGGGTGTTTCAAGTCTGCTCTGTGTAAAGGATCGTTCAACTCTGTGAGTTGAATAGACACAACACAAGGAAGATACTGAGAATTCTTCTGTCTAGCATAATATGAAGAAATGCCGTTTCCAACGAAGGCCTCAAAGGGGTCTGAATATCCACTTGCAGACTTTATAAACGGAGTGTTTACTAACTGCTCTATGAAAAGAAAGGTTAAACTCTGTGAGTTGAACACACACATCACAAAGGAGTTTCTGAGAATCATTCTGTCTAGTCTTTATACGAAGATATTTCTTTTTCTACCATTGACCTCAAAGCGGCTAAAATCTCCACTTGCAAATTCCACAAAAAGAGTGTTTCAAGTCTGCTCTGTGTAAAGGATCGTTCAACTCTGTGAGTAGAATACACACAACACAAGGAAGTTACTGAGAATTCTTCTGTCTAGCCTTATATGAAAAAAACCCGTTTCCAACGAAGGCCTCAAAGAGGTCTGAATATCCACTTGCAGACTTTACAAACAGAGTGTTTCCTAACTGCTCTATGAAAAGAAAGGTTAAACTCTGTGAGTTCAACGCACACATCACAAAGGAGTTTCTGAGAATCATTCTGTCTAGTCTTTATACGAAGATATTTCCTTTTCTACCATTGACCACAAAGCGGCTGAAATCTCCACTTGCAAATTCCACAAAAAGAGTGTTTCAAGTCTGCTCTGTGTAAAGGATCATTCAACTCTGTGAGTTGAATACACACAACACAAGGAAGTTACTGAGAATTCTTCTGTCTAGCCTTATATGAAAAAAACCCGTTTCCAACGAAGGCCTCAAAGAGGTCTGAATATCCACTTGCAGACTTTACAAACAGAGTGTTTCCTAACTGCTCTATGAAAAGAAAGGTTAAACTGTGTGAGTTGAACACACACATCACAAAGGAGTTTCTGAGAATCATTCTGTCTAGTTTTTATAGGAAGATATTTCCTTTTCTACCTTTGACTTCAAATCTGCTGAAATCTCCACTTGCGAATTCCACAAAAAGAGTGTTACAAGTCTGCTCTGTGTAAAGGATCGTTCAACTCTGTGAGTTGAATACACACAACACAAGGAAGTTACTGAGAATTCTTCTGTCTAGCATAATATGAAGAAATCCCGTTTCCAACGAAGGCCTCAAGGAGGTCTGAAAATCCACTTGCACACTTTACAAACAGAGTGTTTCCTAACTGCTCTATGAAAAGAATGGTTAAACTCTGTGAGTTAAACGCAGACATCACAAAGGAGTTTCTGAGAATCACTCTGTCTAGTTTTTATACGAAGATATTTCCTTTTCTACCATTGACCTCAAAGCGGCTGAAATCTCCACTTGCAAATACCAGAAAAAGAGTGTTTCAAGTCTGCTCTGTGTAAAGGATCGTTGAAATCTGTGAGTTGAATACACACAACACAATGAAGTTACTGAGAATTCTTCTGTCTAGCACAGTATGAAGAAATCCCGTTTCCAGCGAAGGCCTCAAAGAGGTCTGAATATCCACTTGCAGAGTTTACAAACAGAGTGTTTCCTAACTGCTCTATGAAAAGAAAAGTTAAACTCTGTGAGTTGAACGCACACATCACAAAGAAGTTTCTGAGAATCATTCTGTCTAGTTTCTATAGGAAGATATTTCCTATTCTACCTTTGACCACAAAGCGGCTGAAATCTCCACTTGCAAATTCCACAAAAAGAGTGTTTCAAGTCTGCTCTGTGTAAAGGATCGTTGAACTCTGTGAGTTGAATACACACAACACAAGGAAGTTACTGAGAATTCTTCTGTCTAGCAGAATATGAAGAAATCCCGTTTCCAACGAAGGCCACAAGATGTCAGAATATCCACTTACAGACTTTACAAACAGAGTGTTTCCTAACTGCTCTATGAACAGAAAGGTTAAACTCTGTGAGTTGAACAAACACATCACAATGCAGTTTGTGGGAATGATTCTGTCTAGTTTTGAAACGACGATATTTCCTTTTCTGCCATTGACCTTAAAGCGCTTGAAATCTCCATTTGCCAATTGCACAAAAAGAGTGTTTCAAATCTGCTCTGTCTAAGGTAACGTTCAACTCTGTGAGTTGAATGTACACAACACAAGGAAGTTACTGGGAATTCTTCTGTCTAGCCTTACATGAAAAAAACCCGTTTCCAACGAAGGCCTCTAAGTGGTCAAGTTATCCACGTGTAGACTTTACAAACAGAGTGTTTCCAAACTGCTGAATGAAAAGAAAAGTTAAACTCTGAGAGTTGAACGCACACATCGCAGAGCAGTTTCTGAGAATGATTCTGTCTAGTTTTGAAACGAAGTTATTTCCTTTTCTGCCTTTGGCCTCAAAGCGCTTGAAATCTCCACTTGCAAATTCCACAAAAAGAGTGTTTCAAATCTTCTCTGTGTAAATGAAAGTTCAACTCTGTGACTTGAACACACACAACACAAGGAAGTTACTGGGAATTCTTCTGTCTAGCAGAATATGAAGAAATCCCGTTTCCAACGAAGGCCTCAAAGAGGTCTTAATATCCACTTGCAGACTTTACAAACTGAGTGTTTCCTAACTGCTCTATGAAAAGAAAGGTTAAACTCTGTGAGTTGAACGCACACATCCCAAAGGAGTTTCTGAGAATCATTCTGTCTAGTTTTTCTACGAAGATGTTTCCTTTTCTACTATTGACCTCAAAGCGGCTGAAATCTCCTATTGCAAATTCCACAAAAAGAGTGTTTCAAGTCTTCTCTGTGTAAAGGATCGTTCAACTCTGTGAGTTGAATACACACAACACAAGGAAGTTACTGAGAATTCTTCTGTCTAGCAGAATATGAAGAAATCCCGTTTCCAACGAAAGCCTCAAAGAGGTCTGAATATCCACTTGCAGACTTTACAAACAGAGTGTTTCCTAACTGCTCTATGAAAAGAAAGGTTAAACTCTGTGAGTTGAACGCACATATCACAAAGGAGTTTCTGAGAATCATTCTGTCTAGTTTCTATAGGAAGATATTTCCTATTCTACCATTGAACAAAAAGCGGCTGAAATCTCCACCTGCAAATTCCACAAAAAGAGTGTTTCAAGTCTGCTCTGTGTAAAGGATCGTTGAAATCTGTGAGTTGAATACACACAACACAAGGAAGTTACTGAGAATTCTTCTGTCTATCAGAATATGAAGAAATCCCGTTTCCAACGAAGGCCTCAAAGAGGTCTGAATATCCACTTGCAGACTTTACAAACAGAGTGTTTCCTAACTGTTCTATGAAAAGAAAAGTTAAACACTGTGAGTTGAACGCACACATCACAAAGGAGTTTCTGAGAATCATTCTGTCTAGTTTTTCTACGATGATATTTCCTATTCTACCATTGACCTCAAAGCGGCTGAAATCTCCACTTGCAAATTCCACAAAAAGAGTGTTTCAAGTCTGCTCTGTGTAAAGGATCGTTCAACTCTGTGAGTTGAATACACACAAAAAAAGGAAGTTACTGAGAATTCCTCTGTCTAGCAGAATATGAAAAAATCCCGTTTCCAACGAAGGCCACAAGATGTCAGAATATCCACTTACAGAATTGACAAACAGACTGTTTCCTAACTGCTCTATGAAAAGAAAGGTTAAACTCTGTGAGTTGAACGAACACATCACAACGCAGTTTGTGGGAATGATTCTGTCTAGTTTTGAAACGAAGATATTTCCTTTTCTGCCATTGACCTTAAAGCGCTTGAAATCTCCACTTGCCAATTGCACAAAAAGAGTGTTTCAAATCTGCTCTGTCTAAGGGAACGTTCAACTCTGTGAGTTGAATGTACACAACACAAAGAAGTTACTGCGAATTCTTCTGTCTAGCCTTACAAGAATAAAACCCGTTTCGAACGAAGGCCTCTAAGTGGTCAAAATATCCACGTGCAGACTTTACAAAGAGAGTGTTTCCAAACTGCTGAATGAAAAGAAAAATTAAACTCTGAGAGTTGAATGCACACATCGCAGAGCAGTTTCTGAGAATGATTCTGTCTAGTTTTTATACGAAGATAATTCCTTTTCTGCCTTTGGCCTCAAAGCGCATGAAATCTCCATTTGCAAATTCCACAAAAAGAGTGTTTCAAATCTGCTCTGTGTAAATGAAAGTTCAACTCTGTGAGTTGAACACACACAACACAAGGAAGTTACTGGGAATTCTTCTGTCTAGCATCATATGAAGAAATCCCCTTTCCAACGAAGGCCTCAAAGAGGTCTGTATATCCACTTGCAGACTTTACAAACAGAGTGTTTCCTAACTGCTCTATGAAAAGAAAGGTTAAACTGTGTGAGTTGAACGCACACATCACAAAGGAGTTTCTGAGAATCATTCTGTCTAGTTTCTATAGGAAGATATTTCTTATTCTACCATTGACCTCAAAGCGGCAGAAATCTCCACTTGCAAATTTCACAAAAAGAGTGTTTCAAGTCTGCTCTTTGTAAAGGATCGTTCAACACTGTGAGTTGAATACACACAACACAAGGAAGTTACTGAGAATTCTTCTGTCTAGCCTTACATGAAAAAAAACCCGTTTCCAACGAAGGCCTCTAAGTGGTCAAAATATCCACGTGCAGTCTTTACAAACAGAGTGTTTCCAAACCGCTGAATGAAAAGAAAAGTTAAACTCTGAGACTTGAACGCACACATCACGCAGCAGTTTACTGAGAATGATCTGTCTAGTTTTTATACGAAGATATTTCCTTTTCTGCCTTTGGCCTCAAAGCGCTTGAAATCTCCACTTGCAAATTCCACAAAAAGAGTGTTTCAAATCTGCTCTGTGTAAATGAAAGTTCAACTCTGTGAGTTGAACACACACAACACAAGGAAGTTACTGGGAATTCTTCTGTCTAGCATAGTATGAAGAAATCCCGTTTCCAACGAAGGCCTCAAAGAGGTCTGAATATCCACTTGCAGAGTTTACAAACAGAGTGTTTCCTAACTGCTCTATGAAAAGAAAGGTTAAACTCTGTGAGTTGAACGCACACATCACAAAGAAGTTTCTGAGAATCACTCTGTCTAGTTTTTATACGAAGATATTTCCTTTTCTACCATTGACCTCAAAGCGGCTGAAATCTCCACTTGCAAATTCCACCAAAAGAGTGTTTCAAATCTGCTCTGTGTAAACCATCGTTCAACTCTGTGAGTTGAATACACACAACACAAGGGAAGATTCTGAGAATTCTTCTGTCTAGCAGAATATGAAGAAATCCCGTTTCCAACGAAGTCCTCAAGGAGGTCTGAATACCCACTTGCAGACTTTACAAACAGAGTGTTTCCTAACTGCTCTATGAACAGAAAGGTTAAACTCTGTGAGTTGAACGAACACATCACAACGCAGTTTGTGGGAATGATTCTGTCTAGTTTTGAAACGAAGATATTTCCTTTTCTGCCATTGACCTTAAAGCGCTTGAAATCTACACTTGCAAATTGCACAAATAGAGTGTTTCAAATCTGCTCTGTCTAGGGGAACGTTCAACTCTGTGAGTTGAATGCACACAACACAAGGAAGTTACTGGGAATTCTTCTGTCTAGCCTTACATGAAAAAAACCCGTTTCCAACGAAGGCCTCTAAGGGGTCAAAATATCCTCGTGCAGACTTTACAAACAGAGTGTTTCCAACCCGCTGAATGAAAAGAAAAGTTAAACTCTGAGAGTTGAACGCACACATCACGCAGCAGTTTCTGAGAATGATTCTGTCTAGTTTTTATACGAAGATATTTCCTTTTCTGCCTTTGGCCCCAAAGCGCTTGAAATCTCCACTTGCAAATTCCACAAAAACAGTGTTTCAAATCAGCTCTCTCTAAATGAAAGTTCAACTGTGTCAGTTGAATACACACAACACAAGGAAGTTACTGAGAATTCTTCTGTCTAGCATAATATGAAGAAATCCCGTTTCCAACGAAGGCCTCAAAGAGGTCTGAATATCCACTTGCAGACTTTACAAACAGAGTGTTTCCTAACTGCTCTATGAAAAGAAAAGTTAAACTCTGTGAGTTGAACACACACATCACAAAGGATTTTCTGAGAATCATTCTGCCTAGTTTTTCTACGAAGATATTTCCTTTTCTACTATTGACCTCAAAGCGGCTGAAATCTCCACTTGCAAATTCCACAAAAAGAGTGTTTCAAGTCTGCTCTGTGTAAAGGATCGTTCAACTCTGTGAGTTGAATACACTCAACACAAGGAAGTTACTGAGAATTCTTCTGTATAGCAGAATATGAAGAAATCCCGTTTCCAACGAAGGCCACAAGATGTCACAATATCCACTTACAGAATTTACAAACAGACTGTTTCCTAACTCCTCTATGAAAACAAAGGTTAAACTCTGTGAGTTGAACGAACACATCACAACGCAGTTTGTGGGAATTATTCTGTCTAGTTTTTATAGGAAGATATTTCCTTTTCTACCTTTGACTTGAAAGCGGCTGAAATCTCCACTTGCAAATTCCACAAAAAGAGTGTTACAAGTCTGCTCTGTGTAAAGGATCGTTCAACTCTGTGAGGTGAATACACACAACACAAGGAAGTTACTGAGAATTCTCTGTCTAGCCTTACATGAAAAAAACCCGTTTCCAACGAAGGCCTCTAAGTGGTCAAGTTATCCACGTGCAGACTTTACAAACAGAGTGTTTCCAAACTGCTGAATGAAAAGAAAAGTTAAACTCTGAGAGTTGAACGCACACATCGCAGAGCAGTTTCTGAGAAGATTCTCTGTCTAGTTCCTATAGGAAGATATTTCCTATTCTACCATTGACCTCAAAGCGGCTGAAATCTCCACTTGCAAATTCCACAAAAAGAGTGTTTCAAGTCTGCACTGTGTAAAGGATCGTTCAACTCTTTGAGTTCAATACACACAACACAATGAAGTTTCTGAGAATTCTTCTGTCTAGCAGAATATGAAGAAATCCCGTTTCCAACGAAAGCCTCAAAGAGGTCTGAATATCCACTTGCAGACTTTACAAACAGAGTGTTTCCTAACTGCTCTATGAAAAGAAAGGTTAAACTCTGTGAGTTGAATGCACACATCATAAAGGAGTTTCTGAGAATCATTCTGTCTAGTTCTTATACGAAGATATTTCCTTTTCTACCATTGACCTCAAAGCGGCTGAAATCTCCACTTGCAAATTCCACAAAAAGAGTGTTTCAAGTCTGCTCTGTGTAAAGGATCGTTCAACTCTGTGAGTTGAATACACACAACACAAGGAAGTTACTGAGAATTCTTCTGTCTAGCAGAATATGAAGAAATCCCGTTTCCAACGAAGGCCACAAGATGTCAGAATATCCACTTACAGACTTTACAAACAGAGTGTTTCCTAACTGCTCTATGAACAGAAAGGTTAAACTCTGTGAGTTGAACGAATACATCACAACGCAGTTTGTGGGAATGATTCTGTCTAGTTTTGAAACGAAGATATTTCCTTTTCTGCCATTGACCTTAAAGCGCTTGAAATCTACACTTGCAAATTGCACAAATAGAGTGTTTCAAATCTGCTCTGTCTAAGGGAACGTTCAACTCTGTGAGTTGAATGCACACAACACAAGGAAGTTACTGGGAATTCTCTGTCTAGCCTTACAAGAAAAAAACCCGTTTCCAACGAAGGCCTCTAAATGGTCAAAATGTCCACGTGCAGACTTTACAAACAGAGTGTTTCCAAACTGCTGAATGAAAAGAAAAGTTAAACTCTGAGAGTTGAACGCACACATCGCAGAGCAGTTTCTGAGAATGATTCTGTCTAGTTTTTATACGAAGACATCTCCTTTTCTGCCTTTGGCCTCAAAGCGCTTGAAATCTCCACTTGCAAATTCCACAAAAAGAGTGTTTCAAATCTGCTCTGTGTAAATCAAAGTTTAACTCTGTGAGTTGAACACACACAACACAAGGAAGTTACTGGGAATTCTTCTGTCTAGCATAATATGAAGAAATCCCGTTTCCAACGAAGACCTCAAAGAGGTCTGAATATCCACTTGCACACTTTACAAACAGAGTGTTTCCTAACTGCTCTATGAGAAGAAAAGTTAAACTCTGTGAGTTGAACGCACACATCACAAAAGATTTTCTGAGAATCATTCTGTGTAGTCTTTATACGAAGATATTTCCTTTTCTACCATTGACCTCAAAGCGGCTGAAATCTCCACTTGCAAATTCCACAAAAAGTGTGTTTCAAGTCTGCTCTGTGTAAAGGATCGTTCAACTCTGTGAGTTGAATACACACAACACAAGGAAGTTACTGAGAATTCTTCTGTCTAGCAGAATATGAAGAAATCCCGTTTCCAGCGAAGGCCACAAGATGTCAGAATATCCACTTACAGACTTTACAAACAGAGTGTTTCCTAACTGCTCTATGAACAGAAAGGTTAAACTCTGTGTGTTGAACGCACACATCACAAAGGAGTTTATGGGAATCATTCTGTCTAGTTTTGAGACGAAGATATTTCCTTTTCTGCCATTGACCTTAAAGCGCTTGAAATCTACACTTGCAAATTGCACAAATAGAGTGTTTCAAATCGGCTCTGTCTAAGGGAACGTTCAACTCTGTGAGTTGAATGCACACAACACAAGGAAGTTACTGGGAATTCTTCTGTCTAGCCTTACAGGAAAAAAACCCGTTTCCAACGAAGGCCTGTAAGTGGTCAAAATATCCACGTGCAGACTTTACAAACAGAGTGTTTCCAAACTGCTGAATGAAAAGAAAAGTTAAACTCTGAGAGTTGAATGCACACATCGCAGAGCAGTTTCTGAGAATGATTCTGTCTAGTTTTTATACGAAGATATTTCCTTTTCTGCCTTTGGCCCCAAAGTGCTTGAAATCTCCACTTGCAAATTCCACAAAAACAGTGTTTCAAATCTGCTCTCTCTAAATGAAAGTTCAACTCTGTCAGTTGAATAAACACAACACAAGGAAGTTACTGAGAATTCTTCTGTCTAGCAGAATATGAAGAAATCCCGTTTCCAACGAAGGCCTCAAAGAGGTCTGAATATCCACTTGCAGACTTTACAAACAGAGTGTTTCCTAACTGCTCTATGAACAGAAAGGTTAAACTCTGTGAGGTGAACGCACACATCACAAAGGAGTTTCTGAGAATCATTCTGTCTAGTTTTTATAGGAAGATATTCCCTTTTCTACCTTTGACTTCAAAGCGGCTGAAATCTCCACTTGCAAATTCCACAAAAAGAGTGTTTCAAATCTGCTCTGTGTAAACAATCGTTCAACTGTGTGAGTTGAATACACACAACACAAGGAAGATTCTGAGAATTCTTCTGTCTAGCAGATTATGAAGAAATCCCGTTTCCAACGAAGGCCACAAGATGTCAGAATATCCACTTACAGAATTGACAAACAGACTGTTTCCTAACTGCTCTATGAAAAGAAAGGTTAAACTCTGTGAGTTGAACGAACACATCACAACGCAGTTTGTGCGAATGATTCTGTCTAGTTTTTATACGAAGATATTTCTTTTTCTACCATTGATCTCAAAGCGGCTGAAATCACCACTTGCCAATTGCACAAAAAGAGTGTTTCAAATCTGCTCTGTCTAAGGGAACGTTCAACTCTGTGAGTTGAATGTACACAACACAAGGAAGTTACTGGGAATTCTTCTGTCTAGCCTTACATGAAAAATCCCGTTTCCAACGAAGGCCTCTAAGTGGTCAAATTATCCACGTGCAGACTTTAAAAACAGAGTGTTTCCAAACTGCTGAATGAAAAGAAAAGTTAAACTCTGAGAGTTGAACGCACACATCACAGAGCAGTTTCTGAGAATGATTCTGTGTAGTTTTTATACGAAGATATTTCCTTTTCGGCCTTTGGCCTCAAAGCGCTTGAAATCTCCACTTGCAAATTCCACAAAAAGAGTGTTTCAAATCTGCTCTGTGTAAATGAAAGTTCAACTCTGTGAGTTGAACACACACATCACAAGGAAGTTACTGGGAATTCTTGTGTCTAGCATAATATGAAGAAATCCCGTTTCCAACGAAGGCCTCAAGGAGGTCTGAATATCCACTTGCAGACTTTACAAACAGAGTGTTTCCTAACTGCTCTATGGAAAGAAAGGTTAAACTCTGTGAGTTGAACGCACACATCACAAAGGAGTTTCTGAGAATCATTCTGTCTAGTTTTTATACGAAGATATTTCCTTTTCTACCATGGACCTCAAAGCGGCTGAAATCTCCACTTGGAAATTCCACAAAAAGAGTGTTTCAAGTCTGCTCTGTGTAAAGGATCGTTCAACTCTGTGAGTTGAATACACACAACACAAGGAAGATTCTGAGAATTCTTCTGTCTAGCAGAATATGAAGAAATCCCGTTTCCAACGAAGGCCTCAAGGATGTCTGAATATCCACTTGCAGACTTTACAAACAGAGTGTTTCCTAACTGCTCTATGAAAAGAAAGGTTAAACTCTGTGAATTGAACGCACACATCACAAAGGAGTTTATGAGAATCATTCTGTCTAGTCTTTATACGAAGATATTTCCTTTTCTACCATTGACCTCAAAGCGGCTGAAATCTCCACTTGCAAATTCCACAAAAAGAGTGTTTCAAGTCTGCTCTGTGTAAAGGATGGTTCAACTCTGTGAGTTGAATACACAGAACACAAGGAAGTTACTGAGAATTCTTATGTCTAGCAGAATATGAAGAAATCCCGTTTCCAACGAAGGTCACAAGATGTCAGAATATCCACTTAAAGAATTTACAAACAGACTGTTTCCTAACTGCTCTATGAAAAGAAAGGTTAAACTCTGTGAGTTGAACGAACACATCACAACGCAGTTTGTGGGAATGATTCTGTCTAGTTTTTATACGAAGATATTTCCTTTTCTACCATTGACCTCAAAGCGGCTGAAATCACCACTTGCCAATTGCACAAAAAGAGTGTTTCAAATCTGCTCTGTCTAAGGAAACGTTCAACTCTGTGAGTTGAATGTACACAACACAAGGAAGTTACTGGGAATTCTTCTGTCTAGCCTTACAGGAAAAAAACCCGTTTCCAACGAAGACCTCTAAGTGGTCAAAATATCCACGTGCAGACTTTACAAACAGAGTGTTTTCAAACTGCTGAATGAAAAGAAAAGTTAAACTCTGAGAGTTGAACGCACACATCGCAGAGCAGTTTCTGAGAATGATTCTGTCTAGTTTTGAAACGAAGATATTTCCTTTTCTGCCTTTGGCCTCAAAGCGCTTGAAATCTCCACTTGCAAATTCCATAAAAAGAGTGTTTCAAATCTGCTCTGTGTGAATGAAAGTTCAACTCTGTGAGTTGAATACACACAACACAAGGAAGTTACTGAGAATTCTTCTGTCTAGCAGAATATGAAGAAATCCCGTTTCCAACGAAAGCCTCAAAGATGTCTGAATATCCACTTGCAGACTTTACAAAGAGAGTGTTTCCTAACTGCTCTATGAAAAGAAAGGTTAAACTCTGTGAGTTGAACGCACACATCACAAAGGAGTTTCTGAGAATCATTCTGTCTAGTTTCTATAGGAAGATATTTCCTTTTCTACCATTGACCTCAAAGCGGCTGAAATCTCCACTTGTAAATTCCACAAAAACAGTGTTTCAATTCTGCTCTGTGTAAAGGATCGTTCAACTCTGTGAGTTGAATACACACAACACAAGGAAGTTACTGAGAATTCTTCTGTCTAGCCTTACATGAAAAAAACCCGTTTCCAACGAAGGCCTCTAAGTGGTCAAATTATCCACTTGCAGACTTTACAAACAGAGTGTTTCCAAACTGCTGAATGAAAAGAAAAGTTAAACTCTGAGAGTTGAACGCACACATCACAGAGCAGTTTCTGAGAATGATTCTGTCTAGTTTTTATACGAAGATATTTCCTTTTCTGCCTTTGGCCTCAAAGCGCTTGAAATCTCCAAATGCAAATTCCACAAAAAGAGTGTTTCAAATCTGCTCTGCGTAAATTAAAGTTCAACTCTGTGAGTTGAACACACACAACACAAGGAAGTTACTGGGAATTCTCCTTTCTAGCAGAATATGAAGAAATCCCGTTTCCAACGAAAGCCTCAAGGATGTCTGAATATCCACTTGCAGACTTTACAAACAGAGTGTTTCCCAACTGCTCTATGAAAAGAAAGGTTAAACTCTGTGAGTTGAACGCACACATCACAAAGGAGTTTCTGAGAATCATTCTGTCTAGTTTTTATACGAAGATATTTCCTTTTCTACCTTTGACCTCAAAGGGGCTGAAATCTCCACTTGCAAATTCCACAAAAAGAGTGTTTCTAGTCTGCTCTGTGTAAAGGATCGTTCAACTCTGTGAGTTGAATACACACAACACAAGGAAGTTACTGAGAATTCTTCTGTCTAGCCTTACATGAAAAAAACCCGTTTCCAACGAAGGCCTCTAAGTGGTCAAGTTATCCACGTGCAGACTTTACAAACAGAGTGTTTCCAAACTTATGAATGAAAAGAAAAGTTAAACTCTGAGAGTTGAACGCACACATCGCAGAGCAGTTTCTGAGAATGATTCTGTCTAGTTTTGAAACGAAGATATTTCCTTTTCTGCCTTTAGCCTC
This sequence comes from Homo sapiens, assembly GCF_000001405.40. Classification (NCBI taxonomy): domain Eukaryota; kingdom Metazoa; phylum Chordata; class Mammalia; order Primates; family Hominidae; genus Homo; species Homo sapiens. Next base: position 47,560,054 of record NC_000005.10, on the reverse strand, counting down.
AAAGCGCTTGAAATCTCCACTTGCAAATTCCACAAAAACAGTGTTTCAAGTCTGCTCTGTGTAAAGGATCGTTCAACTCTGTGAGTTGAATACACACAACACAAGGAAGTTACTGAGAATACTTCTGTCTAGCACAGTAGGAAGAAATCCCGTTTCCAACGAAGGCCTCAAAGAGGTCTGAATATCCACTTGCAGACTTTACAAACAGAGTGTTTCCTAACTGCTCTATGAAAAGAAAGGTTAAACTCTGTGAGTTGAACGCACACGTCACAATGAAGTTTCTGAGAATCATTCTGTCTAGTTTTTATACGAAGATATTTCCTTTTCTACCATTGACCTCAAAGCGGCTGAAATCACCACTTGCCAATTGCACAAAAAGAGTGTTTCAAATCTGCTCTGTCTAAGGGAACGTTCAACTCTGTGAGTTGAATGTACACAACACATGGAAGTTCCTGGGAATTCTTCTGTCTAGCCTTACAAGAAAAAAACCCGTTTCCAACGAAGGCCTCTAAGTGGTCAAAATATCCACGCGCAGACTTTACAAACAGAGTGTTTCCAAACTGCTGAATGAAAAGAAAAGTTAAACTCTGAGAGTTGAACGCACACATCGCAGAGCACTTTCTGAGAATGATTCTGTCTAGTTTTGAAACGAAGATATTTCCTTTTCTGCCTTTGGCCTCAAAGCGCTTGAAATCTCCACTTGCAAATTCCACAAAAAGAGTGTTTCAAATCTGCTCTGTGTAAATGAAAGTTCAACTCTGTGAGTTGAACGCACACAACACAAGGAAGTTACTGGGAATTCTTCTCTCTAGCCTTATATGAAAAAAACCCGTTTCCAACGAAGGCCTCAAAGAGGTCTGAATATCCACTTGCAGACTTTAGAAACAGAGTGTTTCCTAACTGCTCTATGAAAAGAAAGGTGAAACTCTGTGAGTTGAACGCACACATCACAAAGGAGTTTCTGAGAATCATTCTGTCTAGTTTTTATACGAAGATATTTCCTTTTCTACCATTGACCTCAAGTCGGCTGAAATCTCCACTTGCAAATTCCACAAAAAGAGTGTTTGAAGTCTGCTCTGTGTAAATGATCATTGAACTCTGTGAGTTGAATACACACAACACAAGGAAGTTACTGAGAATTCTTCTGTCTAGCATAATATGAAGAAATCCCGTTTCCAACGAAGGCCTCAAAGAGGTCTGAATATCCACTTGCAGACTTTACAAACAGAATGTTTCCTAACTGCTCTATGAGAAGAAAGGTTAAACTCTGTGAGTTGAACGCACACATCACAAAGGAGTTTCTGAGAATCATTCTGTCTAGTTTTTATAAGAAGATATTTCCTTTTCTACCATTGACCTCAAGTCGGCTGAAATCTCCACTTGCAAATTCCACAAAAAGAGTGTTTCAAGTCTGCTCTGTGTAAAGGATCGTTGAACTCTGTGAGTTGAATACACACAACACAAGGAAGTTACTGAGAATTCTTCTGTCTAGCAGAATATGAAGAAATCCCGTTTCCAAAGAAGGCCACAAGATGTCAGAATATCCACTTACAGAATTTACAAACAGACTGTTTCCTAACTGCTCTATGAAAAGAAAGGTTAAACTCTGTGAGTTGAACGAACACCTCACAACGCAGTTTGTGGGAATGATTCTGTCTAGTTTTGAAACGAAGATATTTCCTTTTCTGCCATTGACCTTAAAGCGCTTGAAATCTCCACTTGCCAATTGCACAAAAAGAGTGTTTCAAATCTGCTCTGTCTAAGGGAACGTTCAACTCTGTGAGTTCAATGTACACAACACAAGGAAGTTACTGGGAATTCTTCTGTCTAGCCTCACATGAAAAAAACCCTTTTCCAATGAAGGCCTCTAAGTGGTCAAATTATCCACGTGCAGACTTTACAAACAGAGTGTTTCCAAACTGCTGAATGAAAAGAAAAGTTAAACTCTGAGAGTTGAACGCACACATCACAGAGCAGTTTCTGAGAATGATTCTGTCTAGTTTCTATAGGAAGATATTTCCTATTCTACCATTGACCTCATAGCGGCTGAAATCTCCACTTACAAATTCCACAAACAGAGTGTCTCAAGTCTGCTCTGTGTAAACGATCGTTCAACTCTGTGAGTTGAATACACACAACACAAGGAAGTTTCTGAGAATTCTTCTGTATAGCAGAATATGAAGAAATCCCGTTTCCAACGAAAGCCTCAAAGATATCTGAATATCCACTTGCAATCTTACAAACAGAGTGTTTCCTAACTGCTCTATGAAAAGAAAGGTTAAACTCTGTGAGTTGAACGCCCACATCACAAAGGAGTTTCTGAGAATCATTCTGTCTAGTTTTTATACGAAGATATCTCCTTTTCTAACATTGACCTCAAAGCGGCTGAAATCTCCACTTGCAAATTCCACAAAAAGAGTGTTTTAAGTCTGCTCTGTGTAAAGGATCGTTCAACTCTGTGAGTTGAATACACACAACACAAGGAAGTTACTGAGAATCCTTCTGTCTAGCAGAACATGAAGAAATCCCGCTTCCAACGAAGGCCTCAAAGAAGTCTGAATATCCACTTGCAGACTTTACAAACAGAGGGTTTCCCAACTGCTCTATGAAAAGAAAGGTTGAACTCTGTGAGTTGAACGCACACATCACAAAGGAGTTTCTGAGAATCATTCTGTCTAGTCTTTATACGAAGATATTTACTTTTCTACCATTGACCGCAAAGCGGCTGAAATCTCCACTTGCAAATTCCACAAAAAGAGTGTTTCAAGTCTGCTCTGTGTAAAGGATCATTCAGCTCTGTGAGTTGAATAAACACAACACAAGGAAGTTACTGAGAATTCTTCTGTCTAGCACAGTATGGAGAAATCCCGTTTCCAACGAAGGCCTCAAAGAGGTCTGAATATCCACTTGCAGAGTTTACAAACAGACTGTTTCCTAACTGCTCTATGAAAAGAAAGGTTAAACTCTGTGAGTTGAACGAACACATCACAACGCAGTTTGTGGGAATGATTCTGTCTAGTTTTGAAACGAAGATATTTCCTTTTCTACCATTGACCTTAAAGCGCTTGAAATCTACACTTGCAAATTGCACAAATAGAGTGTTTCAAATCTGCTCTGTCTAAGGGAACGTTCAACTCTGTGAGTTGAATGCACACAACACAAGGAAGTTACTGGGAATTCTTCTGTCTAGCCTTACATGAAAAAAAACCCGTTTCCAACGAAGGCCTCTAAGTGGTCAAAATATCCACGTGCAGTCTTTACAAACAGAGTGTTTCCAAACCGCTGAATGAAAAGAAAAGTTAAACTCGGAGAGTTGAACGCACACATCACGCAGCAGTTTCTGAGAATGATTCTGTCTAGTTTTTATACGAAGATATTTCCTTTTCTGCCTTTGGACTCAAAGCGCTTGAAATCTCTACTTGCAAATTCCACAAAAAGAGTGTTTCAAATCTGCTCTGTCTAAATGAAAGTTCAACTCTGTCAGTTGAATACACACAACACAAGGAAGTTACTGAGAATTCTTGTGTCTAGCATAGTATGAAGAAATCCCGTTTCCAACGAAGGCCTCAAAGAGGTCTGAATATCCACTTGCAGAGTTTACAAGCAGAGTGTTTCCTAACTGCTCTATGAAAAGAAAGGTTAAACTCTGTGAGTTGAACGCACACATCACAAAGAAGTTTCTGAGAATCATTCTGTCTAGTTTTTCTACGAAGATATTTCCTTTTCTACCATTGACCTCAAAGCAGCTGAAATCTCCACTTGCAAATTCCACAAAAAGAGTGTTTCAAGTCTGCTCTCTGTAAAGGATCGTTCAAATCTGTGAGTTGAATACACACAACACAAGGGAAGTTACTGAGAATTCTTCTGTCTAGCAGAATATGAAGAAATCCTGTTTCCAACGAAGGCCTCAAGGAGGTCTGAATATCCACTTGCAGACTTTACAAACAGAGTGTTTCCTAACTGCTCTATGAAAAGAAAGGTTAAACTCTGTGAGTTGAACGCACACATCACAAAGGACTTTCTGAGAATCATTCTGTCTAGTTTCTATAGGAAGATATTTCCTATTCTACCATTGACCTCAAAGCAGCTGAAATCTCCACTTGCAAATTCCACAAAAAGAATGTTTCAAGTCTGCTCTGTGTAAAGGATCGTTCAACTCTGGGAGTTGAATACACACAACACAAGGAAGTTACTGAGAATTATACTTTCTAGCAGAAAATGAAGAAATCCCGTTTCCAACGAAGGCCACAAGATGTCAGAATATCCACTTACAGACTTTACAAACACAGTGTTTCCTAACTGCTCTATGAACAGAAAGGTTAAACTCTGTGAGTTGAACGAACACATCACAACGCAGTTTGTGGGAATGATTCTGTCTAGTTTTTATACGAAGATATTCCCTTTTCTACCATTGACCTCAAAGCAGCTGAAATCACCACTTGCCAATTGCACAAAAAGAGTGTTTCAAATCTGCTCTGTCTAAGGGAACGTTCAGCTCTGTGAGTTGAATGTACACAACACAAGGAAGTTACTGGGAATTCTTCTGTCTATCCTTACATGAAAAAAACCCGTTTCCAACGAAGACCTCTAAGTGGTGAAATTATCCACGTGCAGACTTTACAAACAGAGTGTTTCCAAACTGCTGAATGAAAAGAAAAGTTAAACTCTGAGAGTTGAACGCACACATCGCAGAGCAGTTTCTGAGAATGATTCTGTCTAGTTTTTATACGAAGATATTTCCTTTTCTGCCTTTGGCCTCAAAGCGCTTGAAACCTCCACTTGCAAATTCCACAAAAAGAGTGTTTCAAATCTGCTCTGTGTAAATGAAAGTTCAACTCTGTGAGTTGAACACACACAACACAAGGAAGTTACTGGGAATTCTTCTTTCTAGCAGAATATGAAGAAATCCCGTTTCCAACGAAAGCCTCAAGGATGTCTGAATATCCACTTGCAGACTTTACAAACAGAGTGTATCCTAACTGCTCTATGAAAAGAAAGGTTAAACTCTGTGAGTTGATCGCACACATCACAAAGGAGTTTCTGAGAATCATTCTGTCTAGTCTTTATACGAAGATATTTACTTTTCTACCGTTGACCTCAAAGCGGCTGAAATCTCCACTTGCAATTTCCACAAAAAGAGTGTTTCAAGTCTGCTCTGTGTAAAGGATCATTCAACTCTGTGAGTTGAATAAACACAACACAAGGAAGTTACTGAGAATTCTTCTGTCTAGCAGAATATGAAGAAATCCCGTTTCCAACGAAGGCCACAAGATGTCAGAATATCCACTTACAGAATTTACAAACAGACTGTTTCCTAACTGCTCTATGAAAAGAAAGGTTAAACTCTGTAAGTTGAGCGAACACATCACAACGCAGTTTGTGGGAATGATTCTGTCTAGTTTTGAAATGAAGATATTTCCTTTTCTGCCGTTGACCTTAAAGCGCTTGAAATCTATACTTGCAAATTGCACAAATAGAGTGTTTCAAATCTGCTCTGTCTAAGGGAACGTTCAACTCTGTGAGTTGAATGCACACAACAGAAGGAAGTTACTGGGAATTCTTCTGTCTAGCCTTACATGAAAAAAAACCCGTTTCCAACGAAGGCCTCTAAGTGGTCAAATTATCCACGTGCAGACTTTACAAACAGAGTGTTTCCAAACCGCTGAATGAAAAGAAAAGTTAAACTCTGAGAGTTGAACGCACACATCACGCAGCAGTTTCTGAGAATGATTCTGTCTAGTTTTTATACGAAGATATTTCCTTTTCTGCCTTTGGCCCCAAAGCCCTTGAAATCTCCACTTGCAAATTCCACAAAAACAGAGTTTCAAATCTGCTCTCTCTAAATGAAAGTTCAACTCTGTCAGTTGAATACACACAACACAAGGAAGTTACTGAGAATTCTTCTGTCTAGCCTTATATGAAAAAAACCCGTTTCCAACGAAGGCCTCAAAGAGGTCTGAATATCCACTTGCAGACTTTCCAAACAGAGTGTTTCCTAACTGCTCTATGAAAAGAAATGTTAAACTCTGTGAGTTGAACACACACATCACAAAGGAGTTTCTGAGAATCATTCTGTCTAGTTTTTATAGGAAGATAATTCCTTTTCTACCTTTGACTTCAAAGCGGCTGAAATCTCCACTTGCAAATTCCACAAAAAGAGTGTTACAAGTCTGCTCTGTGTAAAGGATCGTTCAACTCTGTGAGTTGAATACACACAACACAAGGAAGTTACTGAGAATTCTTCTGTCTAGCCTTACATGAAAAAAACCCGTTTCCAACGAAGGCCTCTAAGTGGTCAAAATTTCCACGTGCAGACTTTACAAACAGAGTGTTTCCAAACCGCTGAATGAAAAGAAATGTTAAACTCTGAGAGTTGAACGCACACATCACGCAGCAGTTTCTGAGAATGATTCTGTCTAGTTTTTATACGAAGATATTTCCTTTTCTGCCTTTGGCCTCAAAGCGCTTGAAATCTCCACTTGCAAATTCCACAAAAAGAGTGTTTCAAATCTGCTCTGTGTAAACGAAAGTTCAACTCTGTGAGTGGAACACACACAACACAAGGAAGTTACTGGGAATTCTTCTCTCTAGCCTTATATGAAAAAAACCCGTTTCCAACGAAGGCCTCAAAGAGGTCTGAATATCCACTTGCAGACTTTAGAAACAGAGTGTTTCCTAACTGCTCTATGAAAAGAAAGGTTAAACTCTGTGAGTTGAACGCACACATCACAAAGGAGTTTCTGAGAATCACTCTGTCTAGTTTGTATAGGAAGATATTTCCTATTCTACCATTGACCTCAAAGCGGCTGAAATCTCCACTTGCAAATTCCACCAAAAGAATGTTTCAAGTCTGCTCTGTGTAAAGGATCGTTCAACTCTGTGAGTTGAATACACACAACACAAGGAAGTTACTGAGAATTCTTCTGTCTAGCCTTACATGAAAAAAACCCGTTTCCAACGAAGGCCTCTAAGTGGTCAAATTATCCACGTGCAGACTTTACAAACAGAGTGTTTCCAAACTGCTGAATGAAAAGAAAAGTTAAACTCTGAGAGTTAAACGCACACATCGCAGAGCAGTTTCTGAGAATGATTCTGTCAAGTTTTTATACGAAGATATTTCCTTTTCTGCCTTTGGCCTCAAAGCGCTTGAAATCTCCATTTGCAAATTCCACAAAAAGAGTGTTTCAAATCTGCTCTGTGTAAATGAAAGTTCAACTCTGTGAGTTGAAGACACACAACACAAGGAAGTTACTGGGAATTCTTCTGTCTAGCAGAATATGAAGAAATCCCGTTTCCAACGAAGGCCTCAAAGAGGTCTGAATATCCACTTGCAGACTTTACAAACAGAGTGTTTCCTAACTGCTCTATGAAAAGAAAGGTTAAACTCTGTGACTTGAACGCACACATCACAAAGGAGTTTCTGAGAATCATTTCTGTCTAGTTTTTATACGAAGATATTTCCTATTCTACCATTGACCTCAAAGCGGCTGAAATCTCCACTTGCAAATTCCACAAAAAGAGTGTTTCAAGTCTGCTCTGTGTAAAGGATCGTTGAACTCTGTGAGTTGAATACACACAACGCAAGGAAGTTTCTCAGAATACTTCTCTCTAGCAGAATATGAAGAAATCCCGTTTCCAATGAAGGCCACAAAGAGGTCTGAATATCCACTTGCAGACTTTACAAACAGAGTGTTTCCTAACTGCTCTATGAAAAGAAAGGTTAAACTCTGTGAGTTGAACGCCCACATCACAAAGGAGTTTCTGAGAATCATTCTGTCTAGTTTTTATACGAAGATATTTCCTTTTCTGCCTTTGGCCCCAAAGCGCTTGAAATCTCCACTTGCAAATTCCACAAAAACAGTGTTTCAAATCTGCTCTCTCTAAATGATAGTTCAACTCTGTCAGTTGAATACACACAACACAAGGAAGTTACTGAGAATTCTTTCTGTCTAGCATAATATGAAGAAATCCCCTTTCCAACGAAGGCCTCAAAGAGGTCTGAATATCCACCTGCAGACTTAACAAACAGAGTGTTTCCTAACTGCTCTATGAAAAGAAAGGTTAAACTCTGTGAGTTGAACGCACACAGCACAAAGGAGTTTCTGAGAATCATTCTGTCTAGTTTCCATAGGAAGATATTTCCTATTCTACCATTGACCTCAAAGCGGCTGAAATCTCCACTTGCAAATTCCACAAAAAGAGTGTTTCAAGTCTGCTCTGTGTAAAGGATCATTCAACTCTGTGAGTTGAATACACACAACACAAGGAAGTTTCTGAGAATTCTTCTGTCTAGCCTTACATGAAAAAAACCCGTTTCCAACGAAGGCCTCTAAGTGGTCACGTTATCCACGTGCAGACTTTACAAACAGAGTGTTTCCAAACTGCTGAATGAAAAGAAAAGTTAAACTCTGAGAGTTGAACGCACACATCGCAGAGCAGTTTCTGAGAATGATTCTGTCTAGTTTTTATACCAAGATAATTCCTTTTCTGCCTTTGGCCCCAAAGCGCTTGAAATCTCCACTTGCAAATTCCACAAAAACAGTTTTACAAATCTGCTCTCTCTAAATGAAAGTTCAACTCTGTCAGTTTAATACACACAACACAAGGAAGTTACTGAGAATTCTTCTGTCTAGCAGAATATGAAGAAATCCTGTTTCCAACGAAAGCCTCAAAGATGTCTCAATATCCACTTGCAGACTTTACAAACAGAGTGTTTCCTAACTGCTCTATGAAAAGAAAGGTTAAACTCTGTGAGTTGAACGCACACATCACAAAGGAGTTTCTGAGAATCATTCTGTCTAGTCTTTATATGAAGATAGTTTCCTTTTCTACCATTGACCTCAAAGCGGCTGAAATCTCCAGTTGCAAATTCCACAAAAAGAGTGTTTCAAGTCTGCTCTGTGTAAAGGATCGTTCAACTCTGTGAGTTGAATACACACAACACAAGGAAGTTACTGAGAATTCTTCTGTCTAGCAGAATATGAAGAAATCCCGTTTCCAACTGAAGGCCACAAGATGTCAGAATATCCACTTACAGACTTTACAAACAGAGTGTTTCCTAACTGCTCTATGAACAGAAAGGTTAAACTCTGTGAGTTGAACGAACACATCACAACGCAGTTTGTGGGAATGATTCTGTCTAGTTTTGAAACGAAGATATTTCCTTTTCTGCCGTTGACCTTAAAGAGCTTGAAAACTACACTTGCAAATTGCACAAATAGAGTGTTTCAAATCTGCTCTGTCTAAGGGAACGTTCAACTCTGTGAGTTGAATGCACACAACACAAGGAAGTTACGGGGAATTCTTCTGTCTAGCCTTACATGAAAAAATCCCGTTTCCAACGAAGGCCTCTAAGTGGTCAAAATTTCCACGTGCAGACTTTACAAACAGAGTGTTTCCAAACCGCTGAATGAAAAGAAAAGTTAAACTCTGAGAGTTGAACGCACACATCACGGAGCAGTTTCTGAGAATGATTCTGTCTAGTTTTTATACGAAGATATTTCCTTTTCTGCCTTTGGCCCCAAAGCGCTTGAAATCTCCACTTGCAAATTCCACAAAAACAGTGTTTCAAATCTGCTCTCTCTAAATGAAAGTTCAACTTTGTCAGTTGAATACACACAACACAAGGAAGTTAATGAGAATTCTTCTGTCTAGCACAGTATGAAGAAATCCCGTTTCCAACGAAGGCCTCAAAGAGGTGTGAATATCCACTTGTAGAGTTTACAAACAGAGTGTTTCCTAACTGCTCTATGAAAAGAAAGGTTAAACTCTGTGAGTTGAACGCACACATCACAAAGAAGTTTCTGAGAATCATTCTGTCTAGTTTTTATAGGAAGTTATTTCCTTTTCTACCTTTGACTTCAAAGTGGCTGAAATCTCCACTTGCAAATTCCACAAAAAGAGTGTTACAAGTCTGCTCTGTGTAAACGATCGTTCAACTCTGTGAGTTGAATACACACAACACAAGGAAGTTACTGAGAATTCTTCTGTCTAGCCTTACATGAAAAAAACCCGTTTCCAACGAAGGCCTCTAAGTGGTCAAGTTATCCACGTGCAGACTTTACAAACAGAGTGTTTCCAAACTGCTGAATGAAAAGAAAAGTTAAACTCTGAGAGTTGCACGCACACATCGCAGAGCAGTTTCTGAGAATGATTGTGTCTAGTTTTGAAACGAAGATATTTCCTTTTCTGCCGTTGACCTTAAAGCGCTTGAAATCTACACTTGCAAATTGCACAAATAGAGTGTTTCAAATCTGCTCTGTCTAAGGGAACGTTCAACTCTGTGAGTTGAATGCACACAACACAAGGAAGTTACTGGGAATTCTTCTGTCTAGCCTTACATGAAAAAAACCCGTTTCCAACGAAGGCCTCTAAGTGGTCAAATTATCCACGTGCAGACTTTAGAAACAGAGTGTTTCCAAACTGCTGAATGAAAAGAAAAGTTAAACTCTGAGAGTTGAACGCACACATCACAGAGCAGTTTTCTGAGAATGATTCTGTCTAGTTTTTATACGAAGATATTTCCTTTTCTGCCTTTGGCCCCAAAGCGCTTGAAATCTCCACTTGCAAATTCCACAAAAACAGTGTTTCAAATCTGCTCTCTCTAAATGAAAGTTCAACTCTTTGAGTTGAATACACACAACACAAGGAAGTTACTGAGAATTCTTCTGTCTAGCCTTAAATGAAAAAAACCCGTTTCCAACGAAGGGCTCAAAGAGGTCTGAATATCCACTTGCAGACTTTACAAACAGAGTGTTTCCTAACTGCTCTATGAAAAGAAAGGTTAAACTCTGTGAGTTGAACGCACACATCACAAAGAAGTTTCTGAGAATCATTCTGTCTAGTTTTTATACGAAGATATTTCCTTTTCTACTACTGACCACAAAGCGGCTGAGATCTCCATTTGCAAATTCCACAAAAAGAGTGTTTCAAGTCTGCTCTGTATAAAGGATCGTTGAACTCTTTGAGTTGAATACACACAACACAAGGAAGTTACTGAGAATTCTTCTGTCTAGCAGAATATGAAGAAATCCCGTTTCCAACGAAGGCCTCAAGGAGGTCTGAATATCCACTTGCAGACTTTACAAACAGAGTGTTTCCTAACTGCTCTATGAACAGAAAGGTTAAACTCTTTGAGTTGAACGCACACATCACAAAGGAGTTCATGAGAATCATTCTGTCAAGTTTTTATACGAAGATATTTCCTTTTCTACCATGGACCTCAAAGCGGCTGAAATCTCCACTTGCAAATTCCACAAAACGAGTGTTTCAAGTCTGCTCTGTGTAAAGGATCGTTCAACTCTGTGAGTTGAATACACACAACACAAAGAAGTTACTGAGAATTCTTCTGTCTAGTATTATATGAAGAAATCCCGGTTCCAGCGAAGGCCACAAAGAGGTCAGAATATCCACTTCCAGACTTTACAAACAGAGTGTTTCCTAACTGCTCTATGAAAAGAAAGGTTAAACTCTGTGAGTTGAACGCACCCATCACAACGCAGTTTGTGGGAATGATTCTGTCTAGTTTTGAAACGAAGATATTTCCTTTTCTGCAATTGCCCTTAAAGCGCTTGAAATCTCCACTTGCAAATTGCACAAAAAGAGTGTTTCCAATCTGCTCTGTCTAAAGGAACGTTCAACTCTGTGAGTTGAATGCACACAACACAAGGAAGATACTGGGAATTCTTCTGTCTAGCCTTATATGAAAAAAACCCGTTTCCAACGAAGGCCTCTAAGTGGTCAAATTATCCACGTGCAGACTTTACAAACAGAGTGTTTCCAAACTGCTGAATGAAAAGAAAAGTTAAACTCTGAGAGTTGAACGCACACATCGCAGAGCAGTTTCTGAGAATGATTCTGTCTAGTTTCTATAAGAAGATATTTCCTATTCTACCATTCACCTCAAAGCGGCTGAAATCTCCACTTGCAAATTCGACAAAAAGAGTGTTTCAAGCCTGCTCTCTGTAAAGGATCCTTCAACTCTGTGAGTTGAATACACACAACACAAGGAAGTTACTGAGAATTATTCTGTCTTGCATAATATGAAGAAATCCCGTTTCCAACGAAGGCCTCAAAGAGGTCTGAATATCCACTTGCAGACTTTACAAACAGAGTGTTTCCTAACTGCTCTATGAGAAGAAAAGTTAAACTCTGTGAGTTGAACGCACACATCACAAAAGATTTTCTGAGAATCATTCTGTCTAGTTTCTATAGGAAGATATTTCCTATTCTACCATTGACCTCAAAGCGGCTGAAATCTCCACTTGCAAATTCCACAAAAAGAGTGTTTCAACTCTGCTCTGTGTAAAGGATCGTTCAACTCTGTGAGTTGAATACACACAACACAAGGAAGTTACTGAGAATTCTTCTGTCTAGCATAATATGAAGAAATCCCGTATCCAACGAAGGCCTCAAGGAGGTCTGAATATCCACTTGCAGACTTTACAAACAGAGTGTTTCCTAACTGCTCTATGAAAAGAAAGGTTAAACTCTGTGAGTTGAACGCACACATCACAAAGGAGTTTCTGAGAATCATTCTGTCTAGTTTTTATACGAAGATATTTCCTTTTCTACCATTGACCTCAAAGCGGCTGAAATCTCCACTTGCAAATTACACAAAAAGAGTGTTTCAAGTCTACTCTGTGTAAAGCATCGTTCAACTCTGTGAGTTGAAAACACAAAACACAAGGAAGTTTCTGAGAATTCTTCTGTCTAGCAGAATATGAAGAAATCCCGTTTCCAACGAAGGCCACAAGATGTCAGAATATCCACTTACAGAATTTACAAACAGACTGTTTCCTAACTGCTCTATGAAAAGAAAGGTTAAACTCTGTGAGTTCAACGAACACATCACAACGCAGTTTGTGGGAATGATTCTGTCTAGTTTTTATACGAAGGTATTTCCTTTTATACCATTGACCTCAAAGCGGCTGAAATCACCACTTGCCAATTGCACAAAAAGAGTGTTTCAAATCTGCTCTTTCTAAGGGAACGTTCAACTCTGTGAGTTGAATGTACACAACACAAGGAAGTTACTGGGAATTCTTCTGTCTAGCCTTACATGAAAAAAACCCGTTTCCAACGAAGGCCTCTAAGTGGTCAAAATATCCACGTGCAGACTTTACAAACAGAGTGTTTCCAAACCGCTGAATGAAAAGAAAAGTTAAACTTTGAGAGTTGAACGCACGCGTCACGCAGCAGTTTCTGAGAATGATTCTGTCTAGTTTTTATACGAAGATATTTCCTTTTCTGCCTTTGGCCGCAAAGCGCTTGAAATCTCCACTTGCAAATTCCACAAAAACAGTGTTACAAATCTGCCCTCTCTAAATGAAAGTTCAACTCTGTCAGTTGAATACACACAACACAAGGAAGTTACTGAGAATTCTTCTGTCTAGCAGAATATGAAGAAATCCCGTTTCCAACGAAGGCCTCAAAGAAGTCTGAATATCCACTTGCAGACTTTAGAAACAGAGTGTTTCCCAACTGCTCTATTAAAAGAAAGGTTGAACTCTGTGAGTTGAACGCACACATCACAAAGGAGTTTCTGAGAATCATTCTGTCAAGTTTCTATACGAAGATATTTCCTTTTCTACCATTGACCTCAACGCGGCTGAAATCTCCACTTGCAAATTCCACAAAAAGAGTGTTTCAAGTCCGCTCTGTGTAAAGGGTCGTTCAACTCTGTGAGTTGAATACACACAACACAAGGAAGTTACTGAGAATTCTTCTGTCTAGCAGAGTATGAAGAAATCCCGTTTCCAACGAAAGCCTCAATGAGGTCTGAATATCCACTTGCAGAGTTTACAAACAGAGTGTTTCCTAACTGCTCTATGAAAAGAAAGGTTAAACTCTGTGAGTTGAACACACACATCACAAAGAAGATTCTGAGAATCATTTTGTCTAGTTTTTATACGAAGATATTTCCTTTTCTGCCTTTGGCCTCAAAGCGCTTGAAATCTCCAATTGCAAATTCCACAAAAAGAGTGTTTCAAATCTGCTCTTTGTAAATGAAAGTTCAACTCTGTGAGTTGAACACACACAACACAAGGAAGTTACTGGGAATCCTTCTGTCTAGCAGAATATGAAGAAATCCCGTTTCCAACGAAGGAGTCAAGGAGGTCTGAATATCCACTTGCAGACTTTACAAACAGAGTGTTTCCTAACTGCTCTATGAAAAGAAAAGTTAAACTCTGTGAGTTGAACGCACACATCACAAAGGAGTTTATGAGAATCATTCTGTCTAGTTTTTATACGAAGATATTTCCTTTTCTACCATTGACCTCAAAGCGGATGAAATCTACACTTGCAAATTCCACAAAAAGAGTGTTTCAAGTCTGCTCTGTGTAAAGGTTCGTTCAACTCTGTGAGTTGAATACACACAACACAAGGAAGTTACTGAGAATTCTTCTGTCTAGCATATTATGAAGAAATCCCGTTTCCAACGAAGGCCTCAAAGAGGTCTGAATATCCACTTGCAGACTTTACAAACAGAGTGTTTCCTAACTGCTCTATGAAAAGAAAGGTTAAACTCTGTGAGTTGAACGCACACATCACAAAGGAGTTTCTGAGAATCATTCTGTCTAGTTTTTATACCGAAGATATTTCCTTTTCTGCCTTTGGCCTCAAAGCGCTTGAAATCTCCACTTGCAAATTCCACAAAAAGAGTGTTTCAAATCTGCTCTGTGTAAATGAAAGTTCAACTCTGTGAGTTGAACACACACAACACAAGGAAGTTACTGGGAATTCTTCTGTCTAGCATAATATGAAGAAATCCCGTTTCCAACGAAGGCCTCAAAGGGGTCTGAATATCCACTTGCAGACTTTACAAACAGAGTGTTTCCTAACTGCTCTATGAAAAGAAAAGTTAAACTCTGTGAGTTGAACGCACACATCACAAAGGATTTTATGATAATCATTCTGTCTAGTTTTTATAGGAAGATATTTCCTTTTCTACCTTTGACTTCAAAGCGGCTGAAATCTCCACTTGGAAATTCCAGAAAAAGAGTGTTACAAGTCTGCTCTGTGTAAAGGATCGTTCAACTCTGTGAGTTGAATACACACAACACAAGGAAGTTACTGAGAATTCTTCTGTCTAGCAGAATATGAAGAAATCCCGTTTCCAACGAAGGCCTCAAGGAGGTCTCAAAATCCACTTGCAGACTTTACAAACAGAGTGTTTCCTAACTGCTCTATGAACAGAAAGGTTAAACTCTGTGAGTTGAACGAACACATCACAACGCAGTTTGTGGGAATGATTCTGTCTAGTTTTGAAACGAAGATATTTCCTTTTCTGCCATTGACCTTAAAGCGCTTGAAATCTACACTTGCAAATTGCACAAATAGAGTGTTTCAAATCTGCTCAGTCTAAGGGAACGTTCAACTCTGTGAGTTGAATGCACACAACACAAGGAAGTTACTGGGAATTCTTCTGTCTAGCCTTACAGGAAAGAAAACCGTTTCCAACGAAGGCCTCTAAGTGGTCAAAATATCCACGTGCAGACTTTACAAACAGAGTGTTTCCAAACTGCTGAATGAAAAGAAAAGTTAAACTCTGAGAGTTGAACGCACACATCGCAGAGCAGTTTCTGAGAATGATTCTGTCTAGTTTTTATACGAAGATATTTCCTTTTCTGCCTTTGGCCTCAAAGCGCTTGAAATCTCCATTTGCAAATTCCACAAAAAGAGTGTTTCAAATCTGCTCTGTGTACATGAAAGTTCAACTCTGTGAATTGAACACACACAACACAAGGAAGTTACTGGGAATTCTTCTGTCTAGCAGAATATGAAGAAATCCCGTTTCCAACGAAAGCCTCAAGGATGTCTGAATATCCACTTGCAGACTTTACAAACAGAGTGTTTCCTAACTGCTCTATGAAAAGAAAGGTTAAACTCTGTGAGTTGAACGCACACATCACAAAGGAGTTTCTGAGAATCATTCTGTCTAGTTTCTATAGGAAGATATTTCCTATTCTACCATTGACCTCAAAGCGGCTGAAATCTCCACTTGCAAATTCCACAAAAAGACTGTTTCAAGTCTGCTCTGTGTAAAGGATCGTTCAACTCTGTGAGTTGAATACACACAACACAAGGAAGTTACTGAGAATTCTTCTGTCTAGCCTTATATGAAAAAATCCCGTTTCCAACGAAGGCCTCAAAGAGGTCTGAATATCCACTTGCAGACTTTACAAACAGAGTGTTTCCTAACTGCTCTATGAAAAGAAAGGTTAAACTCTGTGAGTTGAACGCACACATCACAAAGGAGTTTCTCAGAATCATTCTGTCTAGTTTTTATACGAAGATATTTCCTTTTCTACCATTGACCTCAAAGCGGCTGAAATCTCCACTTGCAAATTCCACAAAAAGAGTGTTTCAAGTCTGCTCTGTTTAAAGGATCGTTCAACTCTGTGAGTTGAATACACAAAACACAAGGGAAGTTTCTGAGAATTCTTCTGTCAGCAATAATATGAAGAAATCCCGTTTGCAACGAAGGCCTCAAAGAGGTTTGAATATCCACTTGCAGAGTTTACAAACAGAGTGTTTCCTAACTACTCTATGAAAAGAAAGGTTAAACCCTGTGAGTTGAACGCACACATCCTAAAGGAGTTTCTGAGAATCATTCTGTCTAGTTTTTATACGAAGATATTTCCTTTTCTACCATTGACCTCAAAGCGGCTGAAATCACCACTTGCCAATTGCACAAAAAGAGTGTTTCAAATCTGCTCTGTCTAAGGGAACGTTCAACTCTGTGAGTTGAATGTACACAACACAAGGAAGTTACTGGGAATTCTTCTGTCTAGCCTTACATGAAAAAAACCCGTTTCCAACGAAGGCCTCTAAGTGTTCAAATTATCCACGTGCAGACTTTACAAACAGAGTGTTTCCAAACTGCTGAATGAAAAGCAAAGTTAAACTCTGAGAGTTGAACGCACACATCGCAGAGCAGTTTCTGAGAATGATTCTGTCCAGTTTTTATACGAAGATATTTCTTTTTCTGCCTTTGGCCTCAAAGCGCTTGAAATCTCCATTTGCAATTTCCACAAAAAGAGTGTTTCAAATCTGCTCTGTGTAAATGAAATTTCAACTCTGTGAGTTGAACACACACAACACAAGGAAGTTACTGAGAATTCTTCTGACTAGCCTTATATGGAAAAAACCCGTTTCCAACGAAGGCCTCAAAGAGGTCTGAATATCCACTTGCAGACTTTACAAACAGAGTGTTTCCTAACTGCTCTATGAAAAGAAAGGTTAAACTCTGTGAGTTGAACGCACACATCACAAAGGAGTTTCTGAGAATCATTCTGTCTAGTCTTTATACGAAGATATTTCCTTTTCTTCCATTGACCTCAAAGCGGCTGAAATCTCCACTTGCAAATTCCACAAAAAGAGTGTTTAAAGTCTGCTCTCTGTAAAGGATCGTTCAACTCTGTGAGTTGAATACACACAACACAAGGAAGTTACTGAGAATTCTTCTGTCTAGCCTTACAGGAAAAAAACCCGTTTCCAACGAAGGCCTCTAAGTGGTCAAATTATCCACGTGCAGACTTTACAAACAGAGTGTTTCCAAACTGCTGAATGAAAAGCAAAGTTAAACTCTGAGAGTTGAACGCACACATCGCAGAGCAGTTTCTGAGAATGATTCTGTCTAGTTTTTATACGAAGATATTTCGTTTTCTGCCTTTGGCCACAAAGCGCTTGAAATCTCCACTTGCAAATTCCACAAAAACAGTGTTTCAAATCTGCTCTCTCTAAATGAAAGTTCAACTCTGTCAGTTGAATACACACAACACAAGGGAAGTTACTGAGAATTCTTCTGTCTAACAGAATATGAAGAAATCCCGTTTCCAACGAAGGCCTCAAAGAGGTCTGAATATCCACTTGCAGACTTTACAAACAGAGTGTTTCCTAACTGCTCTATGAAAAGAAAGGTTAAACTCTGTGACTTGAACGCACACATCACAAAGGAGTTTCTGAGAATCATTCTGTCTAGTTTTTCTACGAAGATATTTCCTTTTCTACTATTGACCTCAAAGCTGCTGAAATCTCCACTTGCAAATTCCACAAAAAGAGTGTTTCAAGTCTGCTCTGTGTAAAGGATCGTTCAACTCTGTGAGTTGAATACACACAACACAAGGAAGTGACTGAGAATTCTTCTGTCTAGCATAGTATGGAGAAATCCCGTTTCCAACGAAGGCCTCAAAGAGGTCTGAATATCCACTTGCAGACTTTACAAACAGAGTGTTTCCTAACTGCTCTATGAAAAGAAAGGTTAATCTCTGTGAGTTGAACACACACATCACAAAGGAGTTTCTGAGAATCATTCTGTCTAGTTTTTATACGAAGATATTTCCTTTTCTGCCTTTGGCCTCAAAGCGCTTGAAATCTCCATTTGCAAATTCCACAAAAAGAGTGTTTCAAATCTGCTCTGTGTAAATGAAAGTTCAACTCTGTGAGTCGAACACACACAACACAAGGAAGTTACTGGGAATTCTTCTGTCTAGCAGAATATGAAGAAATCCCGTTTCCAACGAAGGCCTCAAGGAGGTCTGAATATCCACTTCCAGACTTTACAAACAGAGTGTTTCCTAACTGCTCTATGAAAAGAAAAGTTAAACTCTGTGAGTTGCACGCACACATCACAAAGGAGTTTCTGAGAATCATTCTGTCTAGTTTTTATAGGAAGATATTTCCTTTTCTACCTTTGACTTCAAAGAGGCTGAAATCTCCACTTGCAAATTCCACAAAAAGAGTGTTACAAGTCTGCTCTGTGTAAAGAATCGTTCAACTCTGTGAGTTGAATACACACAACACAAGGAAGTTACTGAGAATTCTTCTGTCTAGCATAGTATGAAGAAATCCCTTTTACAACGAAGGCCTCAAAGAGGTCTGAATATCCACTTGCAGAGTTTACAAACAGAGTGTTTCCTAACTGCTCTATGAAAAGAAAGGTTAAACTCTGTGAGTTGAACGCACACATCACAAAGAAGTTTCTGAGAATCATTCTGTCTAGTTTTTATACGAAGATATTTCCTTTTCTACCATTGACTTCAAAGCGGCTGAAATCTCCACTTGCAAATTCCACAAAAAGAGTGTTTCAAGCCTGCTCTGTGTAAAGGATCGTTCAACTCTTTGAGTTGAATACACACAACACAAGGAAGATTCTGAGAATTCTTCTTTCTAGCAGAATATGAAGAAATCCCGTTTCCAACGAAGGCCACAAGATGTCAGAATATCCACTTACAGAATTGACAAACAGACTGTTTCCTAACTGGTCTATGAAAAGAAAGGTTAAACTCTGTGAGTTGAACGAACACATCACAACGCAGTTTGTGGGAATGATTCTGTCTAGTTTTTATACGAAGATATTTCCTTTTCTACCATTGACCTCAAAGCGGCTGAAATCACCACTTGCCAATTCCACAAAAAGAGTGTTTCAAATCTGCTCTGTCTAAGGGAACGTTCAACTCTGTGAGTTGAATGTACACAACACAAGGAAGTTACTGGGAATTCTTCTGTCTAGCCTTACATGAACAAAACCCGTTTCCAACGACGGCCTCTAAGTGGTCAAGTTATCCACGTGCAGACTTTACAAACAGAGTGTTTCCAAACTGCTGAATGAAAAGAAAAGTTAAACTCTGAGAGTTGAACGCACACATCGCAGAGCAGTTTCTGAGAATGATTCTGTCTAGTTTTTATACAAAGATATTTCCTTTTCTGCCTTTGGCCTCAAAGCGCTTGAAATCTCCATTTGCAAATTCCACAAAAAGAGTGTTTCAAATCTGCTCTGTGTAAATGAAAGTTCAACTCTGTGAGTCGAACACACACAACACAAGGAAGTTACTGGGAATTCTTCTGTCTAGCAGAATATGAGGAATTCCCGTTTCCAACGAAGGCCTCAAGGAGGTCTGAATATCCACATGCAGACTTTACAAACACAGTGTTTCCTAACTGCTCTATGAAAAGAAAGGTTAAACTCTGTGCGTTGAACGCACACATCACAAAGGAGTTTATGAGAATCATTCTGTCTAGTTTTTATAGGAAGATATTTCCTTTTCTACCTTTGACGTCAAAGCGGCTGAAATCTCCACTTGCAAATTCCACAAAAAGAGTGTTACAAGTCTGCTCTGTGTAAAGGATCGTTCAACTCTATGAGTTGAATACACACAACACAAGGAAGTTACTGAGAATTCTTCTGTCTAGCATAGTATGAAGAAATCCCGTTTCCAACGAAGGCCTCAAAGAGGTCTGAATATCCACTTGCAGAGTTTACAAACAGAGTGTTCCCTAACTGCTCTATGAAAAGAAAGGTTAAACTCTGTGAGTTGAACGCACACATCACAAAGAAGTTTCTGAGAATCATTCTGTCTAGTTTTTATACGAAGATATTTCCTTTTCTACCATTGACCTCAAAGCGGCTGAAATCTCCACTTGCCAATTCCACAAAAAGAGTGTTTCAAGTCTACTCTGTGTAAAGGTTCGTTCAACTCTGTGAGTTGAAAACACACAACAAAAGGAAATTTCTGAGAATTCTTCTGTCTAGCAGAATATGAAGAAATCCCGTTTCCAACGAAAGCCTCAAAGATGTCTGAATATCCACTTGCAGACTTTACAAACAGAGAGTTTCCTAATTGCTCTATGAAAAGAAAGGTTAAACTCTGTGAGTTGAACGCACACAGCACAAAGGAGTTTCTGAGAATCATTCTGTCTAGTTTTTATAGGAAGATATTTCCTTTTCTACCTTTGACTTCAAAGCGGCTGAAATCTCCACTTGCAAATTCCACAAAAAGAGTGTTACAAGTCTGCTCTGTGTAAAGGATCGTTCAACTCTGTGAGTTGAATACACACAAAACAAGGAAGTTATTGAGAATTCTTCTGTCTAGCAGAATATGAAGAAATCCCGTTTCCAACGAAGGCCTCAAGGAGGTCTGAATATCCACTTGCAGACTTTACAAACAGAGTGTTTCCTAACTGCTCTATGAACAGAAAGGTAAAACTCTGTGAGTTTAACGCACACATCACAAAGGAGTTTCTGAGAATCATTCTGTCTAGTCTTTGTACGAAGATATTTCCTTTTCTACCATTGACCTCAAAGCGGCTGAAATCTCCACTTGCAAATTCCACAAAAAGAGTGTTTAAAGTCTGCTCTCTGTAAAGGATCGTTCAACTCTGTGAGTTGAATACACAGAACACAAGGAAGTTACTGAGAATTATCTGTCTAGCAGAATATGAAGAAATCCCGTTTCCAACGAAGGCCACAAGATGTCAGAATATCCACTTACAGAATTTACAAACATAGTGTTTCCTAACTGCTCTATGAAAAGAAAGGTTAAACTCTGTGAGATGAACGAACACATCACAACGCAGTTTGTGGGAATGATCTCTGTCTAGTTTTGAAACGAAGATATTTCCTTTTCTGCCATTGACCTTAAAGCGCTTGAAATCTACACTTGCAAATTGCACAAATAGAGTGTTTCACATCTGCTCTGTCTAAGGGAACGTTCAACTCTGTGAGTTGAATGCACACAACACAAGGAAGTTACTGGGAATTCTTCTGTATAGCCTTACATGAAAAAAAACCCGTTTCCAACGAAGGCCTCTAAGTGGTCAAAATATCCACGTGCAGACTTTACAAACAGAGTGTTTCCAAACCGCTGAATGAAAAGAAAAGTTAAACTCTGAGAGTTGAACGCACACATCACGCAGCAGTTTCTGAGAATGATTCTGTCCAGTTTTTATACGAAGATATTTCCTTTTCTGCCCTTGGCCCCAAAGCGCTTGAAATCTCCACTTGCAAATTCCACAAAAACAGTGTTTCAAATCTGCTCTCTCTAAATGAAAGTTCAACTCTGTCAGTTGAATACACACAACACAAGGAAGTTACTGAGAATTCTTCTGTCTAGCATAATATGAAGAAATCCCGTTTCCAACGAAGACCTCTAAGAGGTCTGAATATCCACTTGCAGACTTTACAAACAGAGTGTTTCCTAACTGCTCTATGAGAAGAAAAGTTAAACTCTGTGAGTTGAACGCACACATCACAAAAGATTTTCTGAGAATCATTCTGTCTAGTCTTTATTCGAAGATATTTCCTTTTCTACCATTGACCTCAAAGCGGCTGAAATCTCCACTTGCAAATTCCACAAAAAGAGTGTTTCAAGTCTGCTCTGTGTAAAGGATCGTTCAACTCTGTGAGTTGAATACACACAACACAAGGAAGTTACTGAGAATTCTTCTGTCTAGCAGAATATGAAGAAATCCCGTTTCCAACGAAGGCCGCAAGATGTCAGAATATCCACTTACAGACTTTAGAAACAGAGTGTTTCCTTACTGCTCTATGAACAGAAAGGTTAAACTCTGTGAGTTGAACGAACACATCACAACGCAGTTTGTGGGAATGATTCTGTCTAGGTTTGAAACGAAGATATTTCCTTTTCTGCCGTTGACCTTAAAGCGCTTGAAATCTACACTTGTAAATTGCACAAATAGAGTGTTTCAAATCTGCTCTGTCTAAGGGAACGTTCAACTCTGTGAGTTGAATGCACACAACACAAGGAAGTTACTGGGAATTTCTTCTGTCTATCCTTACATGAAAAAAACCCGTTTCCAACGAAGGCCTCTAAGTGGTCAAAATATCCACGTGCAGACTTTACAAACAGAGTGTTTCCAAACCGCTGAATGAAAAGAAAGGTTAAACTCTGAGAGTTGAACGCACACATCACGCAGCAGTTTCTGAGAATGATTCTGTCTAGTTTTTATACGAAGATATTTCCTTTTCTGCCTTTGGCCCCAAAGCGCTTGAAATCTCCACTTGTAAATTCCACAAAAACAGTGTTTCAAATCTGCTCTCTCTAAATGAAAGTTCAACTCTGTCAGTTGAATACACACAACACAAGGAAGTTACTGAGAATTCTTCTGTCTAGCATACTATGAAGAAATCCCGTTTCCAACGAAGGCCTCAAAGAGGTCTATATATCCACTTGCAGAGTTTACAAACAGAGTGTTTCCTAACTGCTCTATGAAAAGAAAGGTTAAACTCTGTGAGTTGAACGCACACATCACAAAGAAGTTTCTGAGAATCATTCTGTCTAGTTTTTATACGAAGATATTTCCTTTTCTACCATTGACCTCAAAGCGGCTGAAATCTCCACTTGCAAATTCCACAAAAAGAGTGTTTCAAGTCTGCTCTGTGCAAAGGATCGTTCAACTCAGTGAGATGCATACACACAACACAAGGAAGTTACTGAGAATTCTTCTGTCTAGCATAATATGAAGAAATCCCGTTTCCAACGAAGGCCTCAAGGAGGTCTGAATATCCACTTGCAGACTTTACAATCAGAGTGTTTCCTAACTGCTCTATGAAAAGAAAGGTTAAACTCTGTGAGTTGAACGCACACATCACAAAGGAGTTTCTTAGAATCATTCTGTCTAGTTTCTATAGGAAGATATTTCCTATTCTACCATTGACCTCAAAGCGGCTGAAATCTCCACTTGCAAATTCCACAAAAAGAGTGTTTCAAGTCTGCTCTCTGTAATGGATCGTTCAAATCTGTGAGTTGAATACACACAACACAAGGAAGTTACTGAGAATTATTCTTTCTAGCAGAATATAAAGAAATCCCGTTTCCAACGAAAGCCTCAAGGATGTCTGAATATCCACTTGCAGACTTTACAAACAGAGTGTTTCCTAACTGCTCTATGAAAAGAAAGGTTAAACTCTGTGAGTTGAACGCACACATCACAAAGGAGTTTCTGAGAATCATTCTGTCTAGTTTTTATATGAAGATATTTCCTATTCTACCATTGACCTCAAAGCGGCTGATATCTCCACTTGCAAATTCCACAAAAAGAGTGTTTCAAGTCTGCTCTGTGTAAAGGATCGTTCAACTCTGTGAGTTGAATACACACAACACAAGGAAGTTACTGAGAATTCTTCTGTCTAGCAGAATATGAAGAAATCCCGTTTCCAACGAAGGCCTCAAGGAGGTCTGAATATCCACTTGCAGACTTTACAAACAGAGTGTTTCCTAACTGCTCTATGAACAGAAAGGTTAAACTCTGTGAGTTGAACGAACACATCACAGCGCAGTTTGTGGGAATGATTCTGTCTAGTTTTGAAAAGAAGATATTTCTTTTTCTGCCGTTGACCTTAAAGCGCTTGAAATCTACACTTGCAAATTGCACAAATAGAGTGTTTCAAATCTGCTCTGTCTAAGGGAACGTTCAACTCTGTGAGTTGAATGCACACAACCCAAGGAAGTTACTGGGAATTCTTCTGTCTAGCCTTACATGAAAAAAACCCGTTTCCAACGAAGGCCTCTAAGTGGTCAAATTTTCCACGTGCAGACTTTACAAACAGAGTGTTTCCAAACCGCTGAATGAAAAGAAAAGTTAAACTCTGAGAGTTGAACGCACACATCACGCAGCAGTTTCTGAGAATGATTCTGTCTAGTTTTTATACGAAGATATTTCCTTTTCTGCCTTTGGCCCCAAAGCGCTTGAAATCTCCACTTGCAAATTCCACAAAAACAGAGTTTCAAATCTGCTCTCTCTAAATGAAAGTTCAACTCTGTCAGTTGAATACACACAACACAAGGAAGTTACTGAGAATTCTTCTGTCTAGCATAATATGGACAAATCCCGTTTCCAAAGAAGGCCTCAGGGAGGTCTGAATATCCACTTGCAGACTTTACAAACAGAGTGTTTCCTAACTGCTCTATGAAAAGAAAGGTTAAACTCTGTGAGTTGAACGCACACATCACAAAGGAGTTTCTGAGAATCATTCTGTCTAGTTTTTATACGAAGATATTTCCTTTTCTACCATGGACCTCAAAGCGGCTGAAATCTCCACTTGCAAATTCCACAAAAAGAGTGTTTCAAGTCCGCTCTGTGTAAAGGATCGTTCAACTCTGTGAGTTGAATACACACAACACAAGGAAGATTCTGAGAATTCTTCTGTCTAGCAGAATATGAAGAAATCCCGTTTCCAACGAAGGCCACAAGAGGTCAGAATATCCACTTACAGACTTTACAAACAGACTGTTTCCTAACTGCTCTATGAAAAGAAAAGTTAAACTCTGTGAGTTGGACGAACACATCACAACGCAGTTTGTGGGAAGGATTCTGTCTAGTTTTGAAACGAAGATATTTCCTTTTCTGCCATTGACCTTAAAGCGCTTGAAATCTACACTTGCAAATTCCACAAATAGAGTGTTTCAAATCTGCTCTGTCTAAGGGAACGTTCAACTCTGTGAGTTGAATGCACACAACACAAGGAAGTTACTGTGAATTCTTCTGTCTAGCCTTACATGAAAAAAACCCGTTTCCAACGAAGGCCTCTAAGTGGTCAAAATAACCACGTGCAGACATTACAAACAGAGTGTTTCCAAACCGCTGAATGAAAAGAAAAGTTAAACTCTGAGAGTTGGACGCACACATCACGCAGGAGTTTCTGAGAATGATTCTGTCTAGTTTTTATACGAAGATATTTCCTTTTCTGCCTTTGGCCCCAAAGCGCTTGAAATCTCCACTTGCAAATTCCACAAAAACAGTGTTTCAAATCTGCTCTCCCTAAATGAAAGTTCAACTCTGTCAGTTGAATACACACAACACAAGGAAGTTACTGAGAATTCTTCTGTCTAGCCTTATATGAAAAAAACCCGTTTCCAACGAAGGCCTCAAAGAGGTCTGAATATCCACTTGCAGACTTTACAAACAGAGTGTTTCCTAACTGCTCTATGAAAAGAAAGGTTAAACTCTGTGAGTTGAACGCACACATCACAAAGGAGTTTCTGGGAATCAGTCTGTCTAGTCTTTATATGAAGATAGTCTCCTTTTCTACCATTGACCTCAAAGCGGATGAAATCTCCACTTGCAAATTCCACAAAAAGAGTGTTTCAAGTCTGCTCTGTGTAAAGGATCATTCAACTCTGTGAGTTGAATACACACAACACAAGGAAGTTACTGAGAATTCTTCTGTCTAGCCTTACAGGAAAAAAACCCGTTTCCAACGAAGGCCTCTAAGTGGTCAAAATATCCACGTGCAGACTTTACAAACAGAGTGTTTCCAAACAGCTGAATGAAAAGAAAAGTTAAACTCTGAGAGTTGAACGCACACATCGCAGAGCAGTTTCTGAGAATGATTCTGTCTAGTCTTTATACGAAGATATTTCCTTTTCTACCATTGACCTCAAAGCGGCTGAAATCTCCACTTGCAAATTCCACAAAAAGAGTGTTTCAAGTCTGCTCTCTGTAAAGGATCGTTCAACTCTGTGAGTTGAATACACAGAACAAAAGGAAGTTACTGAGAATTATTCTGTCTAGCATAATATGAAGAAATCCCGTTTCCAACGAAGGCCTCAAGAGGTCTGAATATCCACTTGCAGACTTTACAAACAGAGTGTTTCCAAACAGCTGAATGAAAAGAAAAGTTAAACTCTGAGAGTTGAACGCACACATCACGCAGCAGTTTCTGAGAATGATTCTGTCTAGTTTTGAAACGAAGATATTTCCTTTTCTGCTGTTGACCATAAAGCGCTTGAAATCTACACTTGCAAATTGCACAAATAGAGTGTTTCAAATCTGCTCTGTCTAAGGGAACGTTCAACTCTGTGTGTTGAATGCACACAACACAAGGAAGTTACTGGGAATTCTTCTGTCTAGCCTTACATGAAAAAAACCCGTTTCCAACGAAGGCCTCTAAGTGGTCAAGTTATCCACGTGCAGACTTTACAAACAGAGTGTTTCCAAACTGCTGAATGAAAAGGAAATTTAAACTCTGAGAGTTGAACGCACACATCGCAGAGCAGTTTCTGAGAATGATTCTGTCTAGTTTTTATACGAAGATATTTCCTTTTCTGCCTTTGGCCCCAAAGCGCTTGAAATCTCCACTTGCAAATTCCTCAAAAACAGTGTTTCAAATCTGCTCTCTCTAAATGAAAGTTCAACTCTGTCAGTTGAATACACGCCACACAAGGAAGTTACTGAGAATTCTTCTTTCTAGCAGAATATGAAGAAATCCCGTTTCCAACGAAGGCCTCAAAGAGGTCTGAATATCCACTTGCAGACTTTACAAACAGAGTGTTTCCTAACTGCTCTATGAAAAGAAAGGTTAAACTCTGTGAGTTGAACGCACACATCACAAAGGAGTTTCTGAGAATCGTTCTGTCTAGTCTTTATACGAAGATATTTCCTTTTCTACCATTGACCTCAAAGCGGCTGAAATCTCCACTTGCAAACTCCACAAAAAGAGTGTTTCAAGTCTGCTCTGTGTAAAGGATCGTTCAACTCTGTGAGTTGAATACACACAACACAAGGAAGTTACTGAGAATTCTTCTGTCTAGCAGAATATGAAGAAATCCCGTTTCCAACGAAGGCCACAAGATGTCTGAATATCCACTTACAGACTTTACAAACAGAGTGTTTCCTAACTGCTCTATGAACAGAAAGGTTAAACTCTGTGAGTTGAACGAACACATCACAACGCAGTTTCTGGGAATGATTCTGTCTAGTTTTGAAACCAAGATATTTCCTTTTCTGCCGTTGACCTTAAAGAGCTTGAAAACTACACTTGCAAATTGCACAAATAGAGTGTTTCAAATCTGCTCTGTCTAAGGGAACGTTCAACTCTGTGAGTTGAATGCACACAACACAAGGAAGTTACTGGGAATTCTTCTGTCTAGCCTTACATGAAAAAAACCCGTTTCCAACGAAGGCCTCTAAGTGGTCACAATTTCCACGTGCAGACTTTACAAACAGAGTGTTTCCAAACCGCTGAATGAAAAGAAAAGTTAAACTCTGAGAGTTGAACGCAAACATCACGCAGCAGTTTCTGAGAATGATTCTGTCTAGTTTTTATACGAAGGTATTTCCTTTTCTGCCTTTGGCCCCAAAGCGCTTGAAATCTCCACTTGCAAATTCCACAAAAACAGTGTTTCAAATCTGCTCTCTCTAAATGAAAGTTCAACTCTGTCAGTTGAATACACACAACACAAGGAAGTTACTGAGAATTCCTCTGTCTAGCAGAATATGAAGAAATCCCGTTTCCAACGAAGGCCTCAAAGAGGTCTGAATATCCACTTGCAGACTTTACAAACAGAGTGTTTCCTAACTGCTCTATGAAAAGAAAGGTTAAACGCTGTGAGTTGAACGCACACATCAAAAAGCAGTTTCTGAGAATCATTCTGTATAGTTTTTCTTCGAAGATATTTCCTATTCTACCATTGACCTCAAAGCGGCTGAAATCTCCACTTGCAAATTCCACAAAAAGAGTGTTTCAAGTCTGCTCTCTGTAAAGGATCATTCAACTCTGTGAGTTGAATACACACAACACAAGGAAGTTACTGAGAATTCTTCTGTCTAGCAGAATATGAAGAAATCCCGTTTCCAACGAAGGTCTCAAAGAGGTCTGAATATCCACTTGCAGACTTTACAAACAGAGTGTTTCCTAACTGCTGTATGAAAAGAAAGGTTAAACTCTGTGAGTTGAACGCACACATCACAAAGGAGTTTCTGAGAATCGTTCTGTCTAGTTTCTATAGGAAGATATTTCCTATTCTACCATTGACCTCAAAGCGGCTGAAATCTCCACTTGCAAATTCCACAAAAAGAGTGTTTCAAGACTGTTCTGTGTAAAGGATCATTCAAGTCTCTGAGTTGAATACACACAACACAAGGAAGTTACTGAGAATTCTTCTGTCTAGCAGAATATGAAGAAATCCCGTTTCCAACGAAGGCCTCAAAGAGGTCTGAATATCCACTTGCAGACTTTACAAACAGAGTGTTTCCTAACGGCTCTATGAAAAGAAAAGTTAAACTCTGTGAGTTGAACGCACACATCACAAAGGAGTTTCTGAGAATCATTCTGTCTAGTTTTGAAACGAAGATATTTCCTTTTCTGCCATTGACCTTAAATTGCTTGAAATCTCCACTTGCCAATTGCACAAAAAGAGTGTTTCAAATCTGCTCTTTCTAAGGGAACGTTCAACTCTGTGAGTTGAATGTACACAACACAAGGAAGTTACTGGGAATTCTTCTGTCTAGCCTTACATGAAAAAAACCCGTTTCCAACGAAGACCTCTAAGTGGTCAAATTATCCACGTGCAGACTTTACAAACAGAGTGTTTCCAAACTACTGAATGAAAAGATAAGTTAAACTCTGAGAGTTGAACGCACACATCGCAGAGCAGTTTCTGAGAATGATTCTGTCTAGTCTTTAGAGGAAGATATTTCCTTTTCTACCATTGACCTCAAAGCGGCTGAAATCTCCACTTGCAAATTCCACAAAAAGAGTGTTTCAAGTCTGCTCTCTGTAAAGGATCGTTCAACTCTGTGAGTTGAATACACACAACACAAGGAAGTTACTGAGAATTCTTCTGTCTAGCAGAATATGAAGAAATCCCGTTTCCAACGAAGGCGTCAAAGAGGTCTGAATATCCACTTGCAGACTTTACAAACAGAGTGTTTCCTAACTGCTCTATGAAAAGAAAAGTTAAACTCTGTGAGTTGAACGCACACATAACAAAGGAGTTTCTGAGAATCATTCTGTCTAGTTTTTATACGAAGATATTTCCTTTTCTACCATTGACCTCAACGCGGCTGAAATCTCCACTTGCAAATTCCACAAAAAGAGTGTTTCAAGTCTGCTCTGTGTAAAGGATCGTTCAACTCTGTGAGTTGAATACACACAACACAAGGGAAGTTACTGAGAATTCTTCTGTCTAGCAGAATATGAAGAAATCCCGTTTCCAACGAAGGCCACAAGATGTCAGAATATCCACTTACAGACTTTCCAAACAGAGTGTTTCCTAACTGCTCTATGAACAGAAAGGTTAAACTCTGTGAGTTGAACGAACACATCACATCGCAGTTTGTGGGAATGATTCTGTCTAGTTTTTATACGAAGATATTTCCTTTTCTACCATTGACCTCAAAGAGGCTGAAATCACCACTTGCCAATTGCACAAAAAGAGTGTTTCAAATCTGCTCTGTCTAAGGGAACGTTCAACTCTGTGAGTTGAATGTACACAACACAAGGAAGTTACTGGGAATTCTTCTGTCTACCCTTACATGAAAAAAACCCGTTTCCAACGAAGGCCTCTAAGTGGTCAAAATATCCACGTGCAGACTTTACAAACAGAGTGTTTCCAAACTGCTGAATGAAAAGAAAAGTTAAACTCTGAGAGTTGAACGCACACTTCACAGAGCATTTTCTGAGAATGATTCTGTCTAGTTTTGAAACGGAGATATTTCCTTTTCTGCCTTTGGCCTCAAAGCGCTTGAAATCTCCACTTGCAAATTCCACAAAAAGAGTGTTTCAAATCTGCTCTGTGTAAATGAAAGTTCAACTCTGTGATTTGAACACACACAACTCAAGGAAGTTACTGGGAATTCTTCTGTCTAGCAGAATATGAAAAAATCCCGTTTCCAACGAAGGCCTCAAAGAGGTCTGAATATCCACTTGCAGACTTTACAAACAGAGTGTTTCCTAACTGCTCTATGAAAAGAAAAGTTGAACTCTGTGAGTTGAACGCACACATCACAAAGGAGTTTCTGAGAATCATTCTGTCTAGTCTTTATACAAAGATATTTCCTTTTCTACCATTGACCTCAAAGCGGCTGAAATCTCCACTTGCAAATTCCACAAAAAGAGTGTTTCAAGTCTGCTCTGTGTAAAGGATCGTTCAACTCTGTGAGTTGAATACACACAACACAAGGAAGTTACTGAGAATTCTTCTGTCTAGCAGAATATGAAGAAATCCCGTTTCCAACGAAGGCCACAAGATGTCAGAATATCCACTTACAGAATTTTCAAACAGACTGTTTCCTAACTGCTCTATGAAAAGAATGGTTAAACTC
Organism: Homo sapiens; assembly: GCF_000001405.40. NCBI lineage: Eukaryota > Metazoa > Chordata > Mammalia > Primates > Hominidae > Homo > Homo sapiens. The sequence continues at coordinate 47,529,205 of NC_000005.10, read as the reverse complement.
TGTGAGTTGAACGAACACATCACAACGCAGTTTGTGGGAATGATTCTGTCTAGTTTTGAAACGAAGATATTTCCTTTTCTGCCGTTGACCTTAAAGCGCTTGAAATCTACACTTGCAAATTGCACAAATAGAGTGTTTCAAATCTGCTCTGTTTAAGGGAACGTTCAACTCTGTTAGTTGAATGCACACAACACAAGGAAGTTACTGGGAATTCTTCTGTCTAGCCTTACAGGAAAAAAACCCGTTTCCAAAGAAGGCCTCTAAGTGGTCAAAATATCCACGTGCAGACTTTACAAACAGAGTGTTTCCAAACTGCTGAATGAAAAGAAAAGTTAAACTCTGAGAGTTGAATGCACACATCGCAGAGCAGTTTCTGAGAATGATTCTGTCTAGTTTTGAAACGAAGATATTTCCATTTCTGCCTTTGGCCTCAAAGCGCTTGAAATCTCCACTTGCAAATTCCACAAAAAGAGTGTTTCAAATCTGCTCTGTGTAAATGAAAGTTCAACTCTGTGAGTTGAACACACACAACACAAGGAAGTTACTGGGAATTCTTCTGTCTAGCCTTATATGAAAAAAACCCGTTTCCAACGAAGGCCTCAAAGAGGTCTGAATATCCACTTGCAGACTTTACAAACAGAGTGTTTCCTAACTGCTCTATGAAAAGTAAGGTTAAACTCTGTGAGTTGAACACACACATCACAAAGGAGTTTCTGAGAATCATTCTGTCTAGTTTTTATAGGAAGATATTTCCTTTTCTACCTTTGACTTCAAAGCGGCTGAAATCCCCACTTGCAAATTCCACAAAAAGAGTGTTACAAGTCTGCTCTGTGTAAAGGATCGTTCAACTCTGTGAGTTGAATACACACAACACAAGGAAGTTACTGAGAATTCTTCTGTCTAGCAGAATATGAAGAAATCCCGTTTCCAACGAAGGCCACAAGATGTCAGAATATCCACTTACAGAATTTACAAACAGACTGTTTCCTAACTGGTCTATGAAAAGAAAGGTTAAACTCTGTGAGTTGAACGAACACATCACAACGCAGTTTGTGGGAATGATTCTGTCTAGTTTTTATACGAAGATATTTCCTTTTCTACCATTGACCTCAAAGCGGCTGAAATCACCACTTGCCAATTGCACAAAAAGAGTGTTTCAAATCTGCTCTGTCTAAGGGAACGTTCAACTCTGTGAGTTGAATGTACACAACACAAGGAAGTTACTGGGAATTCTTCTGTCTAGCCTTACATGAAAAAAACCCGTTTCCAACGAAGGCGTCTAAGTGGTCAAAATATCCACGTGCAGACTTTAGAAACAGAGTGTTTCCAAACCGCTGAATGAAAAGAAAAGTTAAACTCTGAGAGTTGAACGCACACATCACGCAGCAGTTTCTGAGAATGATTCTGTCTAGTTTTTATACGAAGATATTTCCTTTTCTGCCTTTGGCCTCAAAGCGCTTGAAATCTCCACTTGCAAATTCCACAAAAAGAGTGTTTCAAATCTGCTCTGTGTAAATCAAAGTTCAACTCTGTGAGTTGAACACACACAACAGAAAGAAGTTACTGGGAATTCTTCTGTCTAGCAGAATATGAAGAAATCCCGTTTCCAACGAAGGCCTCTAGGAGGTCTGAATATCCACATGCAGACTTTACAAACAGAGTGTTTCCTAATGGCTCTATGAAAAGAAAAGTTAAACTCTGTGAGTTGAACGCACACATCACAAAGGAGTTTCTGAGAATCGTTCTGTCTAGTTTTTATAGGAAGATATTTCCTTTTCTACCTTTGACTTGAAAGCGGCTGAAATCTCCACTTGCAAATTCCACAAAAAGAGTGTTACAAGTCTGCTCTGTGTAAAGGGTCGTTCAACTCTGTGAGTTGAATACACACAACACAAGGAAGTTACTGAGAATTCTTCTGTCTAGCATAATATGAAGAAATCCCGTTTCCAACGAAGACCTCAAAGAGGTCTGAATATCCACTTGCAGACTTTACAAACAGAGTGTTTCCTAACTGCTCTACGAGAAGAAAAGTTAAACTCTGTGAGTTGAACGCACACATCACAAAAGATTTTCTGAGAATCATTCTGTCTAGTTTTTATACGAAGATATTTCCTTTTCTACCATGGACCTCAAAGCGGCTGAAATCTCCACTTGCAAATTCCACAAAAAGAGTGTTTCAAGTCTGCTCTGTGTAAAGGATCGTTCAACTCTGTGAGTTGAATACACACAACAGAAGGAAGATTCTGAGAATTCTTCTGTCTAGCAGAATATGAAGAAATCCCGTTTCCAACGAAGGCCACAAGATGTCAGAATATCCACTTACAGACTTTACAAACAGTGTGTTTCCTAACTGCTCTATGAACGGAGAGGTTAAACTCTGTGAGTTGAACGAACACATCACAACGCAGTTTGTGGGAATGATTCTGTCTAGTTTTTATACGAAGATATTTCCTTTTCTACCATTGACCTCAAAGCGGCTGAAATCACCACTTGCCAATTGCACAAAAAGAGTGTTTCAAATCTGCTCTCTCTAAGGAAACGTTCAACTCTGTGAGTTGAATGTACACAACACAAGGAAAGTTACTGGGAATTCTACCGTCTAGCCTTACAGGAAAAAAACCCGTTTCCAACGAAGGCCTCTAAGTGGTCAAAATATCCACGTGCAGACTTTACAAACAGAGTGTTTCCAAACTGCTGAATGAAAAGAAAAGTTAAACTCTGAGAGTTGAACGCACACATCGCAGAGCAGTTTCTGAGAATGATTCTGTCTAGTTTTTATACGAAGATATTTCCTTGTCTACCATTGACCTCAAAGCGGCAGAAATCTCCACTTGCAAATTCCACAAAAAGAGTGTTTCAAGTCTGCTCTGTGTAACGGATCGTTGAACTCTGTGAGTTGAATACACACAACACAAGGAAGTTACTGAGAATTCTTCTGTCTAGCATAATATGAAGAAATCCCGTTTCCAACGAAGGCTTCAAAGAGGTCTGAATATCCACTTGCAGACTTTACAAACAGAGTGTTCCCTAACTGCTCTATGAAAAGAAAGGTTAAACTCTGTGAGTTGAGCGCACACATCACAAAGAAGTTTCTGAGAATCATTCTGTCTAGTTTTTATACGAATATATTTCCTTTTCTACCATTGACCTCAAAGCGGCTGAAATCTCCACTTGCAAATTCCACAAAAAGAGTGTTTCAAGTCTGTTCTGCGTAAAGGATCATTCAACTCTGTGAGTTGAATACACAAAACACAAGGAAGTTACTGAGAATTCTTCCGTCTAGGAGAATATGAAGAAATCCCGTTTCCAACGAAGGCCACAAGATGTCAGAATATCCACTTACAGAATTGACAAACAGACTGTTTCCTAACTGCTCTATGAAAAGAAAGGTTAAACTCTGTGAGTTGAACGAACACATCACAACGCAGTTTGTGGGAATGATTCTGTCTAGTTTTGAAACGACGATATTTCCTTTTCTGCCATTGACCTTAAAGCGCTTGAAATCTCCATTTGCCAATTGCACAAAAAGAGTGTTTCAAATCTGCTCTGTCTAAGGTAACGTTCAACTCTGTGAGTTGAATGTACACAACACAAGGGAAGTTACTGGGAATTCTTCTTTCTAGCCTTACAGGAAAAAAACCCGTTTCCAACGAAGGCCTCTAAGTGGTCAAAATATCCACGTGCAGACTTTACAAACAGAGTGTTTCCAAACTGCTGAATGAAAAGAAAAGTTAAACTCTGAGAGTTGAACGCACACATCGCAGAGCAGTTTCTGAGAATGATTCTGTCTAGTTTTATACGAAGATATTTCCTTTTCTGCGTTTGGCCCCAAAGCGCTTGAAATCTCCACTTGCAAATTCCACAAAAACAGTGTTTCAAATCTGCTCTCTCTACATGAAAGTTCAACTCTGTCAGTTGAATACACACAACACAAGGAAGTTACTGAGAATTCTTCTGTCTAGCATAATATGAAGAAATCCCGTTTCCAACGAAGGCCTCAAGGAGGTCTGAATATCCACTTGCAGACTTTACAAACAGAGTGTTTCCTAACTGCTCTATTAAAAGAAAGGTTAAACTCTGTGAGTTGAATGCACACATCACAAAGGAGTTTCTGAGAATCATTCTGTATAGTTTCTATAGGAAGATATTTCTTATTCTACCATTGAACTCAAAGCGGCTGAAATCTCCACTTGCAAATTCCACAAAAAGAGTGTTTCAAGTCTGCTCTGTGTAAAGGATCGTTCAACTCTGTGAGTTGAATACACACAACACAAGGAAGTTAATGAGAATTCTTCTGTCTAGCATAATATGAAGAAAACCCGTTTCCAACGAAGGCCTCAAGGAGGTCTGAATATCCACTTGCAGACGTTACAAACAGAGTGTTTCCTAACTGCTCTATGAAAAGAAAGGTTAAACTCTGTGAGTTGAACGCCACATCACAAAGGAGTTTCTCAGAATCATTCTGTCTACTCTTTATACGAACATAGTTTCCTTTTCTACCTTTGACCTCAAAGCGGCTGAAATCTCCACTTGCAAATTCCACAAAAAGTGTGTTTCAAGTCTGCTCTGTGTAAAGGATCGTTCAACTCTTTGAGTTGAATACACACAACACAAGGAAGTTACTGAGAATTCTTCTGTCTATCAGAATATGAAGAAATCCCGTTTCCAAAGAAGGCCTCAAGGAGGTCTGAATATCCACTTGCAGACTTTACAAACAGAGTGTTTCCTAACTGCTCTATGAACAGAAAGGTTAAACTCTGTGAGTTGAACGCACACATCACAAAGGAGTTTTTGAGAATCATTCTGTCTAGTTTTTATACGAAGATATTTCCTTTTCTACCATTGACCTCAACGCGGCTGAAATCTCCACTTGCAAATTCCACAAAAAGAGCGTTTCAAGTCTGCTCTGTGTAAAGGATCGTTCAACTCTGTGAGTTGAATACACACAACACAAGGAAGTTACTGAGAATTTTTCTGTCTAGCAGAATATGAAGAAATCCCGTTTCCAACGAAGGCCTCAAGGAGGTCTGAATATCCACTTGCAGAATTTACAAACAGAGTGTTTCCTAACTGCTCTATGAAAAGAAAGGTTAAACTCTGTGAGTTGAACGCACACATCACAAAGGAGTTTATGAGAATCATTCTCTCTAGTTTCTATAGGAAGATATTTCCTATTCTAACATTGACCTCAAAGCGGCTGAAATCTCCACTTGCAAATTCCACAAAAAGAGTGTTTCCAGTCTGCTCTGTGTAAAGGATCGTTCAACTCTGTGAGTTGAATACACACAACACAAAGAAGTTACTGAGAATTCTTCTGTCTAGCAGAATATGAAGAAATCCCGTTTAAAACGAAGGCCACAAGATGTCAGAATATCCACTTACAGACTTTACAAACAGAGTGTTTCCTAACTGCTCTATGAACAGAAAGGTTAAACTCTGTGAGTTGAACGAACACATCACAACGCAGTTTGTGGGAATGATTCTGTCTAGTTTTGAAACGAAGATATTTCCTTTTCTGCCATTGACCTTAAAGCGCTTGAAATCTACACTTGCAAATTACACAAATAGAATGTTTCAAATCTGCTCTGTCTAAGGGAACGTTCAACTCTGTGAGTTGAATGCACACAACACAAGGAAGTTACTGGGATTTATTCTGTCTAGCCTTACAGGAAAAAAACCCGTTTCCAACGAAGGCCTCTAAGTGGTCAAATATCCACGTGCAGACTTTACAAACAGAGTGTTTCCAAACTGCTGAATGAAAAGAAAAGTTAAACTCTGAGAGTTGAACGCACACATCGCAGAGCAGTTTCTGAGAATGATTCTGTCTAGTTTTTATACGAAGATATTTCCTTTTCTGCCTTTGGCCCCAAAGCGCTTGAAATCTCCACTTGCAAATTCCACAAAAACAGTGTTTCAAATCTGCTCTCTCTAAAGGAAAGTTCAACTCTGTCAGTTGAATACACACAACACAAGGAAGTTACTGAGAATTCTTCTGTCTAGCCTTATATGAAAAAAACCCGTTTCCAACGAAGGCCTCAAAGAGGTCTGAATATCCACTTGCAGACTTTACAAACAGAGTGTTTCCTAACTGCTCTATGAAAAGAAAGGTTAAACTCTGTGAGTTGAACACACACAGCACAAAGGAGTTTCTGAGAATCATTCTGTCTAGTTTTTATACGAAGATATTTCCTATTCTACCATTGACCTCAAAGCGGCAGAAATCTCCACTTGCAAATTCCACAAAAAGAGTGTTTCAAGTCTGCTCTGTGTAAAGGATCGTTCAACTCTGTGAGTTGAATACACACAACACAAGGAAGTTACTGAGAATTCTTCTGTCTAGCAGAATATGAAGAAATCCCGTTTCCAACGAAGGCCACAAGATGTCAGAATATCCACTTACAGACTTTACAAACAGAATGTTTCCTAACTGCTCTATGAACAGAAAGTTTAAACTCTGTGAGTTGAACGAACACATCACAACGTAGTTTGTGAGAATGATTGTCTGTCTAGTTTTGAAACGAAGATATTTCCTTTTCTGCCATTGACCTCAAAGCGCTTGAAATCTACACTTGCAAATTGCACAAATAGAGTGTTTCAAATCTGGTCTGTCTAAGGGAACGTTCAACTCTGTGAGTTGAATGCACACAACACAAGGAAGTTACTGGGAATTCTTCTGTCTAGCCTTACATGAAAAAAAACCCGTTTCCAACGAAGGCCTCTAAGTGGTCAAAATATCCACGTGCAGACTTTACAAACAGAGTGTTTCCAAACCGCTGAATGAAAAGAAAAGTTAAACTCTGAGAGTTGAACGCACACATCACGCAACAGTTTCTGAGAATGATTCTGTCTAGTTTTTATACGAAGATATTTCCTTTTCTGCCTTTGGCCTCAAAGCGCTTGAAATCTCCACTTGCAAATTCCACAAAAAGAGTGTTTCAAATCTGCTCTGTGTAAATGAGAGTTCAACTCTGTGAGTTGAACACACACAACACAAGGAAAGTTACTGGGAATTCTTCTGTCTAGCAGAACATGAAGAAATCCCGTTTCCAACGAAGGCCTCAAAGTTGTCTGAATATCCACTTGCAGACTTTACAAACAGAGTGTTTCCTAACTGCTCTATGAAAAGAAAGGTTAAACTCTGTGAGTTGAACGCACACATCACAAAGGAGTTTCTGAGAATCATTCTGTCTAGTCTTTATAGGAAGATATTTACTTTTCTACCATTGACCACAAAGCGGCTGAAATCTCCACTTGCAAATTCGACAAAAAGAGTGTTTCAAGCCTGCTCTCTGTAAAGGATCCTTCAACTCTGTGAGTTGAATACACACAACACAAGGAAGTTACTGAGAATTATTCTGTCTAGCAGTAATATGAAGAAATCCCGTTTCCAACGAAGGCCTCAAGGAGGTCTGAATATCCACTTGCAGACTTTACAAACAGAGTGTTTCCTAACTGCTCTATGAACAGAAAGGTTAAACTCTGTGAGTTGAACGAACACATCACAACGCAGTTTGTGGGAATGATTCTGTCTAGTTTTTATAGGAAGATATTTCCTTTTCTACCATTGACCTCAAAGCGGCTGAAATCACCACTTGCCAATTGCACAAAAAGAGTGTTTCAAATCTGCTCTGTCTAAGGGAACGTTCAACTCTGTGAGTTGAATGTACACAACACAAGGAAGTTACTGGGAATTCTTCTGTCTAGCCTTACATGAAAAAAACCCGTTTCCAACGAAGGCCTCTAAATGGTCAAAATATCCACGTGCAGACTTTACAAACAGAGTGTTTCCAAACTGCTGAATGAAAAGAAAAGTTAAACTCTGAGAGTTGAACGCACACATCGCAGAGCAGTTTCTGAGAATGATTCTGTCTAGTCTTTATACGGAGATATTTCCTTTTCTACCGTTGACCTCAAAGCGGCTGAAATCTCCACTTGCAAATTCCACAAAAAGAGTGTTTCAAGTCTGCTCTGTGTAAAGGATCGTTCAACTCTGTGAGTTGAATACACACAACACAAGGAAGTTAGTGAGAATTCTTCTGTCTAGCAGAATATGAAGAAATCCCATTTCCAACGAAGGCCTCAAGGAGGTCTGAATATCCACTTGCAGACTTTACAAACAGAGTGTTTCCTAACTGCTCTACGAAAAGAAAGGTTAAACTCTGTGAGTTGAACGCACACATCACAAAGGAGTTTCTGAGAATCATTCTGTCTAGTTTCTATAGGAAGATATTTCCTATTCTACCATTGACCTCAAAGCGGCTGAAATCTCCACTTGCAAATTCCACAAAAAGAGTGTTTCAAGTCTGCTCTCTGTAAAGGATCGTACAACTCTGAGTTGAATACCCACAACAAAAGGAAGTTACTGAGAATTATTCTGTCTAGCCTTACATGAAAAAAACCCGTTTCCAACGAAGGCCTCTAAGTGGTCAAATTATCCACGTGCAGACTTTACAAACAGAGTGTTTCCAAACTGCTGAATGAAAAGAAAAGTTAAACTCTGAGAGTTGAACGCACACATCACAGAGCAGTTTCTGAGAATGATTCTGTCTAGTTTTTATACGAAGATATTTCCTTTTCTGCCTTTGGCCTCAAAGCGCTTGAAATCTCCATCTGCAAATTCCACAAAAAGAGTGTTTCAAATCTGCTCTGTGTAAATGAAAGTTCAACTCTGTGAGTTGAACACACACAACACAAGGAAGTTACTGGGAATTCTTCTGTCTAGCCTTAGATTAAAAAAACGTGTTTCCAACGAAGGCCTCAAAGAGGTCTGAATATCCACTTGCAGACTTTACAAACAGAGTGTTCCCTAACTGTTCTATGAAAAGAAAGGTTAAACTCTGTGAGTTGAACACACACATCACAAAGGAGTTTCTGAGAATCATTCTGTCTAGTTTCTATAGGAAGATATTTCCTATTCTACCATTGACCTCAAAGCGGCTGAAATCTCCACTTGCAAATTCAACAAAAAGAGTGTTTCAAGTCTGCTCTGTGTAAAGGACCGTTCAACTCTGTGAGTTGAATACACACAACACAAGGGAAGTTACTGAGAATTCTTCTGTCTAGCATAATATGAAGAAATAACGTTTCCAACGAAGGCCTCAAAGAGGTCTGAATATCCACTTGCAGACTTTACAAACAGAGTGTTTCCTAACTGCTCTATGAACAGAAAAGTTAAACTCTGTGAGTTGAACGCACACATCACAAAGGATTTTCTGAGAATCATTCTGTCTAGTTTTTATACGAAGATATTTCCTTTTCTACCATGGACCTCAAAGCGGCTGAAATCTCCACTTGCAAATTCCACAAAAAGAGTGTTTCAAGTCTGCTCTGTGTAAAGGATCGTTCAACTCTGTGAGTTGAATACACACAACACAAGGAAGATTCTCAGAATTCTTCTGTCTAGCAGAATATGAAGAAATCCCGTTTCCAACGAAGGCCACAAGATGTCAGAATATCCACTTACAGACTTTACAAACAGTGTGTTTCCTAACTGCTCTATGAACGGAAAGGTTAAACTCTGTGAGTTGAATGAACACATCACAACGCAGTTTGTGGGAATGATTCTGTCTAGTTTTGAAACGAAGATATTTCCTTTTCTGCCATTGACCTTAAAGCGCTTGAAATCTCCATTTGCCAATTGCACAAAAAGAGTGTTTCAAATCTGCTTTGTCTAAGGGAACGTTCAACTCTGTGAGTTGAATGTACACAACACAAGGAAGTTACTGGGAATTCTTCTGTCTAGACTTACATGAAAAAAACCCGTTTCCAACGAAGGCCTCTAAGTGGTCAAGTTATCCACGTGCAGACTTTACAAACAGAGTGTTTCCAAACTTCTGAATGAAAAGAAAAGTTAAACTCTGAGAGTTGAACGCACACATCGCAGAGCAGTTTCTGAGAATGATTCTGTCTCGTTTTTATACGAAGATATTTCCTTTTCTGCCTTTGGCCTCAAAGCGCTTGAAATCTCCATTTCAAATTCCACAAAAAGAGTGTTTCAAATCTGCTCTGTGTAAATGAAAGTTCAACTCTGTGAGTTGAACACACACAACACAAGGAAGTTACTGGGAATTCTTCTGTCTAGCATAATATGAAGAAATCCCGTTTCCAACGAAGGCCTTAAGGAGGTCTGAATATCCACTTGCAGAATTTACAAATAGAGTGTTTCCTAACTGCTCTATGAAAAGAAAGGTTAAACTCTGTGAGTTGAACGCACACATCACAAAGGAGTTTCTGAGAATCATTCTGTCAAGTTTTTATAGGAAGATATTTCCTTTTCTACCTTTGACTTCAAAGCTGCTGAAATCTCCACTTGCAAATTCCACAAAAAGAGTGTTACAAGTCTGCTCTGTCTAAGGGAACGTTCAACTCTGTGAGTTGAATGTACACAACACAAGGAAGTTACTGGGAATTCTTCTCTCTAGCAGAATATGAAGAAAACCCGTTTCCAACGAAGGCCTCAAAGAGGTCTGAATATCCACTTGCAGACTTTACAAACAGAGTGTCTCCTAACTGCTCTATGAAAAGAAAGGTTGAACTCTGTGAGTTGAACGCACACATCACAAAGGAGTTTCTGAGAATCATTCTGTCTAGTTTTTATACGAAGATATTTCCTTTTCTACCATGGACCTCAAAGCGGCTGAAATCTCCACTTGCAAATTCCACAAAAAGAGTGTTTCAAGTCTGCTCTGTGTAAAGGATCGTTCATCTCTGTGAGTTGAATACACACAACACAAGGAAGTTTCTGAGAATTCTTCTGTCTAGCAGAATATGAAGAAATCCCGTTTCCATCGAAGGCCACAAGATGTCAGAATATCCACTTTCAGACTTTACAAACAGAGTGTTTCCTAACTGCTCTATGAACAGAAAGGTTAAACTCTGTGAGTTGAACGAACACATCACAACGCAGTTTGTGGGAATGATTCTGTCTAGTTTTTATACGAAGATATTTCCTTTTCTACCATTGACCTCAAAGCGGCTGAAATCACCACTTGCCAATTGCAGAAAAAGAGTATTTCAAATCTACTCTGTCTAAGGGAACGTTCAAATGTGTGAGTTGAATGTACGCAACACAAGGAAGTTCCTGGGAATTCTTCTGTCTAGCCTTACAAAAAAAAACCCGTTTCCAACGAAAGCCTCTAAATGGTCAAAATATCCACGTGCAGACTTTACAGAGTGTTTCCAAACTGCTGAATGAAAAGAAAAGTTAAACTCTGAGAGTTGAACGCACACATCGCAGAGCAGTTTCTGAGAATGATTCTGTCTAGTTTTTATACGAAGATATTTCCTTTTCTGCCTTTGGCCCCAAAGCGCTTGAAATCTCCAATTGCAAATTCCACAAAAACAGTGTTTCAAATCTGCTCTCTCTAAATGAAAGTTCAACTCTGTCAGTTGAATACACAAAACACAAGGAAGTTACTGAGAATTCTTCTGTCTAGCCTTATATGAAAAAAAACCGTTTCCAACGAAGGCCTCAAAGAGGTCTGAATATCCACTTGCAGACTTTACAAACAGAGTGTTTCCTAACTGCTCTATGAAAAGAAAGGTTAAACTCTGTGAGTTCAACGCACACATCACAAAGGAGTTTCTGAGAATCATTCTGTCTAGTTTTTATACGAAGATATTTCCTTTTCTACCATTGACCTCAAAGCGGATGAAATCTCCACTTGCAAATTCCACAAAAAGAGTGTTTCAAGTCTACGCTGTGTAAAGGATCGTTCAACTCTGTGAGTTGAAAACACACAACACAACGAAGTTTCTGAGAATTCTTCTGTCTAGCCTTACATGAAAAAAACCCGTTTCCAACAAAGGCCTCTAAGTGGTCAAATTATCCAAGTGCAGACTTTACAAACAGAGTGTTTCCAAACTGCTGAATGAAAAGAAAAGTTAAACTCTGAGAGTTGAACGCACACATCGCAGAGCAGTTTCTGAGAATGATTCTGCCTAGTTTTTATACGAAGATATTTCCTTTTCTGCCTTTGGCCTCAAAGCGCTTGAAATCTCCATTTGCAAATTCCACAAAAAGAGAGTTTCAAATCTGCTCTGTGTAAATGAGAGTTCATCTCTGTGAGTTGAACACACACAACACAAAGAAGTTACTGGGAATTCTTCTGTATAGCAGAATATGAAGAAATCCCGTTTCCAACGAAAGCCTCAAAGATGTCTGAATATCCACCTGCAGACTTTACAAACAGAGTGTTTCCTAACTGCTCTATGAAAACAAAGGTTAAACTCTGTGAGTTGAACGCACACATCACAAAGGAGTTTCTGAGAATCATTCTGTCTAGTTTCTATAGGAAGATATTTCTTATTCCACCATTGACCTCAAAGCGGCTGAAATCTCCACTTGCAAATTCCACAAAAAGAATGTTTCAAGTCTGCTCTGTGTAAAGGATCGTTCAACTCTGTGAGTTGAATACACACAACACAAGGAAGTTACTGAGAATTCTTCTGTCTAGCAGAATATGAAGAAATCCCGTTCCCAACGAAGGCCACAAGATGTCAGAATATCCACTTACAGACTTTACAAACAGAGTGTTTCCTAACTGCTCTATGAACAGAAAGGTTAAACTCTGTGAGTTGAACGAACACATCACAACGCAGTTTGTGGGAATGATTCTGTCTAGTTTTGAAACCAAGATATTTCCTTTTCTGCCGTTGACCTAAAAGAGCTTGAAAACTACACTTGCAAATTGCACAAATAGAGTGTTTCAAATCTGCTCTGTCTAAGGGAACGTTCAACTCTGTGAGTTGAATGCACACAACACAAGGAAGTTACTGGGAATTCTTCTGTCTAGCCTTACATGAAAAAAACCCGTTTCCAACGAAGGCCTCTAAGTGGTCAAAAGTTCCACGTGCAGACTTTACAAACAGAGTGTTTCCAAACCGCTGAATGAAAAGAAAAGTTAAACTCTGAGAGTTGAACGCACACATCACGCAGCAGTTTCTGAGAATGATTCTGTCTAGTTTCTATAGGAATATATTTCCTATTCTACCATTGACCACAAAGAGGCTGAAATCTCCACTTGCAAATTCCACAAAAAGAGTGTTTCAAGTCTGCTCTGTGTAAAGGATCGTTCAAATCTGTGAGTTGAATACACACAACACAAGGAAGTTACTGAGAATTCTTCTGTATAGCAGAATATGAAGAAATGCAGTTTCCAACGAAGGCCTCAAGGAGGTCTGAATATCCACTTGCAGACTTTACAAACAGAGTGTTTCCTAACTGCTCTATGAAAAGAAAGGTTAAACTCTGTGAGTTGAACGCACACATCACAAAGGAGTTTCTCAGAATCATTCTGTCTAGTTTTTATACGAAGATATTTCCTTTTCTAACATTGACCTCAAAGCGGCTGAAATCTCCACTTGCAAATATCCACAAAAAGAGTGTTTCAAGTCTGCTCTGTGTAAAGGATCGTTCAACTCTGTGAGTTGAATACACACAACACAAGGAAGTTACTGAGAATTCTTCTTTCTAGCAGAATATGAAGAAATCCCGTTTCCAACGAAAGCCTCAAGGATGTCTGAATATCCAGTTGCAGACTTTACAAACAGAGTGTTTCCTAACTGCTCTATGAAAAGAAAGGTTAAACCTTGTGTGTTGAACACACACATCACAAAGCAGTTTCTGAGAATCATTCTGTCTAGTTTCTATAAGAAGATATTTCCTATTCTACCATTGAACTCAAAGCGGCTGAAATCTCCACATGCAAATTCCACAAAAAGAGTGTTTCAAGTCTGCTCTGTGTAAAGGATCGTTCAACTCTGTGAGTTGAATACACACAACACAAGGAAGTTACTGAGAATTCTTCTGTCTAGCATAATAGGAAGAAATCCCGTTTCCAACGAAGGCCACAAGGAGGTCTGAATATCCACTTGCAGACTTTACAAACAGAGTGTTTCCTAACTGCTCTATGAAAAGAAAGGTTAAACTGTGTGAGTTGAACGCACACATCACAAAGGAGTTTCTGAGAATCATTGTGTCTATTTTCTATAGGAAGATATTTCCTATTCTACCATTGACCTCAAAGCGGCTGAAATCTCCACTTGCAAATTCCACAAAAAGAGTGTTTCAAGTCTGCTCTGTGTAAAGGATCGTTCAACTCTGTGAGTTTAATACACACAACACAAGGAAGTTACTGAGAATTCTTCTGTCTAGCCTTACATGAAAAAAACCTGTCTCCAACGAAGGCTTCTAAGTGGTCAAAATATCCACGTGCAGACTTTACAAACAGAGTGTTTCCAAACTGCTGAATGAAAAGAAAAGTTAAACTCTGAGAGTTGAACGCACACATCACAGAGCGGTTTCTGAGAATGATTCTGTCTAGTTTTTATACGAAGATATTTCCTTTTCTGCCTTTGGCCTCAAAGCGCTTGAAATCTCCATTTGCAAATTCCACAAAAAGAGTGATTCAAATCTGCTCTGTGTAAATGAAAGTTCAACTCTGTGAGTTGAACACACACAACACAAGGAAGTTACTGGGAAATCTTCTGTCTAGCAGAATATGAAGAAATCCCGTTTCCAACGAAGGCCTCAAACAGGTCTGAATATCCACTTGCAGACTTTACAAACAGAGTGTTTCCTAACTGCTCTATGAAAAGAAAAGTTAAACTCTGTGAGTTGAACGCACACATCACAAAGGAGTTTATGAGAATCATTCTGTCTAGTTTTTATACGAAGATAGTTTCCTTTTCTAACATTGACCTCAAAGCGGCTGAAATCTCCACTTGCAAATTCCACAAAAAGAGTGTTTTAAGTCTGCTCTGTGTAAAGGATCGTTCAAATCTGTGAGTTGAATACACACAACACAAGGAAGTTACTGAGAATTCTTCTGTCTAGCCTTACATGAAAAAAACCCGTTTCCAACGAAGGCCTCTAAGTGGTCAAAATATCCACGTGCAGACTTTACAAACAGAGTGTTTCCAAACTGCTGAATGAAACGAAAAGTTAAACTCTGAGAGTTGAACGCACACATCGCAGAGCAGTTTCTGAGAATGATTCTGTCTAGTTTTTATACGAAGATATTTCCTTTTCTGCCTTTGGCCTCAAAGCGCTTGAAATCTCCACCTGCAAATTCCACAAAAAGAGTGTTTCAAATCTGCTCTTTGTAAATGAAAGTTCAACTCTGTGAGTTGAACACACACAACACAAGGAAGTTACTGGGAATTCTTCTGTCTAGCAGAATATGAAGAAATCCCGTTTCCAACGAAGGCCTCAAACAGGTCTGAATATCCACTTGCAGACTTTACAAACAGAGTGTTTCCTAACTGCTCTATGAAAAGAAAGGTTAAACTCTGTGAGTTGAACGCACACATCACAAAGGAGTTTCTGAGAATCGTTCTGTCTAGTTCCTATAGGAAGATATTTCCTATTCTACCATTGACCTCAAAGCGGCTGAAATCTCCACTTGCAAATTCCACAAAAAGAGTGTTTCAAGTCTGCACTGTGTAAAGGATCGTTCAACTCTTTGAGTTGAATACACACAACACAAGGAAGTTTCTGATAATTCTTCTGTCTAGCATAATATGAAGAAATCCCGTTTCCAACGAAGGCCTCAAACAGGTCTGAATATCCACTTGCAGAGTTTACAAACAGAGTGTTTCCTAACTGCTCTATGAAAAGAAAGGTTAAACTCTGTGAGTTGAACGCACACATCACAAAGAAGTTTCTGAGAATCATTCTGTCTAGTTTTTATATGAAGATATTTCCTTTTCTACCGTTGACCTCAAAGCGGCTGAAATCTCCACTTACAAATTCCACAAAAAGAGTGTCTCAAGTCTGCTCTGTGTAAACGATCGTTCAACTCTGTGAGTTGAATACACACAACACAAGGAAGTTACTGAGAATTCTTCTGTCTAGCAGAATATGAAGAAATCCCGTTTCCAACGAAGGCCACAAGATGTCAGAATATCCACTTACAGAATTTACAAACAGACTGTTTCCTAACTGTTCTATGAAAAGAAAGGTTAAACTCTGTGAGTTGAACGAACACATCACAACGCAGTTTGTGGGAATGATTCTGTCTAGTTTTGAAACGAAGATATTTCCGTTTCTGCCATTGACCTTAAAGCGCTTGAAATCTCCACTTGCCAATTGCACAAAAAGAGTGTTTCAAATCTGCTCTGTCTAAGGGAACGTTCAACTCTGTGAGTTGAATGTACACAACACAAGGAAGTTACTGGGAATTCTTCTGTCTAGCCTTACATGAAAAAAACCCGTTTCCAACGAAGGCCTCTAAGTGGTCAAGTTATCCACGTGCAGACTTTACAAACAGAGTGTTTTCAAACTGCTGAATGAAAAGAAAAGTTAAACTCTGAGAGTTGAAAGCACACATCGCAGAGCAGTTTCTGAGAATGATTCTGTCTAGTTTTGAAACGAAGATATTTCCTTTTCTGCCTTTGGCCTCAAAGTGCTTGAAATCTCCACTTGCAAATTCCACAAAAAGAGTGTTTCAAATCTGCTCTGTGTAAATGAAAGTTCAACTCTGTGAGTTGAACACACACAACACAAGGAAGTTACTGGGAATTCTTCTCTATAGCAGAATATGAAGAAATCCCGTTTCCAACGAAGGCCTCAAGGAGGTCTGAATATCCACTTGCAGACTTTACAAACAGAGTGTTTCCTAACTGCTCTATGAAAAGAAAGGTTAAACTCTGTGAGCTGAACGCACACAGCAAAAAGGAGTTTCTGAGAATCATTCTGTCTAGTTTTTATACGAAGATATTTCCTTTTCTAAAATTGACCTCAAAGCGGCTGAAATCTCCACCCTGCCAATTCCACAAAAAGAGTGTTTCAAGTCTACTCTGTGTAAAGGATCGTTGAACTCTGTGAGTTGACCACACACAACACAACGAAGTTTCTGAGAATTCTTCTGTCTAGCAGAATATGAAGAAATCCCGTTTCCAACGAAAGCCTCAAAGATGTCTGAATATCCACTTGCAGACTTTACAAACAGAGTGTTTCCTAACTGCTCTATGAAAAGAAAGGATAAACTCTGTGAGTTGAACGCACACATCACAAAGGAGTTTCTGAGAATCATTCTGTCTAGTTTTTATACGAAGATATTTCCTTTTCTGCATTTGGCCCCAAAGCGGTTGAAATATACACTTGCAAATTCCACAAAAACAGTGTTTAAAATCTGCTCTATCTAAATGAGAGTTCAACTCTGTCAGTTGAATACACGCAACACAAGGAAGTTACTGAGAATTCTTCTGTCTAGCCTTATATGAAAAAAACCCGTTTCCAACGAAGGCCTCAAAGAGGTCTGAATATCCACTTGGAGACTTTACAAACAGAGTGTTTCCTAACTGCTCTATGAAAAGAAACGTTAAACTCTGTGAGTTGAAAGCACACATCACAAAGGAGTTTCTGAGAATCATTCTGTCTAGTTTTTATAGGAAGATATTTCCTTTTCTACCTTTGACTTCAAAGCGGCTGAAATCTCCACTTGCAAATTCCACAAAAAGAGTGTTACAAGTCTGCTCTGTGTAAAGGATCGTTCAACTCTGTGAGTTGAATACACACAACAGAAGGAAGTTACTGAGAATTCTTCTGTCTAGCCTTACATGAAAAAAACCCGTTTCCAACGAAGGCCTCTAAGTGGTCAAATTATCCACGTGCAGACTTTACAAACAGAGTGTTTCCAAACTGCTGAATGAAAAGAAAAGTTAAACTCTGAGAGTTGAACGCACACATCGCAGAGCAGTTTCTGGGAATGATTCTGTCTAGTTTTGAAACGAAGACATTTCCTTTTCTGCCTTTGGCCTCAAAGTGCTTGAAATCTCCATTTGCAAATTCCACAAAAAGAGTGTTTCAAATCTGCTCTGTGTAAATGAAAGTTCAACTCTGTGAGTTGAACACACACAACACAAGGAAGTTACTGGCAATTCTTCGGTCTAGCATAATATGAAGAAATCCCGTTTCCAACGAAGGCCTCAAAGAGGTCTGAATATCCACTTGCAGACTTTACAAACAGAGTGTTTCCTAACTGCTCTATGAAAAGAAAAGTTAAACTCTGTGAGTTGAACGCACACATCACAAAGGAGTTTCTGAGAATCATTCTGTCTACTTTCTATAGGAAGATATTTCCTATTCTACCATTGACCTCAAAGCGGCTGAAATCTCCACTTGCAAATTCCACAAAAGGAGTGTTTCAAGTCTGCTCTGTGTAAAGGATCGTGCAACTCTGTGAGTTGAAAACACACAACACAAGGAAGTTACTGAGAATTCTTCTGTCTAGCAGAATATGAAGAAATCCCGTTTCCAACAAAGGCCACAAGATGTCAGAATATCCACTTACAGACTTTACAAACAGAGTGTTTCCTAACTGCTCTATGAACAGAAAGTTTAAACTCTGTGAGTTGAACGAGCACATCCCAACGCAGTTTGTGGGAATGATTCTGTCTAGTTTTGAAACGAAGATATTTCCTTTTCTGCCATTGACCTTAAAGCGCTTGAAATCTACACTTGCAAATTGCACAAATAGAGTGTTTCAAATCTGCTCTGTCTAAGGGAACGTTCACCTCTGTGAGTTGAATGCACACAACACAAGGAAGTTACTGGGAATTCTTCTGTCTAGCCTTACAGGAAAAAAACCCGTTTCCAACGAAGGCCTCTAAGTGGTCAAAATAAACACGTGCAGACTTTACAAACAGAGTGTTTCCAAACTGCTGAATGAAAAGAAAAGTTAAACTCTGAGAGTTGAACGCACACATCGCAGAGCAGTTTCTGAGAATGATTCTGTCTAGTTTTTATACGAAGATATTTCCTTTTCTGCTTTTGGCCTCAAAGCGCTTGAAATCTCCATTTGCAAATTCCACAAGAAGAGTGTTTCAAATCTGCTCTGTCTAAATGAAAGTTCAACTCTGTCAGTTGAATACACACAACACAAGGAAGTTACTGAGAATTCTTCTGTCTAGCATAATATGAAGAAATCCCGTTTCCAACGAAGGCCTCAAAGAGGTCTGAATATCCACTTGCAGACTTTACAAACAGAGTGTTTCCTAACTGCTCTATGAGAAGAAAAGTTAAACTCTGTGAGTTAAACGCACACATCACAAAAGATTTTCTGAGAATCATTCTGTCTAGTTTTTATAGGAAGATATTTCCTTTTCTACCTTTGACTTCAAAGCGGCTGAAATCTCCACTTGCAAATTCCACAAAAAGAGTGTTACAAGTCTGCTCTGTATAAAGGATCGTTCAACTCTGTGAGTTGAATACACACAACACAAGGAAGTTACTGAGAATTCTTCTGTCTAGCAGAATATGAAGAAATCCCGTTTCCAACGAAGGCCTCAAAGAGGTCTGAATATCCACTTGCAGACTTTAGAAACAGAGTGTTTCCTAACTGCTCTATGAAAAGAAAGGTTAAACTCTGTGACTTGAACGCACACATCACAAAGGAGTTTCTGAGAATCATTCTGTCTTGTTTTTATACAAAGATATTTCCTTTTCTACCATTGACCTCAAAGGGGCTGAAATCTCCACTTGCAATTCCACAACAAGAGTGTGTCCAATCTGCTCTGTGTAAAAGATCGTTCAACTCTCTGAGTTGAATGCACACAACACAAGGAAGTTACTGAGAATTCTTCTGTATAGCAGAATATGAAGAAATCCCGTTTCCAACGAAAGCCTCAAAGAAGACTGAATATCCACTTGCAGACTTTACAAACAGAGTGTTTCCTAACTGCTCTATGAAAAGAAAGGTTAAACTCTGTGAGTTGAACGCACACATCACAAAGGAGTTTCTGAGAATCATTCTGTCTAGTTTCTATAGGAAGATATTTCCTATTCTACAATTGAACTCAAAGCGGCTGAAATCTCCACTTGCAAATTCCACAAAAAGAGTGTTTCAAGTCTGCTCTGTGTAAAGGATCGTTCAACTCTGTGAGTTGAATACACACAACACAAGGAAGTTACTGAGAATTCTTCTGTCTAGCATAATATGAAGAAATCCCGTTTCCAACGAAGGCCTCAAAGAGGTCTGAATATCCACTTGCAGACTTTACAAACAGAGTTTTTCCTAACTGCTCTATGAAAAGAAAAGTTAAACTGCTGTGAGTTGAACGCACACATCACAAAGGAGTTTATGAGAATCATTCTGTCTAGTTTTTATATGAAGATATTTCCTTTTCTACCAATGACCTCAAAGCGGCTGAAATCTCCACTTACAAATTCCACAAAAAGAGTGTCTCAAGTCTGCTCTGTGTAAACGATCGTTCAACTCTGTGAGTTGAATACACACAACACAAGGAAGTTTCTGAGAATTCTTCTGTCTAGCAGAATATGAAGAAATCCTGTTTCCAACGAAGGCCACAAGATGTCAGAATATCCACTTACAGAATTTACAAACAGACTGTTTCCCAACTGCTCTATGAAAAGAAAGGTTTAACTCTGTGAGTTGAACGCACACATCACAATGAAGTTTCTGAGAATCATTCTGTCTAGTTTTGAAACGAAGATATTTCCTTTTCTGCCATTGACCTTAAAGCGCTTGAAATCTACACTTGCAAATTGCACAAATAGAGTGTTTCAAATCTGCTCTGTCTAAGGCAACGTTCAACTCTGTGAGTTGAATGCACACAACACAAGGAAGTTACTGGGAATTCTTCTGTCTAGCCTTACAGGAAAGAAACCCGTTTCCAACGAAGGCCTCTAAGTGGTCAAAATATCCACGTGCAGACTTTACAAACAGAGTGTTTCCAAACTGCTGAATGAAAAGCAAAGTTAAACTCTGAGAGTTGAACGCACACATTGCAGAGCAGTTTCTGAGAATGATTCTGTCTAGTTTTTCTACGAAGATATATCCTTTTCTGCCTTTGGCCCCAAAGCGCTTGAAATCTCCACTTGCAAATTCCACAAAAACAGTGTTTCAAATCTGCTCTCTCCAAATGAAAGTTCAACTCTGTCAGTTGAATACACACAACACAAGGAAGTTACTGAGAATTCTTCTGTCTAGCAGAATATGAAGAAATCCCGCTTCCAACGAAGGCCTCAAAGAAGTCTGAATATCCACTTGCAGACTTTACAAACAGAGTGTTTCCCAACTGCTCTAGGAAAAGAAAGGTTGAACTCTGTGAGTTGAACGCACACATCACAAAGGAGTTTTTGAGAATCATTCTGTCTAGTTTCTATAGGAAGATATTTCCTATTCTAACATTGAACTCAAAGCGGCTGAAATCTCCACTTGCAAATTCCACAAAAAGAGAGTTTCAAGTCTGCTCTGTGTAAAGGATCGTTCAACTCTGTGAGTTGAATACACACAACACAAGGAAGTTACTGAGAATTCTTCTGTCTAGCCTTATATGAAAAAAACCCGTTTCCAACGAAGGCCTCAAGGAGGTCTGAATATCCACTTGCAGACTTTACAAACAGAGTGTTTCCTAACTGCTCTAAGAAAAGAAAGGTTATACTCTGTGAGTTGAACGCACACATCACAAAGGAGTTTCTGAGAATCATTCTGTCTAGTTTTTATACGAAGATATCTCCTTTTCAACCATTGACCTCAAAGCGGCTGAAATCTCCACTTGCAAATTCCCCAAAAAGAGTGTTTCAAGTCTGCTCTGTGTAAAGGATCGTTGAACTCTGTGAGTTGAATACACACAACACAAGGAAGTTACTGAGAATTCTTCTTTCTAGCAGAATATGAAGAAAACCCGTTTCCAACGAAAGCCTCAAGGATGTCTGAATATCCACTTGCAGACTTTACAAACAGAGTGTTTCCCAACTGCTCTATGAAAAGAAAGGTTGAACTCTGCGAGTTGAACGCACACATCACAAAGGAGTTTCTGAGAATCATTCTGTCTAGTTTCTATAGGAAGATATTTCCTATTCTACCATTGACCTCAAAGCGGCTGAAATCTCCACTTGCAAGTTCCACAAAAAGAGTGTTTCAAGTCTGCCCTGTGTAAAGGATCGTTCAACTCTGTGAGTTGAATACACACAACACAAGGCAGTTACTGAGAATTCTTATGTCTAGCATAATATGAAGAAATCCCGTTTCCAACGAAGGCCTCAAGGAGGTCTGAATATCCACTTGCAGACTTTACAAACAGAGTGTTTCCTAACTGCTCTATGATAAGAAAGGTTAAACTGTGTGAGTTGAACGCACACATCACAAAGGAGTTTCTCAGAATCATTCTGTCTAGTTTCTATAGGAAGATATTTCCTATTCTACCATTGACCTCAAAGCGCCTGAAATCTCCACTTGCAAATTCCACAAAAAGAGTGTTTCAAGTCTGCTCTCTGTAAAGGATCGTTCAACTCTGTGAGTTGAATACACACAAAACAAGGAAGTTACTGAGAATTATTCTGTCTAGCATAATATGAAGAAATCCCGTTTCCAACGAAGGCCTCAAAGGGGTCTGAATATCCACTTGCAGACATTACAAACAGAGTGTTTCCTAACTGCTCTATGAAAAGGAAAGTTAAACTCTGTGAGTTGAACGCACACATCACAAAGGAGTTTCTGAGAATCATTCTGTCTAGTTTCTATAGGAAGATATTTCCTATTCTACCATTGACCTCAAAGCGGCTGAAATCTCCACTTGCAAATTCCACACAAAGAGTGTTTCAAGTCTGCTCTGTGTAAAGGATCGTTCAACTCTGTGAGTTGAATACACACAACACAAGGAAGTTACTGAGAATTATTCTGTCTAGCCTTATATGAAAAAATCCCGTTTCCAACGAAGGCCTCAAAGAGGTCTCAATATCCACTTGCAGACTTTACAAACAGAGTGATTCCTAACTGCTCTATGAAAAGAAAGGTTAAACTCTGTGAGTTGAACACACACATCTCAAAGGAGTTTCTGAGAATCATTCTGTCTAGTTTCTATAGGAAGATATTTCCTATTCTACCATTGAACTCACAGCGGCTGAAATCTCCACTTGCAAATTCCACAAAAAGAGTGTTTCAAGTCTGCACTGTGTAAAGGATCGTTCAACTCTGTGAGTTGAATACACACAACACAAGGAAGTTACTGAGAATTCTTCTGTAGAGCAGAATATGAAGAAATCCCGTTTCCAACGAAGGCCTCAAGGAGGTCTGAATATCCACTTGCAGACTTTACAAACAGAGTGTTTCCTAACTGCTCTACGAAAAGAAAGGTTAAACTCTGTGAGTTGAACGCACACATCACAAAGGAGTTTCTGAGAATCATTCTCTCCAGTTTTTATACGAAGATATTTCCTTTTCTACCATTGACCTCAAAGCGGCTGAAATCTCCACTTGCAATTTCCACAAAAAGAGTGTTTCAAGTCTGCTCTGTGTAAAGGATCGTTCAACTCTGTGAGTTGAATACACACAACACAAGGAAGTTACTGAGAATTCTTCTGTCTAGCAGAATATGAAGAAATCCCGTTTCCAACGAAGGCCTCAAAGAGGTCTGAATATCCACTTGCAGACTTTACAGAGTGTTTCCTAACTGCTCTATGAAAAGAAAGGTTAAACTCTGTGAGTTGAAGGCACACATCACAAAGGAGTTTCTGAGAATCATTCTGTCTAGTTTCTATAGGAAGATATTTCCTATTCTACCATTGACCACATAGCGGCTGAAATCTCCACTTGCAAATTCCACAAAAAGAGTGTTTCAAGTCTGCTCTGTGTAAAGGATCGTTCAACTCTGTGAGTTGAATACACACAACACAAGGAAGTCACTGAGAATTCTTCTGTCTAGCATCATATGAAGAAATCCTGTTTCCAACGAAGGCCTCAAAGAGGTCTGAATATCCACTTGCAGACTTTATAAACAGAGTGTTTCCTAACTGCTCTATGAAAAGAAAGGTTAAACTCTGTGAGTTGAACGGCACACATCACGAAGGAGTTTCTGAGAATGATTCTGTCTAGTTTTTCTACGAAGATATTTCCTTTTCTACTATTGACCTGAAAGCGGCTGAAATCTCCACTTGCAAATTCCACAAAAAGAGTGTTTCAAGTCTGCTCTGTGTAAAGGATCGTTCAACTCTGTGAGTTGAATACACACAACACAAGGAAGTTGCTGAGAATTCTTCTGTCTAGCATAATATGAAGAAATCCCGTTTCCAACGAAGGCCTCAAAGAGGTCTGAATATCCACTTGCAGACTTTACAAACGGAATGTTTCCTAACTGCTCTATGAACAGAAAGGTTAAACTCTGTGAGTTGAACGCACACATCACAAAGGAGTTTCTGAGAATCATTCTGTCTAGTTTCTATAGGAAGATATTTCCTATTCTACCATTGACCACAAAGCGGCTGAAATCTCCACTTGCAAATTCCACAAAAAGAGTGTTTCAAGTCTGCTCTGTGTAAAGGATCATTCAACTCTGAGAGTTGAATACACAGAATACAAGGAAGTTACTGAGAATTTTTCTGTCTAGCGTAATATGAAGAAATCCCGTTTCCAACGAAGGCCTCAAAGAGGTCTGAATATCCACTTGCAGACATTACAAACAGAGTGTTTCCTAACTGCTCTATGAAAAGAAAGGTTAAACTCTGTGAGTTGAACGCACACATCACAAATGAGTTTCTGAGAATCATTCTGTCTAGTTTTTAAACGAAGATATTTCCTTTTCTACCATTGACCTCAAAGCGGCTGAAATCTCCACTTGCAAATTCCACAAAAAGAGTGTTTCAAGTCTACTCTGTGTAAAGCATCGTTCAAATCTGTGAGTTGAAAACACACAACACAAGGAAGTTTCTGAGAATTCTTCTGTCTAGCAGAATATGAAGAAATCCCGTTTCCAACGAAGGCCACAAGATGTCAGAATATCCACTTACAGAATTGACAAACAGACTGTTTCCTAACTGCTCTATGAAAAGAAAGGTTAAACTCTGTGAGTTGAACGAACACATCACAACGCAGATTGTGGGAATGATTCTGTCTAGTTTTGAAACGAAGATATTTCGTTTTCTGCCATTGACCTCAAAGCGCTTGAAATCTCCACTTGCCAATTGCACAAAAAGAGTGTTTCAAATCTGCTCTGTCTAAGGGAACGTTCAACTCTGTGAGTTGAATGTACACAACACAAGGAAGTTACTGGGAATTCTTCTGTCTAGCCTTACAGGAAAGAAACCCGTTTCCAACGAAGGCCCCTAAGTGGTCAAAATATCCACGTGCAGACTTTACAAACAGAGTGTTTCCAAACTGCTGAATGAAAAGAAAAGTTAAACTCTGAGAGTTGAACGCACACATCGCAGAGCAGTTTCTGAGAATGATTCTGTCTAGTTTTTATACGAAGATATTTCCTTTTTTGCCTTTGGCCTCAAAGCGCTTGAAATCTCCACTTGCAAATTCCACAAAAAGAGTGTTTCAAATCTGCTCTGTGTGAATGAAAGTTCAACTCTGTGAGTTGAACACACACAACACAAGGAAGTTACTGGGAATTCTTCTGTCTAGCAGAATATGAAGAAATCCCGTTTCCAACGAAAGCCTCAAAGAAGTCTGAATATCCACTTGCAGACTTTACAAACAGAGTGTTTCCTAACTGCTCTATGAAAAGAAAGGTTGAACTCTGTGAGTTGAACGCAGACATCACAAAGGAGTTTCTCAGAATCATTCTATCTAGTTTTTATAGGAAGATATTTCCTTTTCTACCTTTGACTTCAAAGCGGCTGAAATCTCCACTTGCAAATTCCACAAAAAGAGTGTTACAAGTCTGCTCTGTGTAAAGGATCGTTCAACTCTGTGAGTTGAATACACACAACACAAGGAAGTTACTGAGAATTCTTCTGTCTAGCATAGTATGAAGAAATACCGTTTCCAACGAAGGCCTCAAACAGGTCTGAATATCCACTTGCAGAGTTTACAAACAGAGTGTTTCCTAACTGCTCTATGAAAAGAAAGGTTAAACTCTGTGAGTTGAACGCACACATCACAAAGAAGTTTCTGAGAATCATTCTGTCTAGTTTCTATAAGAAGATATTTCCTATTCTACCATTGACCACAAAGCGGCTGAAATCTCCACTTGCAAATTCGACAAAAAGAGTGTTTCAAGCCTGCTCTCTGTAAAGGATCCTTCAACTCTGTGAGTTGAATACACACAACACAAGGAAGTTACTGAGAAGTATTCTCTCTAGCAGAATATGAAGAAATCCCGTTTCCAACGAAGGCCACAAGATGTCAGAATATCCACTTACAGAATTTACAAACAGACTGTTTCCTAACTGCTCTATGAAAAGAAAGGTTAAACTCTGTGAGTTGAACGAACACATCACAACGCAGTTTGTGGGAATGATTCTGTCTAGTTTTTATAGGAAGATATTTCCTTTTCTACCATTGACCTCAAAGCGGCTGAAATCACCACTTGCCAATTGCACAAAAAGAGTGTTTCAAATCTGCTCTGTCTAAGGGAACGTTCAACTCTGTGAGTTGAATGTACACAACACAAGGAAAGTTACTGGGAATTCTTCTGTCTACCCTTACATGAAAAAAACCCGTTTCCAAATAAGGCCTCTAAGTGGTCAAAATATCCACGTGCAGACTTTACAAACAGAGTATTTCCAAACTGCTGAATGAAAACAAAAGTTAAACTCTGAGAGTTCAACGCACACATCACAGAGCATTTTCTGAGAATGATTCTGTCTAGTTTTTATACGAAGATATTTCCTTTTCTGCCTTTGGCCCCAAAGCGCTTGAAATCTCCACTTGCAAATTCCACAAAAACAGTGTTTCAAATCTGCTCTCTCCAAATGAAAGTTCAACTCTGTTAGTTGAATACACACAACACAAGGAAGTTACTGAGAATTATTCTGTCTAGCAGAATATGAAGAAATCCTGTTTCCAACGAAGGCCTCAAAGGGGTCTGAATATCCACTTGCAGACTTTAAAACCAGAGTGTTTACTAACTGTTCTATGAAAAGAAAGGTTAAACTCTGTGAGTTGAACACACACATCACAAAGGAGTTTCTGAGAATCATTCTGTCTAGTTTCCATAGGAAGATATTTCCTATTCTACCATTGACCTCAAAGCGGCTGAAATCTCCACTTGCAAATTCCACAAAAAGAGTGTTTCAAGTCTGCTCTGTGTAAAGGATCGTTCAACTCTGTGAGTTGAATACACACAACACAAGGAAGTTACTGAGAATTATTCTGTCTCGCAGAATATGAAGAAATCCCGTTTCCAACGAAGGCCACAAGATGTCAGAATATCCACTTACAGACTTTACAAACAGAGTGTTTCCTAACTGCTCTATGAACAGAAAGGTTAAACTCTGTGAGTTGAACGAACACATCACAACGCAGTTTGTGGGAATGATTCTGTCTAGTTTTGAAACAAAGATATTTCCTTTTCTGCCATTGACCTTAAAGCGCTTGAAATCTACACTTGCAAATTGCACAAATAGAGTGTTTCAAATCTGCTCTGTCTAAGGGAACGTTCATCTCAGTGAGTTGAATGCACACAACACAAGGAAGTTACTGGGAATTCTTCTGTCTAGCCTTACAGGAAAAAAACCCGTTTCCAACGAAGTCCTCTAAGTGGTCAAGTTATCCACGTGCAGACTTTACAAACAGAGTGTTTCCAAACTGCTGAATGAAAAGAAAAGTTAAACTCTGAGAGTTGAACGCACACATCGCAGAGCAGTTTCTGAGAATGATTCTGTCTAGTTTTTATACGAAGATATTTCCTTTTCTACCTTTGGCCCCAAAGCGCTTGAAATCTCCACTTGCAAATTCCACAAAAACAGTGTTACAAATCTGCTCTCTCTAAATGAAAGTTCGACTCTGTCAGTTGAATACACACAACACAGGGAAGTTACTGAGAATTCTTCTGTCTAGCAGAATATGAAGAATTCCCGTTTCCAACGAAGGCCTCAAGGAGGTCTGAATATCCACTTGCAGACTTTACAAACAGAGTGTATCCTAACTGCTCTATGAAAAGAAAGGTGAAACTCTGTGAGTTGAATGCGCACATCACAAAGGAGTTTATGAGAATCATTCTGTCTAGTTTTTATACGAAGATATTTCCTTTTCTACCATTGACCTCAAAGCGGCTGAAATCTCCACTTGCAAATTCCTCAAAAAGAGTGTTTCTAATCTGCTCTGTGTAAAGGATCATTCAACTCTGTGAGTTGAATGCACACAACACAAGGAAGTTACTGAGAATTCTTCTGTCTAGCAGAATATGAAGTAATCCCGTTTCCAACGAAGGCCTCAAGGAGGTCTGAATATCCACTTGCAGACTTTACAAACAGAGTGTTTCCTAACTGCTCTATGAAAAGAAAGGTTAAACTCTGTGAGTTGAACGCACACATCACAAAGGAGTTCATGAGAATCATTCTGTCTAGTTTCTATAAGAAGATATTACCTATTCTACCATTGACCTCAAAGCGGCTGAAATCTCCACTTGCAAATTCGACAAAAAGAGTGTTTCAAGCCTGCTCTCTGTAAAGGATCCTTCAACTCTGTGAGTTGAATACACACAACACAAGGAAGTTACTGAGAATTATTCTTTCTAGCAGAATATGAAGAAATCCCGTTTCCAACGAAAGCCTCAAGGATGTCTGAATATCCACTTGCAGACTTTACAAACAGAGTGTTTCCCAACTGCTCTATGAAAAGAAAGGTTAAACTCTGTGAGATGAACGCACACATCACAAAGGAGTTTCTGAGAATCATTCTGTCTAGTTTCTATAGGAAGATATTTCCTATTCTACCATTGACCTCAAAGCGGCTGAAATCTCCACTTGCAAATTCCACAAAAAGAGTGTTTCAAGTCTGCTCTGTGTAAAGGATCGTTCAACTCTGTGTGTTGAATACACACAACACAAGGAAGTTACTGAGAATTGTTCTATCTAGCAGAATATGAAGAAATCCCGTTTCCAACGAAGGCCACAAGATGTCAGAATATCCACTTACAGACTTTACAAACAGAGTGTTTCCTAACTGCTCTATGAACAGAAAGGTTAAACTCTGTGAGTTGAACGAACACATCACAACGCAGTTTGTGGGAATGATTCTGTCTAGTTTTGAAACGAAGATATTTCCTTTTCTGCCGTTGACCTTAAAGAGCTTGGAAACTACACTTGCAAATTGCAGAAATAGAGTGTTTCAAATCTGCTCTGTCTAAGGGAACGTTCAACTCTGTGAGTTGAATGCACACAACACAAGGAAGTTACTGGGAATTCTTCTGTCTAGCCTTACATGAAAAAATCCCGTTTCCAACGAAGGCCTCTAAGTGGTCAAAATATCCACGTGCAGACTTTACAAACAGAGTGTTTCCAAACCGCTGAATGAAAAGAAAAGTTAAACTCTGAGAGTTGAACGCACACATCACGCAGCAGATTCTGAGAATGATTCTGTCTAGTTTTTATACGAAGATATTTCCTTTTCTGCCTTTGGCCCCAAAGCGCTTGAAATCTCCACTTGCAAATTCCAGAAAAACAGTGTTTCAAATCTGCTCTCTCTAAATGAAAGTTCAACTCTGTCAGTTGAATACACACAACACAAGGAAGTTACTGAGAATTCTTCTGTCTAGCATAATATGAAGAAATCCCGTTTCCAACGAAGGCCTAAAGGAGGTCTGAATATCCACTTGCAGAGTTTACAAACGGAGTGTTTCCCAACTGCTCTATGAAAAGAAAGGTTAAACTCTGTGAGTTGAACGCACACATCACAAAGGAGTTTCTCAGAATCATTCTGTCTAGTTTCTATAGGAAGATATTTCCTATTCTACCATTGACCCCAAAGCGGCTGAAATCTCCACTTGCAAATTCCACAAAAAGAATGTTTCAAGTCTGCTCTGTGTAAAGGATCGTTCAACTCTGTGAGTTGAATACACACAACACAAGGAAGTTACTGAGAATTCTTCTTTCTAGCAGAATATGAAGAAATCCCGTTTCCAACGAATGCCTCAAGGATGTCTGAATATCCACTTGCAGACTTTACAAACAGAGTGTTTCCCAACTGCTCTATGAAAAGAAAGGTTAAACTCTGTGAGTTGAACGCACACATCACAAAGGAGTTTCTGAGAATCATTCTGTCTAGTTTTTCTACGAAGCATATTTCCTTTTCTACTATTGACCTCAAAGCGGCTGAAATCTCCACTTGCAAATTCCACAGAAAGAGTGTTTCAAGTCTGCTCTGTGTAAAGGATCGTTCAACTCTGTGAGTTGAATACACACAACACAAGGAAGTTACTGAGAATTCTTCTGTCTAGCAGAATATGAAGAAATCCCGTTTCCAACGAAGGCCTGAAAGAGGTCTGAATATCCACTTGCAGACTTTACAAACAGAGTGCTTCCTAACTGCTCTATGAAAAGAAAGGATAAACTCTGTGAGTTGAACTCACACATCACAAAGGAGTTTCTGAGAATCATTCTGTCTAGTCTTTATACGAAGATATTTACTTTTCTACCATTGACTTCAAAGCGGCTGAAATCTCCACTTGCAAATTCCACAAAAAGAGTGTTTCAAGTCTGCTCTGTGTAGAGGATCATTCAACTCTGTGAGTTGAATAAACACAACACAAGGAAGTTACTGAGAATTCTTCTGTCTAGCAGAATATGAAGAAATCCCGTTTCCAACGAAGGCCTCAAGGAGGTCTGAATATCCACTTGCAGACTTTACGAACAGAGTGTTTCCTAACAGCTCTATGAACAGAAAGGTTAAACTCTGTGAGTTGAACGCACACATCACAAAGGAGTTTCTGAGAATCATTCTGTCTAGTCTTTATACGAAGATATTTACTTTTCTACCATTGACCTCAAAGCGGCTGAAATCTCCACTTGCAAATTCCACAAAAAGAATGTTTCAAGTCTGCTCTGTGTAAAGGATCATTCAACTCTGTGAGTTGAATACACACAACACAAGGGAAGTTACTGAGAATTCTTCTGTCTAGCAGAATATGAAGAAATCCCGTTTCCAACGAAGGCCACAAGATTTCAGAATATCCACTTACAGAATTTACAAACAGAGTGTTTCCTAAGTGCTCTATGAAAAGAAAGGTTAAGCTCTGTGAGTTGAACGAACACATCACAACGCAGTTTGTGGGAATGATTCTGTCTAGTTTTGAAACGAAGATATTCCCTTTTCTGCCATTGACCTTAAAGCGCTTGAAATCTACACTTGCCAATTGCACAAATAGAGTGTTTCAAATCTGCTCTGTCTAAGGGAACGTTCAACTCTGTGAGTTGAATGCACACAACACGAGGAAGTTACTGGGAATTCTTCTGTCTAGCCTTACATGAAAAAAAACCCGTTTCCAACGAAGGCCTCTAAGTGGTCAAAATATCCACGTGCAGACTTTACAAACAGAGTGTTTCCAAACCGCTGAATGAAAAGAAAAGTTAAACTCTGAGAGTTGAATGCACACATCACGCAGCAGTTTCTGAGAATGATTCTGTCTAGTTTTTATACGAAGATAATTCCTTTTCTGCCTTTGGCCTCAAAGCGCTTGAAATCTCCATTTGCAAATTCCACAAAAAGAGTGTTTCAAATCTGCTCTGTGTAAATGAAAGTTCAACTCTGTGAGTTGAACACACACAACACAAGGAAGTTACTGGGAATTCTTCTGTCTAGCATAATATGAAGAAATCCCGTTTCCAACGAAGGCCTCAAAGGGGTCTGAATATCCACTTGCAGACTTTATAAACAAAGTGTTTACTAACTGCTCTATGAAAAGAAAGGTTAAACTCTGTGAGTTGAACACACACATCACAAAGGAGTTTCTGAGAATCATTCTGTCTAGTCTTTATACGAAGATAGTTTCCTTTTCTACCATTGACCTCAAAGCAGCTGAAATCTCCACTTGCAAATTCCACAAAAAGAGTGTTTCAGGTCTGCTCTGTGTAAAGGATCATTCAACTCTGTGAGTTGAATACACACAACACAAGGAAGTTACTGAGAATTCTTCTGTCTAGCATAATATGAAGAAATCCCGTTTCCAACGAAGGCCTCAAAGTAGGTCTGAATATACACTTGCAGACTTTACAAACAGAGTGTTTCCTAACTGCTCTATGAGAAGAAAAGTTAAACTTTGTGAGTTGAACGCACACATCACAAAAGATTTTCTGAGAATCATTCTGTCTAGTTGTTATACGAAGATATTTCCTTTTCTACCATTGACCTCAAAGCGGCTGAAATCTCCACTTGCAAATTCCACCAAATGAGTGTTTCAAATCTGCTCTGTGTAAACCATCGTTCAACTCTGTGAGTTGAATACACACAACACAGGGAAGATTCTGAGAATTCTTCTGTCTAGCAGAATATGAAGAAATCCCGTTTCCAACGAAGGCCACAAGATGTCAGAATATCCACTTACAGAATTTTCAAACAGACTGTTTCCTAACTGCTCTATGAAAAGAAAGGTTTAACTCTGTGAGTTGAACGAACACATCACAACGCAGTTTGTGGGAATAATTCTGTCTAGTTTTGAAACGAAGATATTTCCTTTTCTGCCATTGACCTTAAAGCGCTTGAAATCTACACTTGCAAATTGCACAAATAGAGTGTTTCAAATCTGCTCTGTCTAAGGGAACGTTCATCTCTGTGAGTTGAATGCACACAACAAAAGGAAGTTACTGGGAATTCTTCTGTCTAGCCTTACATGAAAAAAAACACGTTTCCAACGAAGGCTTCTAAGTGGTCAAAATATCCACGAGGAGACTTTACAAACAGAGTGTTTCCAAACTGCTGAATGAAAAGAAAAGTTAAACTCTGAGAGTTGAACGCACACATCACAGAGCGGTTTCTGAGAATGATTCTGTCTAATTTTTATACTGAAGATATTTCCTTTTCTGCCTTTGGCCTCAAAGCGCTTGAAATCTCCACTTGCAAATTCCACAAAAAGAGTGTTTCCAATCTGCTCTGTGTAAATGAAAGTTCAACTCTGTGAGTTGAACACACACAACACAAGGAAGTTACTGGGAATTCTTCTGTCTAGCAGAATATGAAGAAATCCCGCTTCCAACGAAGGCCTCAAAGAAGTCTGAATATCCACTTGCAGACTTTACAAACAGAGTGTTTCCCAACTGCTCTATGAAAAGAAAGGTTGAACTCTGTGAGTTGAACGCACACATCACAAAGGAGTTTGCTGAGAATCATTCTGTCTAGTTTTTGTACGAAGATATTTCCTTTTCTACCCTTGACCTCAAAGCGGCTGAAATCTCCACTTGCCAATTCCACAAAAAGAGTGTTTCAAGTCTACTCTGTGTAAAGGATCGTTGAACTCTGTGAGTTGAAAACACACAACACCAGGAAGTTTCTGAGAATTCTTCTGTCTAGCAGAATATGAAGAAAACCCGTTTCCAACGAAAGCCTCAAAGATGTCTGAATATCCACTTGCAGACTTTACAAACAGAGTGTTTCCTAACTGCTCTATGAAAAGAAAGGTTAAACTCTGTGAGTTGAACGCACACAGCTCAAAGGAGTTTCTGAGAATCATTCTGTCTAGTTTCTTTAGGAAGATATTTCCTATTCTACCGTTGACCTCAAAGCGGCTGAAATCTCCACTTGCAAATTCCACAAAAAGAGTGTTTCAAGTCTGCTCTGTGTAAAGGATCGTTCAACTCTGTGAGTTGAATACACACAACACAAGGAAGTTACTGAGAATTCTTCTGTCTAGCCTTACAGGAAAAAACCCGTTTCCAACGAAGGCCTCTAAGTGGTCAAAATATCCACGTGCAGACTTTACAAACAGAGTGTTTCCAAACTGCTGAATGAAAAGAAAAGTTAAACTCTGAGAGTTGAACGCACACATCGCAGAGCAGTTTCTGAGAATGATTCTGTCTAGTTTTTATACGAAGATATTTCCTTTTCGGCCTTTGGCCTCAAAGCGCTTGAAATCTCCACTTGCAAATTCCACAAAAAGAGTGTTTCAAATCTGCTCTGTCTAAATGAAAGTTCAACTCTGTCAGTTGAATACACACAACACAAGGAAGTTACTGAGAATTCTTCTGTCTAGCAGAATATGAAGAAATCCCGTTTCCAACGAAGGCCTCAAAGAGGTCTGAATATCCACTTGCAGACTTTACAAACAGAGTGTTTCCCAACTGCTCTATGAAAAGGAAGGTTAAATTCTGTGAGTTGAACGCACACATCACAAAGGAGTTTCTGAGAATCATTCTGTCTAGTTTTTATACGAAGATATTTCCTTTTCTACCATTGACCTCAAAGCGGCTGAAATCCCCAATTGCAAATTCCACAAAAAGAGTGTTTCAAGTCTGCTCTGTGTAAAGGATCATTGAACTCTGTGAGTTGAATACACACAACACAAGGAAGTTACTGAGAATTCTTCTGTCTAGCATAATATGAAGAAAACCCGTTTTCAACGAAGGCCTCAAGGAGGTCTGAATATCCACTTGCAGACTTTACAAACAGAGTGTTTCCTAACTGCTCTATGAAAAGAAAGGTTAAACTCTGTGAGTTGAACGCATACATCACAAAGGAGTTTCTGAGAATCATTCTGTCTAGTTTTTATACGAAGATATTTCCTTTTCTGCCTTTGGCCTCAAAGCGCTTGAAATCTCCATTTGCAAATTCCACAAAAAGAGTGTTTCAAATCTGCTCTGTGTAAATGAAAGTTCAACTCACAGAGTTGAACACACACATCACAAGGAAGTTACTGGGAATTCTTCTGTCTAGCATAATATTAAGAAATCCCGTTTCCAACGAAGGCCTCAAAGGGGTCTGAATATCCACTTGCAGACTATATAAACAGAGTGTTTCCTAACTGCTCTATGAAAAGAAAAGTTCAACTCTGTGATTTGAACGCACACATCACGAAGGAGTTTAGGAGAATCATTCTGTCTAGTCTTTATACGAAGATATTTCCTTTTCTACCATTGACCTCATAGCGGCTGAAATCTCCACTTGCAAATTCCACAAAAAGAGTGTTTCAAGTCTGCTCTCTGTAAAGGATCGTTCAACTCTGTGAGTTGAATACACACAACACAAGGAAGTTACTGAGAATTATTCTGTCTAGCCTTACAGGAAAAAAACCCGTTTCCAACGAAGGCCTCTAAATGTTCAAAATATCCACGTGCAGACTTTACAAACAGAGTGTTTCCAAACTGCTGAATGAAAAGAAAAGTTAAACTCTGAGAGTTGAACGCACACATCGCAGAGCAGTTTCTGAGAATGATTCTGTCTAGTTTTTATACGAAGATATTTCCTTTTCTGCCTTTGGCCCCAAAGCACTTGAAATCTCCACTTGCAAATTCCACAAAAACAGTGTTTCAAATCTGCTCTCTCTAAATGAAAGTTCAACTCTGTCAGTTGAATACACACAACACAAGGAAGTTACTGAGAATTCTTCTGTCTAGCCTTATATGAAAAAACCCGTTTCCAACGAAGGCCTCAAAGAGGTCTGAATATCCACTTGCAGACATTACAAACAGAGTGTTTCCTAACTGCTCTATGAAAAGAAAGGTTAAACTCTGTGAGTTGAACACACACATCACAAAGGAGTTTCTGAGAATCATTGTGTCTAGTTTCTATAGGAAGATATTTCCTATTCTACCATTGACCTCAAAGCGGCTGAAATCTCCACTTGCAAATTCCACAAAAAGAGTGTTTCAAGTCTGCTCTGTGTAAAGGATCGTTCAACTCTGTGAGTTGAATACACACAACACAAGGAATTTACTGAGAATTCTTCTGTCTAGCAGAATATGAAGAAATCCCGTTTCCAGCGAAGGCCTCAAGGAGGTCTGAATATCCACTTGCAGACTTTACAAACAGGGTGTTTCCTAACTGCTCTATGAACAGAAAAGTTAAACTCTGTGAGATGAACGAACACATCACAACGCAGTTTGTGGGAATGATTCTGTCTAGTTTTGAAACGAAGATATTTCCTTTTCTGCCGTTGACCTTAAAGAGCTTGAAAACTACACTTGCAAATTGCACAAATAGAGTGTTTCAAATCTGCTCTGTCTAAGGGAACGTTCAACTCTGTGAGTTGAATGCACACAACACAAGGAAGTTACTGGGAATTCTTTCTGTCTAGCCTTACATGAAAAAAACCCGTTTCCAACGAAGGCCTCTAAGTGGTCAAAATATCCACGTGCAGACTTTACAAACAGAGTGTTTCCAAACCGCTGAATGAAAAGAAAAGTTAAACTCTGAGAGTTGAACGCACACATCATGCAGCAGTGTCTGAGAATGATTCTGTCTAGTTTTTATACGAAAGTATTTCCTTTTCTGCCTTTGGCCTCAAAGCGCTTGAAATCTCGACTTGCAAATTCCACAAAAAGAGTGTTTCAAATCTGCTCTGTCTGAAGGAAGGTTGAACTCTGTGAGTTGCATACACACGACACAAAGAAGTTACTGAGAAATATTCTGTCTAGCATAGTATGAAGAAATCCCGATTCCAACGAAGGCCTCAAAGAGGTCTGTATATCCACTTGCAGAGTTTACAAACAGAGTGTTTCCTAACTGCTCTATGAAAAGAAAGGTTAAACTCTGTGAGTTGAACGCACACATCACAAAGAAGTTTCTGAGAATCATTCTGTCTAGTTTTTATAGGAAGATATTTCCTTTTCTACATTTGACTTCAAAGCGGCTGAAATCTCCACTTGCAAATTCCACAAAAAGAGTGTTACAAGTCTGCTCTGTGTAAAGGATCGTTCAACTGTGTGAGTTGAATACACACAACACAAGGAAGTTACTGAGAATTCTTCTGTCTAGGCTTACAGGAAAAAAACCCGTTTCCAACGAAGGCCTCTAAGTGGTCAAAATATCCACGTGCAGACTTTACAAACAGAGTGTTTCCAAACTGCTGAATGAAAAGAAAAGTTAAACTCTGAGAGTTGAACGCACACATCGCAGAGCAGTTTCTGAGAATGATTCTGTCTAGTTTTTATACGAAGATATTTCCTTTTCTGCCTTTGGCCTCAAAGCGCTTGAAATCTCCACTTGCAAATTCCAGAAAAAGAGTGTTTCAAATCTGCTCTGTGTAAATGAAAGTTCAACTCTGTGAGTTGAACAGACACAACACAAGGAAGTTACTGGGAATTCTTCGGTCTAGCATAATATGAAGAAATCCCGTTTCC
Source organism: Homo sapiens (assembly GCF_000001405.40). Lineage (NCBI taxonomy): Eukaryota > Metazoa > Chordata > Mammalia > Primates > Hominidae > Homo > Homo sapiens. Next base: position 47,492,247 of record NC_000005.10, on the reverse strand, counting down.
AACGAAGGCCTCAAAGAGGTCTGAATATCCACTTGCAGACTTTACAAACAGAGTGTTTCCTAACTGCTCTATGAACAGAAAGGTTAAACTCTGTGAGTTGAACGCACACATCACAAAGGAGTTTCTGAGAATCATTCTGTCTAGTTTTTATAGGAGGATATTTCCTTTTCTACCTTTGACTTCAAAGCGGCTGAAATCTCCACTTGAAAATTCCACAAAAAGAGTGTTACAAGCCTGCTCTGTGTAAAGGATCGTTCAACTCTGTGAGTGGAATACACACAACACAAGGAAGTTACTGAGAATTCTTCTGTCTAGCATAATATGTAGAAATCCCGTTTCCAACGAATGCCTCAAGGAGGTCTGAATATCCACTTGCAGACTTTACAAACAGAGTGTTTCCTAACTGCTCTATGAAAACAAAGGTTAAACTGTGTGAGTTGAACGCACACATCACAAAGGAGTTTCTGAGAATCATTCTGTCTAGTTTCTATAGGAAGATATTTCCTATTCTACCATTGACCTCAAAGCGGCTGAAATCTCCACTTGCAAATTCCACAACAAGAGTGTTTCAAGTCTACTCTGTGTAAAGCATCGTTGAACTCTGTGAGTTGAATACACACAACACAATGAAGTTACTGAGAATTCTTCTGTCTAGCAGAATATGAAGAAATCCCGTTTCCAACGAAGGTCACAAGATGTCAGAATATCCACTTACAGAATTTACAAACAGACTGGTTCCTAACTGCTCTATGAAAAGAAAGTTTAAACTCTGTGAGTTGAACGAACACATCACAACGCAGTTTGTGGGAATGATTCTGTCTAGTTTTGAAACGAAGATATTTCCTTTCCTGCCATTGACCTTAAAGCGCTTGAAATCTCCATTTGCCAATTGCACAAAAAGAGTGTTTCAAATCTGCTCTGTCTAAGGGAACGTTCAACTCTGTGAGTTGAATGTACACAACACAAGGAAGTTACTGGGAATTCTTCTGTCTAGCCTTACATGAAAAAAACCCGTTTCCAACGAAGGCCTCTAAGTGGTCAAATTATCCACGTGCAGACCTTACAAACAGAGTGTTTCCAAATTGCTGAATGAAAAGAAAAGTTAAACTCTGAGAGTTGAACGCACACATCACAGAGCAGTTTCTGAGAATGATTCTGTCTAGTTTTTATACGAAGATATTTCCTTTTCTGCCTTTGGCCTCAAAGCGCTTGAAATCTCCACTTGCAAATTCCACAAAAAGAGTGTTTCAAATCTGCTCTGTGTAAATGAAAGTTCAACTCTGTAAGTTGAACACACACAACACAAGGAAAGTTACTGGGAATTCTTCTGTATAGCAGAATATGAAGAAATCCCGTTTCCAACGAAAGCCTCAAAGATGTCTGAATATCCACTTGCAGACTTTACAAACAGAGTGTTTCCTAACTGCTCTATGAAAAGAAAAGTTAAACTCTGTGAGTTGAACGCACACATCACAAAGGAGTTTCTGAGAATCATTCTGTCTAGTTTCTAAAGGAAGATATTTCCTATTCTACCATTGACCTCAAAGCGGCTGAAATCTCCACTTGCAAATTCTACAAAAAGAGTGTTTCAAGTCTGCTCTGTGTAAAGGATCGTTCAACTCTGTGAGTTGAATACACACAACACAAGGAAGTTACTGAGAATTCTTCTGTCTAGCGTTACATGGAAAAAACCCGTTTCCAACGATGGCCTCTCAGTGGTCAAATTATCCAGCAGCAGACTTTTCAAACAGAGTGTTTCCAAACTGCTGAATGAAAAGGAAAGTTAAACTCTGAGAGTTGAACGCACACATCACAGAGCAGTTTCTGAGAATGATTCTGTCTAGTTTTTATACGAAGATATTTCCTTTTCTGCCTTTGGCCTCAAACCGCTTGAAATCTCCATTTGCAAATTCCACAAAAAGAGTGTTTCAAATCTGCTCTGTGTAAATGAAATTTCAACTCTGTGAGTTGAACACACACAACACATGGAAGTTACTGGGAATTCTTCTGTCTAGCATAATATGAAGAAATCCCGTTTCCAACGAAGGCCTCAAGGAGGTCTGAATATCCACTTGCAGACTTTACAAACAGAGTGTTTCCTAACAGCTCTATGAAAAGAAAGGTTAAACTGTGTGAGTTGAACGCACACATCACAAAGGAGTTTCTGAGAATCATTCTGTCTAGTTTCTATAGGGAGATACTTCCTATTCTACCATTGACCTCAAAGCGGCTGAAATCTCCACTTGCAAATTCCACAAAAAGAGTGTTTCAAGTATGCTCTGTGTAAAGGATCGTTCAACTCTGTGAGTTGAATACACACAACACAAGGAAGTTACTGAGAATTCTTCTGTCTAGCAGAATATGAAGAAACCCCGTTTCCAACGAAAGCCTCAAAGATGTCTGAATATCCACTTGCAGACTTTACAAACAGAGTGTTTCCTAACTGCTCTGAGAAAAGAAAGGTTAAACTCTGTGAGTTGAACGCACACATCACAAAGGAGTTTCTGAGAATCATTCTGTCTAGTTTCTATAGGAAGATATTTCCTATTCTACCATTGACTTCAAAGCGGCTGAAATCTCCACTTGCAAATTCCACAAAAAGAGTGTTTGAAGTCTGCTCTGTGTAAAGGATCGTTCAACTCTGTGAGTTGAATACACACAACACAAGGAAGTTACTGAGAATTCTTCTGTCTACCTGAACATGAAGAAATCCCGCTTCCAACGAAGGCCTCAAGGAGGTCTGAATATCCACTTGCAGACTTTACAAACAGAGTGTTTCCTAACTGCTCTATGAAAAGAAAGGTTAAACTCTGTGAGTTGAACGCACACATCACAAAGGAGTTTCTGAGAATCATTCTGTCTAGTTTCTATAGGAAGATATTTCCTATTCTACCATTGACTTCAAAGCGGCTGAAATCTCCACTTGCAAATTCCACAAAAACAGTGTTTCAAGTCTGCTCTGTGTAAAGGATCGTTCAACTCTGTGAGTTGAATACACACAACACAAGGAAGTTACTGAGAATTCTTCTTTCTAGCAGAATATGAAGAAATCCCGTTTCCAACGAAAGCCTCAAGGATGTCTGAATATCCACTTGCAGACTTTACAAACAGAGTGTTTCCTAACTGCTCTATGAAAAGAAAGGTTAAACTCTGTGAGTTGAACGCACACATCACAATGAAGTTTCTGAGAATCATTCTGTCTAGTTTTTATACGAAGATATTTCCTTTTCTACCATGGACCTCAAAGCGGCTGAAATCTCCACTTGCAAATTCCACAAAAAGAGTGTTTCAAGTCTGCTCTGTGTAAAGGATCGTTCAACTCTGTGCGTTGAATACACACAACACAAGGAAGATTCTGAGAGTTCTTCTGTCTAGCAGAATATGAAGAAATCCCGTTTCCAACGAAGGCCTCAAGGAGGTCTGAATATCCACTTGCAGACTTTACAAACAGAGTGTTTCCTAACTGCTCTATGAACAGTAAGGTTAAACTCTGTGAGTTGAACGCACACATCACAAAGGAGTTTCTGAGAATCATTCTGTCTAGTTTCTATAGGAAGATATGTCCTATTCTACCATTGACCTCAAAGCGGCTGAAATCTCCACTTGCAAATTCCACAAAAAGAGTGTTTCAAGTCTGCTCTGTGTAAAGGATCGTTCAACTCTGTGAGTTGAATACACACAACACAAGGAAGTTACTGAGAATTCTTCTGTCTAGCAGAATATGAAGAAATCCCGTTTCCAACGAAGGCCTCAAGGAGGTCTGAATATCCACTTGCAGACTTTACAAACAGAGTGTTTCCTAACTGCTCTATGAAAAGAAAGGTTAAAGTCTTTGAGTTGAATGCACACATCACAAAGGAGTTTATGAGAAACATTCTGTCTAGTATCTATAGGAAGATATTTCCTATTCTACCATTGACCTCAAAGCGGCTGAAATCTCCACTTGCAAATTCCAGAAAAAGAGTGTTTCAAGTCTGCTCTGTGTAAAGGATCGTTCAACTCTGTGAGTTGAATACACACAACACAAGGAAGTTTCTGAGAATTCTTCTGTCTAGCATAATATGAAGAAATCCCGTTTCCTACGTAGGCCTCAAAGAGGTCTGAATATCCACTTGCAGACTTTACAAACAGAGTGTTCCCTAACTGCTCTATGAAAAGAAAGGTTAAACTCTGTGAGTTGAACGCACACATCACAAAGGAGTTTCTGAGAATCATTCTGTCTAGTTTTTATAGGAAGATATTTCCTTTTCTACCTTTGACGTCAAAGCGGCTGAAATCTCCACTTGCAAATTCCACAAAAAGAGTGTTACAAGTCTGCTCTGTGTAAAGGATCGTTCAACTCTGTGAGTTGAATACACACAACACAAGGAAGTTGCTGAGAATTCTTCTGTCTAGCATAATATGAAGAAATCCCTTTTCCAAAGAAGGCCTCAAAGAGGTCTGAATATCCACTTGCAGACTTTACAAACAGAGTGTTTCCTAACGGCTCTATGAAAAGAAAAGTTAAACTCTGTGAGTTGAACGCACACATCACAAAGGAGTTTCTGAGAATCATTCTGTCTAGTTTCTATAGGAAGATATTTCCTATTCTACCATTGACCTCAAAGCGGCTGAAAACTCCACTTGCAAATTCCACAAAAAGAGTGTTTCAAGTCTGCTCTGTGTAAAGGATCGTTCAACTCTGTGAGTTGAATACACACAACACAAGGAAGTTACTGAGAATTCTTCTGTCTAGCAGACTATGAAGAAATCCCGTTTCCAACGAAGGCCACAAGATGTCAGAATATCCACTTACAGACTTTACAAACAGAGTGTTTCCTAACTGCTCTATGAACAGAAAGGTTAAACTCTGTGAGTTGAACGAACACATCACAACGCAGTTTGTGGGAATGATTCTGTCTAGTTTTGAGACGAAGATATTTCCTTTTCTGCCGTTGACCTTAAAGCGCTTGAAATCTACACTTGCAAATTGCACAAATAGAGTGTTTCAAATCTGCTCTGCCTAAGGGAACGTTCAACTCTGTGAGTTGAATGCACACAACACAAGGAAGTTACTGGGAATTCTTCTGTCTAGCCTTACATGAAAAAAACCCGTTTCCAACGAAGACCCCTAAGTGGTCAAAATATCCACGTGCAGACTTTACAAACTGAGTGTTTCCAAACTGGTGAATGAAAAGAAAAGTTAAACTCTGAGAGTTGAACGCACACATCACAGAGCAGTTACTGAGAATGATTCTGTCTAGTTTTTATACGAAGATATTTCCTTTTCTGCCTTTGGCCCCAAAGCGCTTGAAATCTCCACTTGCAAATTCCACAAAAACAGTGTTTCAAATCTCCTCTCTCTAAATGAAAGTTCAACTCTGTCAGTTGAATACACACAACACAAGGAAGTTACTGAGAATTCTTCTGTCTAGCATAATATGTAGAAATCCCGTTTCCAACGAAGGCCTCAAGGAGGTCTGAATATCCACTTGCAGACTTTACAAACAGAGTGTTTCCTAACTGCTCTATGAAAAGAAAGGTTAAACTCTGTGAGTTGAACGCAGACATCACGAAGGAGTTTCTGAGAATCACTCTGTCTAGTTTTTATAGGAAGATATTTCCTTTTCTACTTTTGACTTCAAAGCGGCTGAAATCTCCACTTGCAAATTCCACAAAAAGAGTGTTACAAGTCTGCTCTGTGTAAAGGATCGTTCAACTCTGTGAGTTGAATACACACAACACAAGGAAGTTACTGAGAATTCTTCTGTCTAGCAGAATATGAAGAAATCCCGTTTCCAACGAAGGCCTCAAAGAGGTCTGAATATCCACTTGCAGACTTTACAAACAGAGTGTTTCCTAACTGCTCTATGAAAAGAAAGGTTAAACTCTGTGAGTTGAACGCACACATCACAAAGGAGTTTCTGAGAATCAATCTGTCTAGTTTTTATACGAAGATATTTCCTTTTCTACCATGGACCTCAAAGCGGCTGAAATCTCCACTTGCAAATTCCACAAAAAGAGTGTTTCAAGTCTGCTCTGTGTAAAGGATCGTTCAACTCTGTGAGTTGAATAGACACAACACAAGGAAGATTCTGAGAATTCTTCTGTCTAGCAGAATATGAAGAAATCCCGTTTCCAACGAAGGCCACAAGATGTCAGAATATCCACTTACAGACTTTACAAACAGAGTGTTTCCTAGCTGCTCTATGAACAGAAAGGTTAAACTCTGTGAGTTGAACGAACACATCACAACGCAGTTTGTGGGAATGATTCTGTCTAGTTTTGAAACGAAGATATTTCCTTTTCTGCCATTGACCTTAAAGCGCTTGAAATCTACATTTGCAAATTGCACAAATAGAGTGTTTCAAATCTGCTCTGTCTAAGGGAACGTTCAACTCTGTGAGTTGAATGCACACAACACAAGGGAAGTTACTGGGAATTCTTCTGTCTAGCAGAATATGAAGAAATCCCGTTTCCAACGAAGGCCTGAAAGGGGTCTGAATATCCACTTGCAGACTTTATAAACAGAGTGTTTACTAACTGCTCTATGAAAAGAAAGGTTAAACTCTGTGAGTTGAACACACACATCACAAAGGAGTTTCTGAGAATCATTCTGTCTAGTTTCTATAGGAAGATATTTCCTATTCTACCATTGACCCAAAGCGGCTGAAATCTCCACTTGCAAATTCCACAAAAAGAGTGTTTCAAGTCTGCTCTCTGTAAAGGATCGTTCAACTCTGTGGGTTGAATACACACAACACAAGGAAGTTACTGAGAATTATTCTGTCTAGCAGAATATGAAGAAATCCCGTTTCCAACGAAGGCCTCAAAGAGGTCTGTATATCCACTTGAAGACTTTACAAACAGAGTGTTTCCTAACTGCTCTATGAAAACAAAAGTTAAACTCTGTGAGTTGAACGCACACATCACAAAGGAGTTTCTGAGAATCATTCTGTCTAGTTTCTATAGGAAGATATTTCCTATTCTACCATTGTCTTCAAAGCGGCTGAAATCTCCACTTGCAAATTCCACAAAAGGAGTGTTTCAAGTCTACTCTGTGTAAAGGATCGTTCAACTCTGTGAGTTGAATACACACAACACAAGGAAGTTACTGAGAATTCTTCTGTCTTGCAGAATATGAAGAAATCCCGTTTCCAACGAAGGCCTCAAAGAGGTCTGAATATCCACTTGTAGACTGTACAAACAGAGTGTTTCCCAACTGCTCTATGAAAAGAAAAGTTGAACTCTGTGAGTTGAACGAACACATCACAAAGGAGTTTCTGAGAATCATTCTGTCTAGTTTCTATAGGAAGATATTTCCTATTCTACCATTGACCTCAAAGCGGCTGAAATCTCCACTTTCAAATTCCACAAAAAGAGTGTTTCAAGTCTGCTCTGTGCAAAGGATCGTTCAACTCTGTGAGTTGAATACACACAACACAAGGAAGTTACTGAGAATTCTTCTGTCTAGCATAATATGAAGAAATCCCGTTTCCAACGAAGGCCTCAAGGAGGTCTGAATATCCACTTGCAGACTTTACAAACGGAGTGTTTCCTAACTGCTCTATGAAAAGAAAGGTTAAACTCTGTGAGTTGAACGCACACATCACAAAGGAGTTTCTGAGAATCATTCTGTCTAGTTTTTTTATGAAGATATTTCCTTTTCTACCATTGACCTCAAAGCGGCTGAAATCTCCACTTGCAAATTCCACAAAAAGAGTGTTTCTAATCTGCTCTGTGTAAAGGAACGTTCAACTCTGTGAGTTGAAAGTACACAACACAAGGAAGTTACTGAGAATTCTTCTGTCTAGCAGAATATGAAGAAATCCCGTTTCCAACGAAGGCCTCAAAGAGGTCAGAATATCCACTTGCAGACTTTACAAACAGAGTGTTTCCTAACTGCTCTATGAAAAGAAAGGTTAAACTCTGTGAGTTGAACGCACACATCACAAAGGAGTTTCTGAGAATCATTCTGTCTAGTTTTGAAACGAAGATATTTCCTTTTCTGCCATTGACCTTAAAGCGCTTGAAATCTCCACTTGCCAATTGCACAAAAAGAGTGTTTCAAATCTGCTCTGTCTAAGGGAACGTTCAACTCTGTGTGTTGAATGTACACAACACAAGGAAGTTACTGGGAATTCTTCTGTCTAGCCTTACATGAAAAAAACCCGTTTCCAACGAAGGCCTCTAAGTGGTCAAAATATCCACGTGCAGACTTTACAAACAGAGTGTTTCCAAACCGCTGAATGAAAAGAAAAGTTAAACTCTGAGAGTTGAACGCACACATCACGCAGCAGTTTCTTAGAATGATTCTGTCTAGTTTTTATACGAAGATATTTCCTTTTCTGCCTTTGGCCCCAAAGCGCTTGAAATCTCCAATTGCAAATTCCACAAAAACAGTGTTTCAAATCTGCTCTCTCTAAATGAAAGTTCAACTCTGTCCTTTGAATACACACAACACAAGGAAGTTACTGAGAATTCTTCTTTCTAGCAGAATATGAAGAAATCCCATTTCCAACGAAAGCCTCAAGGATGTCGGAATATCCACTTGCAGACTTTACAAACAGAGTGTTTCCCAACTGCTCTATGAAAAGAAAGGTTAAACTCTGTGAGTTGAACGCACACATCACAAAGGAGTTTCTGAGAATCATTCTGTCTTGTTTCCATACGAAGATATTTCCTTTTCTACCATTGACCTCAAAGCGGCTGAAATCTCCACTTGCAAATTCCACAAAAAGAGTGTTTCAAGTCTGCTCTGTGTAAAGGATCGTTCAATTCTGTGAGTTGAATACACACAACACAAGGAAGTTACTGAGAATTCTTCAGTCTAGCAGAATATGAAGAAATCCCTTTTCCAACGAAGGCCACAAGATGTCAGAATATCCACTTACAGAGTTTACAAACAGAGTGTTTCCTCACTGCTCTATGAACAGAAAGGTTAAACTCTGTGAGTTGAACGAACACATCACAACGCAGTTTGTGGGAATGATTCTGTCTAGTTTTGAAACGAAGATATTTCCTTTTTTGCCATTGACCTTAAAGCGCTTGAAATCTACACTTGCAAATTGCACAAATAGAGCGTTTCAAATCTGCTCTGTCTAAGGGAACGTTCATCTCTGTGAGTTGAATGCACACAACACAAGGAAGTTACTGGGAATGCTACCGTCTAGCCTTACGTGAAAAAAAACCCGTTTCCAACGAAGGCCTCTAAGTGGTCAAAATATCCACGTGCAGACTTTACAAACAGAGTGTTTCCAAACTGCTGAATGAAAAGAAAAGTTAAACTCTGAGAGTTGAACGCACACATCACAGAGCTGTTTCTGAGAATGATTCTGTCTAGTTTTTATAGGAAGATATTTCCTTTTCTGCCTTTGGCCTCAAAGCGCTTGAAATCTCCATTTGCAAATTCCACAAAAAGAGAGTTTCAAATCTGCTCTGTGTAAATGAGAGTTCATCTCTGTGACTTGAACACACACAACAAAAGGAAGTTACTGGGAATTCTTCTGTATAGCAGAATATGAAGAAATCCCGTTTCCAACGAAAGCCTCAAAGATGTCTGAATATCCACTTGCAGACGTTACAAACAGAGTGTTTCCTAACTGCTCTATGAAAAGAAAGGTTAAACTCTGTGAATTGAACGCACACATCACAAAGGAGTTTCTGACAATCATTCTGTCTAGTCTTTATACGAAGATAGTTTCCTTTTCTACCATTGACCTCAAAGCGGCTGAAATCTCCACTTGCAAATTCAACAAAAAGAGTGTTTCAAGTCTGCTCTCTGTAAAGGATCGTTCAACTCTGTGAGTTGAATACACACAACACAAGGAAGTTACTTGAGAATTATTGTGTCTAGCATAATATGAAGAAATCCCGTTTCCAACGAAGGCCTCAAGGAGGTCTGAATATCCACTTGCAGACTTTACAAACAGAGTGTTTCCTAACTGCTCTATGAAAAGAAAGGTTAAACTCTGTGAGTTGAACGCACACATCACAAAGGAGTTTCTCAGAATCATTGTGTCTAGTTTCTATAGGAAGATATTTCCTATTCTACCGTTGACCTCAAAGCGGCTGAAATCTCCAGTTGCAAATTCCACAAAAAGAATGTTTCAAGTCTGCTCTGTGTAAAGGATCGTTCAACTCTGTGAGTTGAATACACACAACACAAGGAAGTTACTGAGAATTCTTCTGTCTAGCAGAATATGAAGAAACCCCGTTTCCAACGAAGGCCTCAAAGAGTTCTGAATATCCACTTGCAGACTTTACAAACAGAGTGTTTCCTAACTGCTCTAAGAAAAGAAAACTTCAACTCTGTGAGTTGAACGCACACATCACAAAGGAGTTTCTGAGAATCATTCTGTCTAGTTTTTATACGAAGATATTTCCTTTTCTGCCTTTGGCCTCAAAGCGCTTGAAATCTCCACTTGCAAATTCCACAAAAAGAGTGTTTCAAGTCTGCTCTGTGTAAAGGATCGTTCTACTCTGTGAGTTGAATACACACAACACAAGGAAAGTTACTGAGAATTCTTCTGTCTAGCATAATATGAAGAAATCCCGTTTCCAACGAAGGCCTCAAAGAGGTCTGAATATCCACTTGCAGACTTTACAAACAGAGTGTTTCCTAACTGCTCTATGAGAAGAAAAGTTAAACTCTGTGAGTTGAACGCACACATCACAAAAGATTTTCTGAGAATCAATCTGTCTAGTTTTTATACGAAGATATTTCCTTTTCTACCATTGACCTCAAAGTGGCTGAAATCTCCACTTGCAAATTCCACAAAAAGAGTGTTTCTAATCTGCTCTGTGTAAAGGATCGTTGAACTCTGTGAGTTGAAAGCACACAACACAAGGAAGTTACTGAGAATTCTTCTGTCTAGCCTTATATGAAAAAAACCCGTTTCCAACGAAGGCCTCAAAGAGGTCTGAATATCCACTTGCAGACTATACAAACAGAGTGTTTCCTAACTGCTCTATGAAAAGAAAGGTTAAACTCTGTGAGTTGAACGCACACATCACAAAGGAGTTTCTGAGAATCATTCTGTCTAGTTTCTATAGGAAGATATTTCCTATTCTACCATTGAACTCAAAGCGGCTGAAATCTCCACTTGCAAATTCCACAAAAAGAGTATTTAAAGTCTGCTCTGTGTAAAGGATCGTTCAACTCTGTGAGTTGAATACACACAACACAAGGAAGTTACTGAGAATTCTTCTGTCTAGCAGAATATGAAGAAATCCCGTTTCCAACGAAGGCCTCAACGAGGTCTGAATATCCACTTGCAGACTTTACAAACAGAGTGTTTCCTAACTGCTCTATGAAAAGAAAGGTTAAACTCTGTGAGTTGAACGCACACATCACAAAGGAGTTTATGAGAATCATTCTGTCTAGTTTTTCTACGAATATATTTCCTTTTCTACTATTGACCTCAAAGCGGCTGAAATCTCCACTTACAAATTCCACAAAAAGAGTGTTTCAAGTCTGCTCTGTGTAAAGGATCGTTCAACTCTGTGAGTTGAATACACACAACACAAGGAAGTTACTGAGAATTGTTCTGTCTAGCAGAACATGAAGAAATCCCGCTTCCAACGAAGGCCTCAAAGAAATCTGAATATCCACTTGCAGACTTTACAAACAGAGTGTTTCCCAACTGCTCTATGAAAAGAAAGGTTGAACTCTGTGAGTTGAACGCACACATCACAAAGGAGTTTCTGAGAATCATTCTGTCTAGTTTCTATAAGAAGATATTTCCTATTCTACCATTGAACTCAAAGCGGCTGAAATCTCCACTTGCAAATTCCACAAAAAGAGTGTTTCAAGTCTGCTCTGTGTAAAGGATCGTTCAACACTGTGAGTTGAATACACACAACACAAGGAAGTTACTGAGAATTCTTCTTTCTAGCAGAATATGAAGAAATCCCGTTTCCAACGAAAGCCTCAAGGATGTCTGAATATCCACTTGCAGACTTTAGAAACAGAGTGTTTCCTAACTGCTCTATGAAAAGAAAGGTTAAACTCTGTGAGTTGAACGCACACATCACAAAGGAGTTTCTGAGAATCATTCTGTCTAGTCTTTATACGAAGATATTTCCTTTTGTACCATTGACCTCAATGCGGCTGAAATCTCCACTTGCAAATTCCACAAATAGAGTGTTTCAAGTCTGCTCTCTGTAAAGGATCGTTCAACTCTGTGAGTTGAATACACAGAACACAAGGAAGTTACTGAGAATTATTCTGTCTAGCATAATATGAAAAAATCCCGTTTCCAACGAAGGCCTCAAAGAGGTCTGAATATCCACTTGCAGACTTTACAAACAGAGTGTTTCCTAACTGCTCTATGAGAAGAAAAGTTAAACTCTGTGAGTTGAACGCACACATCACAAAAGATTTTCTGAGAATCATTCTGTCTAGTCTTTATACGAAGATATTTCCTTTTCTACCATTGACCTCAAAGCGGCTGAAATATCCAATTGCAAATTCCACAAAAAGAGTGTTTGAAGTCTGCTCTCTGTAAAGGATAGTTCAACTCTGTGAGTTGAATACACACAACACAAGGAAGTTACTGAGAATTCTTCTGTCTAGCACAATATGAAGAAATCCCGTTTAAAACGAAGGCCACAAGATGTCAGAATATCCACTTACAGACTTTACAAACAGAGTGTTTCCTAACTGCTCTATGAACAGAAAGGTTAAACTCTGTGAGTTGAACGAACACATCACAACGCAGTTTGTGGGAATGATTCTGTCTAGTTTTGAAACGAAGATATTTCCTTTTCTGCCATTGACCTTAAAGCGCTTGAAATCTACACTTGCAAATTGCACAAATAGAGTGTTTCAAATCTGCTCCGTCTAAGGGAACGTTCAACTCTGTGAGTTGAATACACACAACACAAGGAAGTTACTGGGAATTCTTCTGTCTAGCCTTACATGCAAGAAACCCGTTTCCAACGAAGGCCTCTAAGTGGTCAAAATATCCACGTGCAGACTTTACAAACAGAGTGTTTCCAAACCGCTGAATGAAAAGAAAAGTTAAACTCTGAGAGTTGAACGCACACATCACGCAGCAGTTTCTGAGAATGATTCTGTCTAGTTTTTATACGAAGATATTTCCTTTTCTACCTTTGGCCTCAAAGCGCTTGAAATCTCCACTTGCAAATTCCACAAAAAGAGTGTTTCAAATCTGCTCTGTGTAAATGAAAGTTCAACTCTGTGAGTTGAACACACACAACACAAGGAAGTTACTGGGAATTCTTCTGTCTAGCATAATATGAAGAAATCCCGTTTCCAACGAAGGCCTCAAAGAGGTCTGAATATCCACTTGCAGATTTTACAAACAGAGTGTTTCCTAACTGCTCTATGAAAAGAAAAGTTAAACTCTGTGAGTTGAACGCACACATCACAAAGGAGTTTCTGAGAATCATTCTGTCTACTTTTTATACGAAGATATTTCCTTTTCTACCATTGACCTCAAAGCGGCTGAAATCTCCACTTGCAAATTACACAAAAAGAGTGTTTCAAGTCTACTCTGTGTAAACCATCGTTCAACTCTGTGAGTTGAAAACACACAACACAAGGAAGTTTCTGAGAATTCTTCTGTCTAGCATAATATGAAGAAATCCCGTTTCCAACGAAGGCCTCAAGGAGGTCTGAATATCCACTTGCAGACTTTACAAACAGAGTGTTTCCTAACTGCTCTGTGAAAAGAAAGGTTAAACTCTGTGAGTTGAATGCACACATCGCAAAGGAGTTTCTGAGAATCATTCTGTCTAGTCTTTATACGAAGATATTTCCTTTTCTACCATTGACCTCAAAGCGGCTGAAATCTCCACTTGCAAATTCCACAAAAAGAGTGTTTCAAGTCTGCTCTGTGTAAAGGATCGTTCAACTCTGTGAGTTGAATACACACAACACAATGAAGTTACTGAGAATTCTTCTGTCTAGCAGAATATGAAGAAATCCCGTTTCCAACGGAAGCCTCAAAGAGGTCTGAATATCCCCTTGCAGACTTTACAAACAGAGTGTTTCCTAACTGCTCCATGAAAAGAAAGGTTAAACTCTGTGAGTTGAACACACACATCACAAAGGAGTTTCTGAGAATCATTCTGTCTAGTTTCTATAGGAAGATATTTCCTATTCTACCATTGACCTCAAAGCGGCTGAAATCTCCACTTGCAAATTCCACAAAAGGAGTGTTTCAAGTCTGCTCTGTGTAAAGGATCATTCAACTCTGTGAGTTGAATACACACAACACAAGGCAGTTACTGAGAATTCTTCTCTCAGGCATAATATGAAGAAATCCCGTTTCCAACCAAGGCTTCAAAGAGGTCTGAATATCCACTTGCAGAGTTTACAAACAGAGTGTTTCCTAACTGCTCTATGAAAAGAAAGGTTAAACTCTGTGAGTTGAACGCACACATCATAAAGGAGTTTCTGAGAATCATTCTGTCTAGTTTTTATACGAAGATATTTCCTTTTCTACCATTGACCTCAAAGCGGCTGAAATCTCCACTTGCAAATTCCACAAAAAGAGTGTTTCAAATCTGCTCTGTGTAAACCATTGTTCAACTCTGTGACTTGAAGACACACAACACAAGGAAGATTCTGAGAATTCTTCTGTCCAGCAGAACATGAAGAAATCCCGTTTCCAACGAAGGCCTCAAAGATGTCTGAATATCCACTTGCAGACTTTACAAACAGAGTGTTTCCTAACTGCTCTATGAAAACAAAGGTTAAACTCTGTGAGTTGAACGCACACATCACAAAGGAGTTTCTGAGAATCATTCTGTCTAGTCTTTATACGAAGATATTTCCTTTTCTACCATTGACCTCAAAGCGGCTGAAATCTCCACTTGCAAATTCCACAAAAAGAGTGTTTCAAGTCTGCTCTCTGTAAAGGATCGTTCAACTCTGTGAGTTGAATACAGAGAACACAAGGAAGTTACTGAGAATTCTTCTGTCTAGCATAATATGAAGAAATCCCGTTTCCAACGAAGGCCTCAAGAAGGTCTGAATATCCACTTGCAGACTTTACAAACAGAGTGTTTCCTAACTGCTCTATGAAAAGAAAGGTTAAACTCTGTGAGTTGAACGCAGACATCACAAAGGAGTTTCTGAGAATCACTCTGTCTAGTCTTTATAGGAAGATATTTCCTTTTCTACCATTGACCTCAAAGCGGCTGAAATCTCCACTTGCAAATTCCACAAAAAGAGTGTTTCAAGTCTGCTCTGCTGTAAAGGATCGTTCAACTCTGTGAGTTGAATACACACAACACAAGGAAGTTACTGAGAATTCTTCTGTCTAGCAGAATATGAAGAAATCCTGTTTCCAATGAAGGCCTCAAGGAGGTCTGAATATCCACTTGCAGACTTTACAAACAGAGTGTTTCCTAACTGCTCTATGAAAAGAAAGGTTAAACTCTGTGAGTTGAACGCACACATCACAAAGGAGTTTCTGAGAATCATTCAGTCTAGTCTTTATACGAAGATATTTCCTTTTCTACCATTGACCTCAAAGCGGGTGAAATCTCCACTTGCAAATTCCACAAAAAGAGTGTTTCAAGTCTGCTCTGTGTAAAGGATCGTTCAACTCTGTGAGTTGAATACACACAACACAAGGAAGTTACTGAGAATTCTTCTGTCTAGCAGAATATGAAGAAATCCCGTTTCCAACGATGGCCTCAAAGAGGTCTGAATATCCACTTGCAGACTTTACAAACAGAGTGTTTCCTAAGTGCTCTATGAAAAGAAAGGTTAAACTCTGTGAGTTGAACGCACACATCACAAAGGAGTTTCTGAGAATCATTCTGTCTTGTCTTTATACGAAGATATTTCCTTTTCTACCATTGACCTCAAAGCGGCTGAAATCTCCACTTGCAAATTCCACAAAAAGAGTGTTTCAAGTCTGCTCTGTGTAAAGGATCGTTCAACTCTGTGAGTTGAATACACACTACACAAGGAAGTTACTGAAAATTCTTCTGTCTAGCATAATATGAAGAAATCCCGTTTCCAACGAAGGCCTCTAAGAGGTCTGAATATCCACTTGCAGACTTTTCAAACAGAGTGTTTCCTAACTGCTCTATGAAAAGAAAGGTTAAACTCTGTGAGTTGAACGCACACATCACAAAGGAGTTTCTGAGAATCATTCTGTCTAGTTTTTATAGGAAGATATTTCCTTTTCTACCTTTGACTTCAAAGCGGCTGAAATCTCCACTTGCAAATTCCACAAAAAGTGTGTTACAAGTCTGCTCTGTGTAAAGGATCGTTCAACTGTGTGAGTTGAATACACACAACACAAGGAAGTTACTGAGAATTCTTCTGTCTAGCCTTACATGAAAAAAACCCGTTTCCAACGAAGGCCTCTAAGTGGTCAAATTATCCACGTGCAGACTTTACAAACAGAGTGTTTCCAAACTGCTGAATGAAAAGAAAAGTTAAACTCTGAGAGTTGAATGCACACATCACAGAGCAGTTTCTGAGAATGATTCAGTCTAGTCTTTATATGAAGATAGTTTCCTTTTCTACCATTGACCTCAAAGCGGCTGAAATCTCCACTTGCAAATTCCACAAAAAGAGTGTTTCAAGTCTGCTCTGTGTAAAGGATCGTTCAACTCTGTGAGTTGAATACACACAACACAAGGAAGTTACTGAGAATTCTTCTGTGTAGCAGAATATGAAGAAATCCCGTTTCCAACGAAGGCCTCAAAGAGGTCTGAATATCCACTTGAAGACTTTACAAACAGAGTGTTTCGTAACTGCTCTATGAAAAGAAAAGTGAAACTCTGTGAGTTGAACGCACACATCACAAAGGAGTTTCTGAGAATCATTCTGTCTAGTTTTTATAGGAAGATATTTCCTTTTCTACCATTGACCTCAAAGCGGCTGAAATCTCCACTTGCAAATTCCACAAAAAGAGTGTTTCAAATCTGCTCTGTGTAAACCATCGTTCAACTCTGTGAGTTGAATACACACAACACAAGGAAGATTGCTGAGAATTCTTCTGTCTAGCATAATATGAAGAAATCCTGTTTCCAACGAAGGCCTCTAAGAGGTCTGAATATCCACCTGAAGACTTTACAAACAGAGTGTTTCCTAACTGTTCTATGAAAAGAAAGGTTAAACTCTGTGAGTTGAATGCACACATCACAAAGGAGTTTCTGAGAATCATTCTGTCTAGTTTCTATAGGAAGATATTTGCTATTCTACCATTGACCTCAAAGCGGCTGAAATCTCCACTTGCAAATTCCACAAAAAGAATGTTTCAACTCTGCTCTGTGTAAAGGATCGTTCAACTCTGTGAGTTGAATACACACAACACAAGGGAAGTTACTGAGAATTCTTCTGTCTAGCATAATATGAAGAAATCCCGTTTCCAACGAAGGCCTCAAAGGGGTCTGAATATCTACTTGCAGACTTTATAAACAGAGTGTTTACTAACTGCTCTATGAAAAGAAAGGTTAAACTCTGTGAGTTGAACACACACATCACAAAGGAGTTTCTGAGAATCATTCTGTCTAGTGTTTATATGAAGATAGTTTCCTTTTCTACCATTGACCTCAAAGCGGCTGAAATCTCCACTTGCAAATTCCACAAAAAGAGTGTTTCAAGTCTGCTCTGTGTAAAGGATCGTTTAACTCTGTGAGTTGAATACACACAACACAAGGAAGTTACTGAGAATTCTTCTGTCTACCATAATATGAAGAAATCCCGTTTCCAACGAAGGCCACAAGATGTCAGAATATCCACTTACAGACTTTACAAACAGAGTGTTTCCTAACTGCTCTATGAACAGAAAGGTTAAACTCTGTGAGTTGAACGAACACATCACAACGCAGTTTGTGGGAATGATTCTGTCTAGTTTTGAAACGAAGATATTTCCTTTTCTGCCATTGACCTTAAAGCGCTTGAAATCTCCATTTGCCAATTGCACAAAAAGAGTGTTTCAAATCTGCTCTGTCTAAGGGAACGTTCAACTCTGTGAGTTGAATGTACACAACACAAGGAAGTTACTGGGAAAACTTCTGTCTAGCCTTACAGGAAAAAAACCCGTTTCCAACAAAGGCCTCTAAGTGGTCAAAATATCCACGTGCAGACTTTACAAACAGAGTGTTTCCACACTGCTGAATGAAAAGAAAAGTTGAACTCTGAGAGTTGAACGCACACATCGCAGAGCAGTTTCTGAGAATGATTCTGTCTAGTCTTTATACGAAGATATTTACTTTTCTACCATTGACCTCAAAGCGGCTGAAATCTCCACTTGCAAATGCCACAAAAAGAGTGTTTCAAGTCTGCTCTGTGTAAAGGATCATTAACTCTGTGAGTTGAATAAACACAACACAAGGAAGTTACTGAGAATTCTTCTGTCTAGCAGAATATGAAGAAATCCCGTTTCCAACGAAGGCCTCAAGGAGGTCTGAATATCCACTTGCAGACTTCACAAAGAGAGTGTTTCCTAACTGCTCTATGAAAAGAAAGGTTAAACTCTGTGAGTTGAACGCACACATCACAAAGGAGTTTATGAGAATCATTCTGTCTAGTTTTTATACGAAGATATTTCCTTTTCTACCATTGACCTCAAAGCGGCTGAAATCTCCACTTGCAAATTCCATAAAAAGAGTGTTTCAAGTCTGCTCTGTGTAAAGGATCGTTCAACTCTGTGAGTTGAATACACACAACACAAGGAAGTTACTGAGAATTCTTCTGTCTAGCATAATATGAAGAAATCCCGTTTCCAACGAAGGCCTCAAAGAGGTCTGAATATCAACTTGCAGACTTTACAAACAGAGTGTTTCCTAACTGCTCTATGAAAAGAAAGGTTAAACTCTGTGAGTTGAACGCACACATCACAAAGGAGTTTCTGAGAATCATTCTGTCTAGTTTTTATACGAAGATATTTCCTTTTCTACCATGGACCTCAAAGCGGCTGAAATCTCCACTTGCAAATTCCACAAAAAGAGTGTTTCAAGTCTGCTCTGTGTAAAGGATCGTTCAAATCTGTGAGTTGAATACACACAACACAAGGAAGATTCTGAGAATTCTTCTGTCTAGCAGAATATGAAGAAATCCCGTTTCCAACGAAGGCCACAAGATGTCAGAATATCCACTTACAGAATTGACAAACAGACTGTTTCCTAACTGCTCTATGAAAAGAAAAGTTAAACTCTGAGAGTTGAACGCACACATCGCAGAGCAGTTTCTGAGAATGATTCTGTCTAGTTTTGAAACGAAGATATTTCCTTTTCTGCCATTGAACTTAAAGCGCTTGAAATCTCCATTTGCCAATTGCACAAAAAGAGTGTTTCAAATCTGCTCTGTCTAAGGGAACGTTCAACTCTGTGAGTTGAATGTACACAACACAAGGAAGTTACTGGGAATTCTTCTGTCTAGCCTTACAGGAAAAAAACCCGTTTCCAACGAAGTCCTCTAAGTGGTCAAGTTATCCACGTGCAGACTTTACAAACAGAGTGTTTCCAAACTGCTGAATGAAAAGAAAAGTTAAACTCTGAGAGTTGAACGCAAACATCGCAGAGCAGTTTTTGAGAATGATTCTGTCTAGTTTTGAAACGGAGATATTTCCTTTTCTGCCTTTGGCCTCAAAGCGCTTGAAATCTCCACTTGCAAATTCCACAAAAAGAGTGTTTCAAATCTTTTCTGTGTAAATGAAAGTTCAACTCTGTGAGTTGAACACACACAACACAAGGAAGTTACTGGGAATTCTTCTGTCTAGCCTTATATGAAAAAAACCCGTTTCCAACGAAGGCCTCAAAGAGGTCTGAATATCCACTTGCAGACTTTACAAACAGAGTGTTTCCTAACTGCTCTATGAAAAGAAAGTTTAAACTCTGTGAGTTGAACGCACACATCACAAAGGAGTTTCTGAGAATCATTCTGTCTAGTTTTTCTACGAAGATATTTCCTTTTCTACTATTGACCTCAAAGCGGCTGAAATCTCCACTTGCAAATTCCACAAACAGAGTGTTTCAAGTCTGCTCTGTGTAAAGGATCGTTCAACTCTGTGAGTTGAATACACACAACACAAGGAAGTTACTGAGAATTCTTCTGTCTAGCCTTATAAGAAAAAAACCCGTTTCCAACGAAGGCCTCAAAGAGGTCTGAATATCCACTTGCAGACTTTACAAACAGAGTGTTTCCTAACTGCTCTATGGAAAGAAAGGTTAAACTCTGTGAGTTGAACGCACACATCACAAAGGAGTTTCTGAGAATCATTCTGTCTAGTTTTTATATGAAGATATATCCTTTTATACAATTGACCTCAAAGCGGCTGAAATCAACACTAGCCAATTGCACAAAAAGAGTGTTTCAAATCTGCTCTGTCTAAGGGAACGTTCAACTCTGTGAGTTGAATGTACACAACACAAGGAAGTTACTGGGAATTCTTCTGTCTAGCCTTACATGAAGAAAACCCGTTTCCAACGAAGGCCTCTAAGTGGTCAAAATTTCCACGTGCAGACTTTACAAACAGAGTGTTTCCAAACCGCTGAATGAAAAGAAAAGTTAAACTCTGAGAGTTGAACTCACACATCACGCAGCAGTTTCTGAGAATGATTCTGTCTAGTTTCTATAGGAAGATATTTCCTATTCTACCATTGACCTCAAAGCGCTTGAAATCTCCACTTGCAAATTCCACAAAAACAGTGTTTCAAATCTGCTCTCTCTAAATGAAAGTTCAACTCTGTCAGTTGAATACACACAACACAAGGAAGTTACTGAGAATTCTTCTGTCTAGCATAATATGAAGAAATCCCGTTTCCAACGAAGGCCTCAAAGAGGTCTCAATATCCACTTGCAGACTTTACAAACAGAGTGTTTCCTAACTGCTCTATGAGAAGAAAAGTTAAACTCTGTGAGTTGAACGCACACATCACAAAACATTTTCTGAGAATCATTCTGTCTAGTTTTTCTACGAAGATATTTCCTTTTCTACTATTGACCTCAAAGCGGCTGAAATCTCCACTTGCAAATTCCACAAAAAGAGTGTTTCAAGTCTGCTCTGTGTAAAGGATCGTTCAATTCTGTGAGTTGAATACACACAACACAAGGAAGTTACTGAGAATTCTTCTGTCTAGCCTTACATGAAAAAAACCCGTTTCCAACGAAGGCCTCTAAGTGGTCAAATTATCCACGTGCAGACTTTACGAACAGAGTGTTTCCAAACTGCTGAATGAAAAGAAAAGTTAAACTGCTGAGAGTTGAACGTACACATCACAGAGCAGTTTCTGAGAATGATTCTGTCTAGTTTTTATACGAAGATATTTCCTTTTCTGCCTTTGGCCCCAAAGCGCTTGAAATCTCCACTTGCAAATTCCAAAAAAACAGTGTTTCAAATCTGCTCTCTCCAAATGAAAGTTCAACTCTGTCAGTTGAATACACACAACACAAGGAAGTTACTGAGAATTCTTCTGTCTAGCATAATATGAAGAAATCCCGTTTCCAACGAAGGCCTCAAAGAGGTCTGAATATCCACTTGTAGACTTTACAAACAGAGTGTTTCCTAACTGCTCTATGAAAAGAAAGGTGAAACTCTGTGAGTTGAACGCACACATCACAAAGCAGTTTCTGAAAATCATTCTGTCTAGTTTCTATAGGAAGATATTTCCTATTCTACCATTGACCTCAAAGCGGCTGAAATCTCCCCTTGCAAATTCCACAAAAAGAATGTTTCAAGTCTGCTCTGTGTAAAGGATCGTTCAACTCTGTGAGTTGAATACACACAACACAAGGGAAGTTACTGAGAATTCTTCTGTCTAGCATAGTATGAAGAAATCCCGTATCCAACGAAGGCCTCAAAGAGGTCTGAATATCCACTTGCATAGTTTACAAACAGAGTGTTTCCTAACTGCTCTATGAAAAGAAAGGTTAAACTCTGTGAGTTGAACGCACACATCACAAAGAAGTTTCTGAGAATCATTCTGTCTACTTTTTATACGAAGATATTTCCTTTTCTGCCTTTGGCCCCAAGGCGCTTGATATCTCCACTTGCAAATTCCACAAAAACAGTGTTTCAAATCTGCTCTCTCTAAATGAAAGTTCAACTCTGTCAGTTGAATACACACAACACAAGGAAGTTACTGAGAATTCTTCTGTCTAGCATAATATGAAGAAATCCCGTTTCAAACGAAGGCGTCAAAGGGGTCTGAATATCCACTTGCAGACATTATAAACAGAGTGTTTACTAACTGCTCTATGAAAAGAAAGCTTAAACTCTGTGAGTTGAACACACACATCACAAAGGAGTTTCTGAGAATCATTCTGTCTAGTTTCTGTAGGAAGATAATTCCTATTCTACCATTGAACTCAAAGCGGCTGAAATCTCCACTTGCAAATTCCACAAAAAGAGTGTTTCAAGTCTGCTCTGTGTAAAGGATCGTTCAACTCTGTGAGTTGAATACACACAACACAAGGAAGTTACTGAGAATTCTTCTGTCTAGCATAATATGAAGAAATCCCGTTTCCAACGAAGGCCTCAAAGAGGTCTGAATATCCACTTGCAGACTTTACAAACAGAGTGTTTCCTAACTGCTCTATGAACAGTAAGGTTAAACTCTGTGAGTTGAACGCACACATCACAAAGGAGTTTCTGAGAATCATTCTGTCTAGTTTTGAAACCAAGATATTTCCTTTTCTGCCGTTGACCTTAAAGAGCTTGAAAACTACACTTGCAAATTGCACAAATAGAGTGTTTCAAATCTGCTCTGTCTAAGGGAACGTTCAACTCTGTGAGTTGAATGCACACAACACAAGGAAGTTACTGGGAATTCTTCTGTCTAGGCTTACAAGGACAAAACCCGTTTCCAACGAAGGCCTCTAAATGGTCAAAATATCCACGTGCAGACTTTACAAACAGAGTGTTTCCAAACTGCTGAATGAAAAGAAAAGTTAAACTCTGAGAGTTGAACGCACACATCGCAGAGCAGTTTCTGAGAATGATTCTGTGTAGTTTTTATACGAAGATATTTCCTTTTCTGCCTTTGGCCTCAAAGCGCTTGAAATCTCCACTTGCAAATTCCAGAAAAAGAGTGTTTCAAATCTGCTCTGTCTAAATGAAAGTTCAACTCTGTCAGTTGAATACACACAACACAAGGAAGTTACTGAGAATTCTTCTGTCTAGCCTTACATGAAAAAAAACCCGTTTCCAATGAAGGCCTCAAAGAGGTGAAAATATCCACTTGCAGACTTTACAAACAGAGTGTTTCCTAACTGCTCTATGAAAAGAAAGGTTAAACTCTGTGAGTTGAACACCCACATCACAAAGGAGTTTCTGAGAATCATTCTGTGTAGTTTTTCTACGAAGATATTTCCTTTTCTACTATTGACCTCAAAGCGGCTGAAATCTCCACTTGCAAATTCCACAAAAAGAGTGTTTCAAGTCTGCTCTGTGTAAACGATCGTGCAACTCTGTGAGTTGAATACACACAACACAAGGAAGTTACTGAGAATTCTTCTGTCTAGCAGAATATGAAGAAATCCCGCTTTCAACGAAGGCCTCAAAGAAGTCTGAATATCCACTTGCAGACTTTACAAACAGAGTGTTTCCCAACTGCTCTATGAAAAGAAAGGTTGAAATCTGTGAGTTGAACGCACACATCACAAAGGAGTTTCTGAGAATCATTCTGTCTAGTTTCTATAGGAAGATATTTCCTATTCTACCATTGAACTCAAAGCGGCTGAAATATCCACTTGCAAATTCCACAAAAAGAGTGTTTCAAGTCTGCTCTGTGTAAAGGATCGTTCAACTCTGTGAGTTGAATACACAAAACACAAGGAAGTTACTGAGAATTCTTCTGTCTAGCCTTACATGAAAAAAACCCGTTTCCAACGAAGGCCTCAAAGAAGTCCAAATATCCACATGCAGACTTTACAAACAGAGTGTTTCCTAACTGCTCTATGAAAAGAATGGTTAAACTCTGTGAGTTGAACGCCCACATCACAAAAGAGTTTCTGAGAATCATTCTGTCTAGTTTTTCTACGAAGATATTTACTTTTCTACTATTGACCTCAAAGCGGCTGAAATCTCCACTTGCAAATTCCACAAAAAGAGAGTTTCAAGTCTGCTCTGTGTAAAGGATCGTTCAACTCTGTGAGTTGAATACACACAACACAAGGAAGTTACTGAGAATTCTTCTCTCTAGCAGAATATGAAGAAATCCCGTTTCCAACGATGGCCTCAAAGAGGTCTGAATATCCACTTGCAGACTTTACAAACAGAGTGTTTCCTAACTGCTCTATGAAAAGAAAGGTTAAACTCTATGAGTTGAACGCACACATCACAAAGGAGTTTCTGAGAATCATTCTGTCTAGTTTCTATAGGAAGATATTTCCTATTCTACCATTGAACTCAAATCGGCTGAAATCTCCACTTGCAAATTCCACAAAAAGAGTGTTTCAAGTCTGCTCTGTGTAAAGGATCGTTCAACTCTGTGAGTTGAATACACACAACACAAGGAAGTTACTGAGAATTCTTCTGTCTAGCAGAATATGAAGAAATCCCGTTTCCACCGAAGGCCTCAAGGAGGTCTGAATATCCACTTGCAGACTTTACAAACAGAGTGTTTCCTAACTGCTCTATGAACAGAAAGGTTAAACTCTGTGAGTTGAACGCACACATCATAAAGGAGTTTCTGAGAATCATTCTGTCTAGTGTCTATAGGAAGATATTTCCTATTCTACCATTGACCTCAAAGCGGCTGAAATCTCCACTTGCAAATTCCAGAAAAAGAGTGTTTCAAGTCTGCTCTGTGTAAAGGATCGTTGAAATCTGTGAGTTGAATACACACAACACAATGAAGTTACTGAGAATTCTTCTGTCTAGCAGAATATGAAGAAATCCCGTTTCCAACGAAGGCCTCAAAGAGGTCTGAATATCCACTTGCAGACTTTACAAACAGAGTGTTTCCTAACTGCTCTATGAACAGAAAGGTTAAACTCTGTGAGTTGAACGAACACATCACAACGCAGTTTGTGGGAATGATTCTGTCTAGTTTTTATACGAAGATATTTCCTTTTCTACCATTGACCTCAAAGCGGCTGAAATCACCACTTGCCAATTGCACAAAAAGAGTGTTTCAAATCTGCTCTGTCTAAGGGAACGTTCAACTCTGTGAGTTGAATGTACACAACACAAGGAAGTTCCTGGGAATTCTTCTGTCTAGCCTTACAAGAAAAAAAACCCGTTTCCAACGAAGGCCTCTAAATGGTCAAAATATCCACGTGCAGACTTTACAAACAGAGTGTTTCCAAACTGCTGAATGAAAAGAAAAGTTAAACTCTGAGAGTTGAACGCACACATCGCAGAGCAGTTTCTGAGAATGATTCTGTCTAGTTTTGAAACGGAGATATTTCCTTTTCTGCCTTTGGCCTCAAAGCGCTTGAAATCTCCACTTGCAAATTCCACAAAAAGAGTGTTTCAAATCTGCTCTGTGTAAATGAAAGTTCAACTCTGTGAGTTGAACACACACAACACAAGGAAAGTTACTGGGAATTCTTCTGTATAGCAGAATATGAAGAAATCCCGTTTCCAACGAAGGCCTCAAGGAGGTCTGAATATCCACTTGCAGACTTTACAAACAGAGTGTTTCCTAACTGCTCTATGAAAAGAAAGGTTAAACTCGGTGAGTTGAACGCAGACATCACAAAGGAGTTTCTGAGAATCACTCTGTCTAGTTTTTATACGAAGAGATTTCCTTTTCTACCATTGACCTCAACGCGGCTGAAATCTCCACTTGCAAGTTTCACAAAAAGAGTGTTTCAATTCCGCTCTGTGTAAAGGATCGTTCAACTCTGTGAGTTGAATACACACAACACAAGGAAGTTACTGAGAATTCTTCTGTCTAGCACAGTATGAAGAAATCCCGTTTCCAACGAAGGCCTCAAAGAGGTCTTAATATCCACTTGCAGAGTTTACAAACAGAGTGTTTCCTAACTGCTCTATGAAAAGAAAGGTTAAACTCTGTGAGTTGAACGCACACATCACAAAGAAGTTTCTGAGAATCATACTGTCTAGCTTTGAAACGAAGATATTTCCTTTTCTGCCATTGACCTTAAAGCGCTTGAAATCTCCACTTGCCAATTGCACAAAAAGAGTGTTTCAAATCTGCTCTGTCTAAGGGAACGTTCAACTCTGTGAGTTGAATGTACACAACACAAGGAAGTTACTGGGAATTCTTCTGTCTAGCCTTACATGAAAAAAACCCGTTTCCAACGAAGGCCTCTAAGTGGTCAAAATATCCACGTGCAGACTTTACAAACAGAGTGTTTCCAAACTGCTGAATGAAAAGAACAGTTAAACTCTGAGAGATGAACGCACACATCACAGAGCAGTTTCTGAGAATTATTCTGTCTAGTTTTTATACGAAGATATTTCCTTTTCTGCCTTTGGCCTCAAAGCGCTTGAAATCTCCACTTGCAAATTTCACGAAAAGAGTGTTTCAAATCTGCTCTGTGTAAATGAAAGTTCAACTCTGTGAGTTGAACACACACAACACAAGGAAGTTACTGGGAATTCTTCTGTCTAGCATAATATGAAGAAATCCCGTTTCCACCGAAGGCCTCAAAGAGGTCTGAATATCCACTTGCAGACTTTACAAACAGAGTGTTTCCTAACTGCTCTATGAAAAGAAAAGTGAAACTCTGTGAGTTGAACGCACACATCACAAAGGAGTTTCTGAGAATCATTCTGTCTAGTTTTGAAACGAAGATATTTCCTTTTCTACCATTGACCTCAACGCGGCTGAAATCTCCACTTGCAAATTCCACAAAAAGTGTGTTTCAAGTCCGCTCTGTGTAAAGGATCGTTCAACTCTGTGAGTTGAATACACACAACACAAGGAAGTTACTGAGAATTCTTCTGTCTAGCATAGTATGAAGAAATCCCGTTTCCAACGAAGGCCTCAAACAGGTCTGAATATCCACTTGCAGAGTTTACAAACAGAGTGTTTCCTAACTGCTCTATGAAAAGAAAGGTTAAACTCTGTGAGTTGAACGCACACATCAAAAAGAAGTTTCTGAGAATCATTCTGTCTAGTTTTTATAGGAAGATATTTCCTTTTCTACCTTTGACTTCAAAGGGGCTGAAATCTCCACTTGCAAATTCCACAAAAAGAGTGTTACAAGTCTGCTCTGTGTAAAGGATCGTTCAACTCTGTGAGTTGAATACACACAACACAAGGAAGTTACTGAGAATTCGTCTGTCTAGCAGAATATGAAGAAATCCCGTTTCCAACGAAGGCCACAAGCTGTCAGAATATCTACTTACAGAATTTTCAAACAGACTGTTTCCTAACTACTCTATGAAAAGAAAGGTTAAACTCTGTGAGTTGAACGAACACATCACAACGCAGTTTGTGGGAATGATTCTGTCTAGTTTTGAAACGAAGATATTTCCTTTTCTACCATTGACCTCAAAGCGCTTGAAATCTCCATTTGCCAATTGCACAAAAAGAGTGTTTCAAATCTGTTCTGTCTAAGGGAACGTTCAACTCTGTGAGTTGAATGTACACAACACAAGGAAGTTACTGGGAATTCTTCTGTCTAGCCTTACAGGAAAAAAACCCGTTTCCAACGAAGGCCTCTAAGTGGTCAAAATATCCACGTGCAGACTTTACAAACAGAGTGTTTCCAAACTGCTGAATGAAAAGAAAAGTTAAACTCCTGAGAGTTGAACGCACACATCGCAGAGCAGTTTCTGAGAATGATTTCTGTCTAGTTTTTATACGAAGATATTTCCTTTTCTGCCTTTGGCCTCAAAGCGCTTGAAATCTCCATTTGCAAATTCCACAAAAAGAGTGTTTCAAATCTGCTCTGTGTACATGAAAGTTCAACTCTGTGAGTTGAACACACACAACACAAGGAAGTTACTGGGAATTCTTCTGTCTAGCACAGTATGGAGAAATCCCGTTTCCAACGAAGGCCTCAAAGAGGTCTGAATATCCACTTGCAGAGTTTACAAACAGAGTGTTTCCTAACTGCTCTATGAAAAGAAAGGTTAAACTCTGTGAGTTGAACGCACACATCACAAAGAAGTTTATGAGAATCATTCTGTCTAGTTTTTATACGAAGATATTTCCTTTTCTACCATTGACCTCAAAGGGGATGAAATCTCCACTTGCAAATTCCACAAAAAGAGTGTTTCAAGTCTGCTCTGTGTAAAGGTTCGTTCAACTCTGTGAGTTGAATACACACAACACAAGGAAGTTACTGAGAATTCTTCTGTCTAGCATAATATGAAGAAATCCCGTTTCCAACGAAGGCCTCAAAGGGGTCTGAATATCCACTTGCAGACTTTATAAACAGAGTGTTTAGTAACTGCTCTATGAAAAGAAAGGTTAAACTCTGTGAGTTGAACACACACATCACAAAGGAGTTTCTGAGAATCATTCTGTCTAGTTTTGAAACGAAGATATTTCCTTTTCTGCCGTTGACCTTAAAGAGCTTGAAAACTACACTTGCAAATTGCACAAATAGAGTGTTTCAAATCTGCTCTGTCTAAGGGAACGTTCAACTCTGTGAGTTGAATGCACACAACACAAGGAAGTTACTGGGAATTCTTCTGTCTAGCCTTACATGAAAAAAACCCGTTTCCAAAGAAGGCCTCTAAGTGGTCAAAATTTCCACGTGCAGACTTTACAAACAGAGTGTTTCCAAACCGCTGAATGAAAAGAAAAGTTAAACTCTGAGAGTTGAACGCACACATCACGCAGCAGTTTCTGAGAATGATTCTGTCTAGTTTTTATACGACGATATTTCCTTTTCTGCCTTTGGCCCCAAAGCGCTTGAAATCTCCACTTGCAAATTCCACAAAAACAGTGTTACAAATCTGCTCTCTCTAAATGAAAGTTCAACTCTGTCAGTTGAATACACACAACACAAGGAAGTTACTGAGAATTCTTCTGTCTAGCAGAATATGAAGAAATCCCGTTTCCAACGAAGGCCTCAAAGATGTCTGAATATCCACTTGCAGACTTTACAAACAGAGTGTTTCCTAACTACTCTATGAAAAGAAAGGTTAAACTCTGTGAGCTGAACGCACACAGCACAAAGGAGTTTCTGAGAATCATTCTGTCTAGTTTTTCTATGAAGATATTTCCTTTTCTACTATTGACCTCAAAGCGGCTGAAATCTCCACTTGCAAATTCCACAAAAAGAGTGTTTCAAGTCTGCTCTGTGTAAAGGATCGTTCAACTCTGTGAGTTGAATACACACAACACAAGGAAGTTACTGAGAATTCTTCTGTCTAGCATAATATGAAGAAATCCCGTTTCCAACGAAGGCCTCAAGGAGGTCTGAATATCCACTTGAAGACTTTAAAAACAGAGTGTTTCCTAACTGCTCTATGAAAAGAAAGGTTAAACTCTGTGAGTTGAACGCACACCTCACAAAGGATTTCTCAGAACCATTCTGTCTAGTTTCTATAGGAAGATATTTACTATTCTACCATTGACCTCAAAGCGGCAGAAATCTCCACTTGCAAATTCCACAAAAAGAGTGTTTCAAGTCTGCTCTGTGTAAAGGATCGTTCAACTCTGTGAGTTGAATACACACAACACAAGGAAGTTTCTGAGAATTCTTCTGTCTAGCAGAATATGAAGAAATCCCGTTTCCAACGAAGGCCACAAGATGTCAGAATATCCACTTACAGAATTTACAAACCCACTGTTTCCTAACTGCTCTATGAAAAGAAAGGTTAAACTCTGTGAGTTGAACGAACACATCACAACGCAGTTTGTGGGAATGATTCTGTCTAGTTTTGAAACGAAGATATTTCCTTTTCTGCTGTTGACCTTAAAGAGCTTGAAAACTACACTTGCAAATTGCACAAATAGAGTGTTTCAAATCTGCTCTGTCTAAGGGAACGTTCAACTCTGTGAGTTGAATGCACACAACACAAGGAAGTTACTGGGAATTCTTCTGTCTAGCCTTACATGAAAAAAAACCCGTTTCCAACGAAGGCCTCTAAGTGGTCATATTATACACGTGCAGACTTTTCAAACAGAGTGTTTCCAAACTGCTCTATGAAAAGAAAGGTTAAACACTGTGAGTTGAACACCCACATCACAAAGGAGTTTCTGAGAATCATTCTGTCTAGTTTTTATACGAAGATATTTCCTTTTCTGCCTTTGGCCTCAAAGCACTTGAAATCTCCACCTGCAAATTCCACAAAAAGAGTGTTTCAAATCTGCTCTGTGTAAATGAAAGTTCAACTCTGTGAGTTGAACACACACAACACAAGGAAGTTACTGGGAATTCTTCTGTCTAGCCTTATATGAAAAAAACCCGTTTCCAACGAAGGCCTCAAAGAGGTCTGAATATCCTCTTGCAGACTTTACAAACAGAGTGTTTCCTAACTGCTCTATGAAAAGAAAGGTTAAACTCTGTGAGTTGGACACACACATCCCAAAGGAGTTTCTGAGAATCATTCTGTCTAGTTTCTATAGGAAGATATTTCCTTTTCTACCATTGACCTCAAATCGGCTGAAATCTCCACTTGTAAATTCCACAAAAACAGTGTTTCAAGTCTGCTCTGTATAAAGGATCGTTCAACGGTGTGAGTTGAATACACACAACACAAGGAAGTTACTGAGAATTCTTCTGTCTAGCAGAATATGAAGAAACCCCGTTTCCAACGAAGGCCACAAGATGTCAGAATATCCACTTACAGACTTTAGAAACAGAGTGTTTCCTAACTGCTCTATGAACAGAAAGGTTAAACTCTGTGAGTTGAACGAACACATCACAACGCAGTTTGTGGGAATGATTCTGTCTAGTTTTGAAACGAAGATATTTCCTTTTCTGTCTTTGGCCTCAAAGCGCTTGAAATCTCCATTTGCAAATTGCACAAAAAGAGTCTTTCAAATCTGCTCTGTGTAAATGAAAGTTCAACTCTGTGAGTTGAACACACACAACACAAGGATGTTAGTGGGAATTCTTCTGTCTAGCCTTACATGAAAAAAACCCGTTTCCAACGAAGGCCTCTAAGTGTTCAAGTTATCCACGTGCACACTTTACAAACAGAGTGTTTCCAAACTTCTGAATGAAAAGAAAAGTTAAACTCTGAGAGTTGAACGCACACATCGCAGAGCAGTTTCTGAGAATGATTCTGTCTAGTTTTGAAACGAAGACATTTCCTTTTCTGCCTTTGGCCTCAAAGCGCTTGAAATCTCCACTTGCAAATTCCACAAAAAGAGTGTTTCAAATCTGCTCTGTGTAAATGAAAGTTCAACTCTGTGAGTTGAACACACACAACACAAGGAAGTTACTGGGAATTCTTCTTTCTAGCAGAATATGAAGAAATCCCGTTTCCAACGAAAGCCTCAAGGATGTCTGAATATACACTTGCAGACTTTACAAACAGAGTGTTTCCTAACTGCTCTATGAAAAGGAAGGTTAAACTCTGTGAGTTGAACGCACACATCACAAAGGAGTTTCTGAGAATCATTCTGTCTAGTTTCTATGGGAAGATATTTCCTATTCTACCATTGACCTCAAAGCGGCTGAAGTCTCCACTTGCAAATTCCACAAAAAGAGTGTTTCAAGTCTGCTCTGTGTAAAGGATCGTTCAACTCTGTGAGTTGAATACACACAACACAAGGAAGTTACTGAGAATTCTTCTGTCTAGCAGAATATGAAGAAATCCCGCTTCCAACGAAGACCTCAAAGAAGTCTGAATATCCACTTGCAGACTTTACAAACAGAGCGTTTCCCAAATGCTCTATGAAAAGAAAGGTTAAACTCTGTGAGTTGAACGCACACATCACAAAGGAGTTTCTGAGAATCATTCTGTCTAGTTTTGAAACGAAGATATTTCCTTTTCTACCATTGACCTTAAAGCGCTTGAAATCTCCACTTGCCAATTGCACAAAAAGAGTGTTTCAAATCTGCTCTGTCTAAGGGAACGTTCACCTCTGTGAGTTGAATGTACACAACACAAGGAAGTTAGTGGGAATTCTTCTGTCTAGCCTTACAGGAAAAAAACCCGTTTCCAACGAAGTCCTCTAAGTGGTCAAGTTATCCACGTGCAGACTTTACAAACAGAGTGTTTCCAAACTGCTGAATGAAAAGAAAAGTTAAACTCTGAGAGTTGAACGCACACATCGCAGAGCAGTTTACTGAGAATGATTTCTGTCTAGTCTTTATACGAAGATATTTCCTTTTCTACCATTGACCTCAAAGCAGCTGAAATCTCCACTTGCAAATTCCACAAAAAGAGTGTTTCAAGTCTGCTCTGTGTAAAGGATCGTTCAACTCTGTGAGTTGAATACACACAACACAAGGAAGTTACTGAGAATTCTTCTGTCTAGCAGAATATGAAGAAATCCCGTTTCCAACGAAGGCCTCAAGGAGGTCTGAATATCCACTTGCAGACTTTACAAACAGAGTGTTTCCTAACTGCTCTATGAAAAGAAAGGTGAAACTCAGTGAGTTGAATGCACACATCACAAAGGAGTTTATGAGAATCATTCTGTCTAGTTTTTATAGGAAGATATTTCCTTTTCTACCATTGACCTCAAAGCGGCAGAAATCTCCACTTGCAAATTCCACAAAAAGAGTGTTTCAAGTCTGCTCTGTGTAAAGGATCGTTCAACTCTCTGAGTTGAATACACACAACACGCGGAAGTTACTGAGAATTCTTCTGTCTAGCAGAATATGAAGAAATCCCGTTTCCAACGAAGGCCTCAAGGAGGTCTGAATATCCACTTGCAGACTATACAAACAGAGTGTTTCCTAACTGCTCTATGAACAGAAAGGTTAAACTCTGTGAGTTGAACGCACACATCACAAAGGAGTTTCTGAGAATCATTCTGTCTAGTCTTTATAGGAAGATATTACCTTTTCTACCATGGACCTCAAAGCGGCTGAAATCTCCACTTGCAAATTCCACAAAAAGAGTGTTTCAAGTCTGCTCTTTGTAAAGGATCGTTCAACTCTGTGAGTTGAATACACACAACACAAGGAAGTTACTGAGAATACTTCTGTCTAGCAGAATATGAAGAAATCCCGTTTCCAACGAAGGCCTCAAGGAGGTCTGAATATCCACTTGCAGACTTTACAAACAGAGTGTTTCCTAACTGCTCTATGAAAAGAAAGGTTAAACTCTGTGAGTTGATCGCACACATCACAAAGGAGTTTCTGAGAATCGTTCTGTCTACTTTCTATAAGAAGATATTTCCTATTCTACCATTGACCTCAAAGCGGCTGAAATCTCCACTTGCAAATTCGACAAAAAGAGTGTTTCAAGCCTGCTCTCTGTAAAGGATCCTTCAACTCTGTGAGTTGAATACACACAACACAAGGAAGTTACTGAGAATTATTCTGTCTAGCAGAATATGAAGAAATCCCGTTTCCAACGAAGGCCTCAAGGAGGTCTGAATATCCACTTGCAGACTTTACAAACAGAGTGTTTCCTAACTGCTCTATGAAAAGAAAGGTTAAACTCTGTGAGTTGAATGCACACATCACAAAGGAGTTTCTCAGAATCATTCTGTCTAGTCTTTATATGAAGATAGTTTCCTTTTCTACCATTGACCTCAAAGCGGCTGAAATCTCCACTTGCAAATTCCACAAAATGAGTGTTTCAAGTCTGCTCTGTGTAAAGGATCGTTCAACTCTGTGAGTTGAATACACACAACACAAGGAAGTTACTGAGAATTCTTCTGTCTAGCAGAATATGAAGAAATCCCGTTTCCAACGAAGGCCACAAGATGTCAGAATATCCACTTACAAACTTTACAGAGTGTTTCCTAACTGCTCTATGAACAGAAAGGTTAAACTCTGTGAGTTGAACGAACACATGACAACGCAGTTTCTTGGAATGATTCTGTCTAGTTTTTATAGGAAGATATTTCCTTTTCTACCTTTGACTTCAAAGTGGCTGAAATCTCCACTTGCAAATTCCACAAAAAGAGTGTTACAAGTCTGCTCTGTGTAAAGGATCGTTCAACTCTGTGAGTTCAATACACACAACACAAGGAAGTTACTGAGAATTCTTCTGTCTAGCCTTACATGAAAAAAACCCGTTTCCAATGAAGGCCTCTAAGTGGTCAAATTTTCCACGTGCAGACTTTACAAACAGAGTGTTTCCAAACTGCTGAATGAAAAGAAAAGTCAAACTCTGAGAGTTGAACGCACACATCGCAGAGCAGTTTCTGAGAATGATTCTTTCTATTTTTTTACGAAGATATTTCCTTTTCTGCCTTTGGCCTCAAAGCGCTTGAAATCTCCACTTGCAAATTCCACAAAAAGAGTGTTTCAAATCTGCTCTGTTTAAATGAAGTTCAACTCTGTGAGTTGAACACACACAACACAAGGAAGTTACTGGGAATTCTTCTGTCTAGCCTAATATGAAAAAAACCCGTTTCCAACGAAGGCCTCAAAGAGGTCTGAATATCCACTTGCAGACTTTACAAACAGAGTGTTTCCTAACTGCTCTATGAAAAGAAAGGTTAAACTCTGTGAGTTGAACACACACATCACAAAGGAGTTTCTGAGAATCATTCTGTCTAGTTTTTATACGAAGATATTTCCTTTTCTACCATTGACCTCAAAGCGGCTGAAATCACCACTTGCCAATTGCACAAAAAGAGTGTTTCAAATCTGCTCTGTCTAAGGGAACGTTCAACTCTGTGAGTTGAATGTACACAACAAAAGGAAGTTCCTGGGAATTCTTCTGTCTAGCCTTACAAGAAAAAAACCCGTTTCCAACGAAGGCCTCTAAATGGTCAAAATATCCACGTGCAGACTTTACAAACAGAGTGTTTCCAAACTGCTGAATGAAAAGAAAAGTTAAACTCTGAGAGTTGAACGCACACATCGCAGAGCAGTTTCTGAGAATGATTCTGTCTAGTCTTTATACGAAGATATTTCCTTTTCTACCATTGACCTCAAAGCGGCTGAAATCTCCACTTGCAAATTCCACAAAAAGAGTGTTTCAAGTCTGCTCTGTGTAAAGGATCGTTCAACTCTGTCAGTTGAATACACACAACACAAGGAAGTTACTGAGAATTCTTCTGTCTAGCAGAATACGAAGAAATCCCGTTTCCAACGAAGGCCTCAAGGAGGTCTGAATATCCACTTGCAGACTTTACAAACAGAGTGTTTCCTAACTGCTCTGTGAACAGAAAGGTTAAACTCTGTGAGTTGAACGCACACATCACAAAGGAGTTTCTGAGAATCATTCTGTCTAGTTTCTATAGGAAGATATTACCTATTCTACCTTTGACCTCAAAGCGGCTGAAATCTCCACTTGCAAATTCCACAAAAAGAGTGTTTCAAGTCTGCTCTGTGTAAAGGATCGTTCAACTCTGTGAGTTGAATACACACAACACAAGGAAGTTACTGAGAATTCTTCTGTCTAGCAGAATATGAAGAAATCCCGTTTCCAACGAAGGCCACAAGTTGTCAGAAAATCCACTTACAGAATTTACAAACAGACTGTTTCCTAACTGCTCTATGAAAAGAAAGGTTAAACTCTGTGATTTGAACGAACACATCACAACGCAGTCTGTGGGAATGATTCTGTCTAGTTTTGAAACGCAGATATTTCCTTTTCTGCCATTGACCTTAAAACTCTTGAAATCTCCACTTGCCAATTGCACAAAAAGAGTGTTTCAAATCTGCTCTGTCTAAGGGAACGTTCAACTCTGTGAGTTGAATGTACACAACACAAGGAAGTTACTGGGAATTCTTCTGTCTAGCCTTACATGAAAAAAACCCGTTTCCAACGAAGGCCTCTAAGTGGTCAAAATATCCACGTGCAGACTTTACAAACAGAGTGTTTCCAAACCGCTGAATGAAAAGAAAAGTTAAACTCTGAGAGTTGAACGCAAACATCAAGCAGCAGTTTCTGAGAATGATTCTGTCTAGTTTTTATACGAAGATATTTCCTTTTCTGCCTTTGGCCTCAAAGCGCTTGAAATCTCCACTTGCAAATTCCACAAAAAGAGTGTTTCAAATCTGCTCTGTGTAAATCAAAGTTCAACTCTGTGAGTTGAACGCACACAACACAAGGAAGTTACTGGGAATTCTTCTGTCTAGCATAGTATGAAGAAATCCCGTTTCCAACGAAGGCCTCAAAGAGGTCTGAATATCCACTTGCAGAGTTTACAAACAGAGGGTTTCCTAACTGCTCTATGAAAAGGAAGGTTAAACTCTGTGAGTTGAACGCATACATCACAAAGAAGTTTCTGAGAATGATTCTGTCTAGTTTTTATACGAAGATATTTCCTTTTCTACCATTGACCTCAACGCGGCTGAAATCTCCAATTGCAAATTCCACAAAAAGTGTGTTTCAAGTCTGCTCTGTGTAAAGGATCGTTCAACTCTGTGAGTTGAATACACACAACACAAGGAAGTTAGGGAGAATTCTTCTGTCTAGCAGAATATGAAGAAATCCCGTTTCCAACGAAGGCCTCAAAGAGGTCTGAATATCCACTTGCAGACTTTACAAACAGAGTGTTTCCTAACTGCTCTATGAAAAGAAAAGTTAAACTCTGTGAGTTGAACGCACACGTCACAAAGGAGTTTCTGAGAATCATTCTGTCTAGTTTTTATACGAAGATATTTCCTTTTCTGCCTTTGGCCCCAAAGCGCTTGAAATCTCCACTTGCAAATTCCACAAAGCAGTGTTTCAAATCTGCTCTCTGTAAATGAAAGTTCAACTCTGTCAGTTGAATACACACAACACAAGGAAGTTACTGAGAATTCTTCTGTCTAGCATAATATGAAGAAATCCCGTTTCCAACGAAGGCCTCAAAGAGATCTGAATATCCACATGCAGATTTATAAACAGAGTGTTTACTAACTGCTCTATGAAAAGAAAGGTTAAACTCTGTGAGTTGAACACACACATCACAAAGGAGTTTCTGAGAATCATTCTGTCTAGTTTCTATAGGAAGATATTTCCTATTCTACCATTGACCTCAAAGCGGCTGAAATCTCCAATTGCAAATTCCACAAAAGGAGTGTTTCAAGTCTGCTCTGTGTAAAGGATCGTTCAACTCTGTGAGTTGAATACACACAACACAAGGCAGTTACTGAGAATTCTTCTGTCTAGCACAGTATGAAGAAATCCCGTTTCCAACGAAGGCCTCAAAGAGGTCTGAATATCCACTTGCAGACTTTACAAACAGAGTGTTTCCTAACTGCTCTATGAAAAGAAAGGATAAACTCTGTGAGTTGAACGCACACGTCACAATGAAGTTTCTGAGAATCATTCTGTCTAGTTTTTATACGAAGATATTTCCTTTTCTACCATTGACCTCAAAGCGGCTGAAATCACCACTTGCCAATTGCACAAAAAGAGTGTTTCAAATCTGCTCTGTCTAAGGGAACGTTCAACTCTGTGAGTTGAATGTACACAACACAAGGAAGTTCCTGGGAATTCTTCTGTCTAGCCTTACAAGAAAAAAACCCGTTTCCAACGAAAGCCTCTAAATGGTCAAAATATCCACGTGCAGACTTTACAAACAGAGTGTTTCTAAACTGCTGAATGAAAAGAAAAGTTAAACTCTGAGAGTTGAACGCACACATCGCAGAGCAGTTTCTGAGAATGATTCTGTCTAGTTTTTATACGAAGATATTTCCTTTTCTGCCTTTGGCCTCACAGCGCGTGAAATCTCCACTTGCAAATTCCACAAAAAGAGTGTTTCAAATCTGCTCTGTGTAAATGAAAGTTCAACTCTGTGAGTTGAACACACACAACACAAGGAAGTTACTGGGAATTCTTCTGTCTAGCATAATATGAAGAAATCCCGTTTCCAACGATGGCCTCAAAGAGGTCTGAATATCCACTGGCAGACATTAC
Organism: Homo sapiens; assembly: GCF_000001405.40. Taxonomy (NCBI): domain Eukaryota; kingdom Metazoa; phylum Chordata; class Mammalia; order Primates; family Hominidae; genus Homo; species Homo sapiens. The sequence goes on along the minus strand of NC_000005.10, from coordinate 47,454,463 downwards.
AAACAGAGTGTTTCCTAACTACTCTATGAAAAGAAAGGTTAAACTCTGTGAGTTGAACGCACACATCACAAAGGAGTTTCTGAGAATCATTTCTGTCTAGTTTCTATAGGAAGATATTTCCTATTCTAACATTGACCTCAAAGCGGCTGAAATCTCCACTTGCAAATTCCACAAAAAGAGTGTTTCAAGTCTGCTTTGTGTAAAGGATCGTTCAACTCTGTGAGTTGAATACACACAACACAAGGAAGTTACTGAGAATTCTTCTGTTTAGCAGAATATGAAGAAATCCCGTTTCCAACGAAGGCCTCAAAGAGGTCTGAATATCCACTTGCAGACTTTACAAACAGAGTGTTTCCTAACTGCTCTATGAAAAGAAAGGTTAAACTCTGTGAGTTGAGCGCACACATCACAAAGGAGTTTCTGAGAATCATTCTGTCTAGTTTCTATAGGAAGATATTTCCTATTCTACCATTGACCTCAAAGCGGCTGAAATCTCCACTTGCAAATTCAACAAAAAGTGTGTTTCAAGTCTCCTCTGTGCAAAGCATCGTTGAACTCTGTGAGTTGAATACACACAACACAAGGAAGTTACTGAGAATTCTTCTGTCTAGCCTTACAGGATAAAAACCCGTTTCCAACGAAGGCCTCTAAGTGGTCAAAATATCCACGTGCAGACTTTACAAACAGAGTGTTTCCAAACTGCTGAATGAAAACAAAAGTTAAACTCTGAGAGTTGAACGCACACATCGCAGAGCAGTTTCTGAGAATGATTCTGTCTAGTTTTTATACGATGATATTTCGTTTTCTGCCATTGACCGCAAAGCGCTTGAAATCTCCACTTGCAAATTCCACAAAAAGAGTGTTACAAATCTGCTCTCTCTAAATGAAAGTTCAACTCTGTCAGTTGAATACACACAATACAAGGAAGTTACTGAGAATTCTTCTGTCTAGCATAATATGAAGAAATCCCGTTTCCAACGAAGGCCTCAAAGAGGTCTGAATATCCACTTGCAGACTTTACAAACAGAGTGTTTCCTAACTGCTCTATGAAAAGAAAAGTTAAACTCTGAGATTTGAACGCACACATCACAAAGGATTTTCTGAGAATCATTCTGTCTAGTCTTTATACGAAGATAGTTTCCTTTTCTACCATTGACCTCAAAGCGCCTGAAATCTCCACTTGCAAATTCCACAAAAAGAGTGTTTCAAGTCTGCTCTGTGTAAAGGATCGTTCAACTCTGTGAGTTGAATACACACAACACAAGGAAGTTGCTGAGAATTCTTCTCTCCAGCAGAATATGAAGAAACCCCGTTTCCAACGAAGGCCTCAAGGAGGTCTGAATATCCACTTGCAGACTTTACAAACAGAGTGTTTCCTAACTGCTCTATGAACAGAAAGGTTAAACTCTGTGAGTTGAACGCACACATCACAAAGGAGTTTCTGAGAATCATTCTGTCTAGTTTTTATACGAATATATTTCCTTTTCTGCGTTTGGCCCCTAAGCGTTTGAAATCTCCACTTGCAAATTCCACAAAAACAGTGTTTCAAATCTGATCTCTCTAAATGAAAGTTCAACTCTGTCAGTTGAATACACACAACACAAGGAAGTTACCGAGAATTCTTCTGTCTAGCCTTATATGAAAAAAACCCGTTTCCAACGAAGGCCTCAAAGAGGTCTGAATATCCACTTGCAGACTTTACAAACAGAGTGTTTCCTAACTGCTCTATGAAAAGAAAGGTTAAACTCTGTGAGTTGAACACACACATCACAAATGAGTTTCTGCGAATCATTCTGTCTAGTCTTTATACGAAGATATTTCCTTTTCTACCATTGACCTCAAAGCGGCTGAAATCTCCACTTGCAAATTCCACAAAAAGAGTGTTTAAAGTCTGCTCTCTGTAAAGGATCGTTCAACTCTGAGAGTTGAATACACACAACACAAGGAAGTTACTGAGAATTCTTCTGTCTAGCCTTACATGAAAAAAACCCGTTTCCAACGAAGGCCTCTAAGTGGTCAAATTATCCACGCGCAGACTTTACAAACAGAGTGTTTCCAAACTGCTGAATGAAAAGAAAAGTTAAACTCTGAGAGTTGAACGCACACATCGCAGAGCAGTTTCTGAGAATGATTCTGTCTAGTTTTTATACGACGATATTTCATTTTCTGCCTTTGGCCTCAAAGCGCTTGAAATCTCCATTTGCAAATTCCACAAAAAGAGTGTTTCAAATCTGCTCTGTGTAAATGAAAGTTCAACTCTGTGAGTTGAACACACACAACACAAGGAAGTTACTGGGAATTCTTCTGTCTAGCATAATATGAAGAAATCCCGTTTCCAACGAAGGCCTCAAGGAGGTCTGAATATCCACTTGCAGACTTTACAAACAGAGTGTTTACTAACTGCTCTATGAAAAGAAAGGTTAAACTGTGTGAGTTGAACGCACACATCACAAAGGAGTTTCTGAGAATCATTCTGTCTAGTTTCTGTAGGAAGATATTTCCTATTCTACCATTGACCTCAAAGCGGCTGAAATCTCCACTTGCAAATTCCACAAAAAGAGTGTTTCAAGTCTGCTCTGTGTAAAGGATCGTTCAACTCTGTGAGTTGAAAACACACAACACAAGGAAGTTACTGAGAATTCTTCTGTCTAGCAGAATATGAAGAAATCCCGTTTCCAACGAAGGCCTCAAGGAGGTCTGAATATCCACTTGCAGACTTTACAAACAGAGTGTTTCCTAACTGCTCTATGAAAAGAAAGGATAAACTTTGTGAGTTGAATGCACACATCACAAAGGAGTTTCTCAGAATCATTCTGTCTAGTTTTTATACGAAGATATTTCCTTTTCTACCATGGACGTCAAAGCAGCTGAAATCTCCACTTGCAAATTCCACAAAAAGAGTGTTTCAAGTCTGCTCTGTGTAAAGGATCGTTCAACTCTGTGAGTTGAATACACACAACACAAGGAAGATTCTGAGAATTCTTCTGTCTAGCAGAATATGAAGAAATCCCGTTTCCAACGAAGGCCTCAAAGAGGTCTGAATATCCACTTGCAGACTTTACAAACAGAGTGTTTCCTAACTGATCTATGAAAAGAAAAGTTAAACTCTGTGAGTTGAACGCACACATCACAAAGGAGTTTCTGAGAATCATTCTGTCTAGTTTTTATACGAAGATATTTCCTATTCTACCATTGACCTCAAAGCGGCTGAAATCTCCACTTGCAAATTCCACAAGAAGAGTGTTTCAAGTCTGCTCTGTGTAAAGGATCGTTCAACTCTGTGAGTTGAATACACACAACACAAGGAAGTTACTGAGAATTCTTCTGTCTAGCATAATATGAAGAAATCTCGTTTCCAACGAAGGCCTCAAGGAGGTCTGAATATCCACTTGCAGACTTTACAAACAGAGTGTTTCCTAACTGCTCTATGAAAAGAAAGGTTAAACTCTGTGAGTTGAACGCACACATCACAAAGGAGTTTCTGAGAATCATTCTGTCTAGTTTCTATAGGAAGATATTTCCTATTCTACCATTGACCTCAAAGCGGCTGAAATCTCCACTTGCAAATTCCACAAAAAGAGTGTTTCAAGTCTGCTCTGTGTACAGGATCGTTCAACTCTGTGAGTTGAATACACACAACACAAGGAAGTTACTGAGAATTCTTCTGTCTAGCAGAATATGAAGAAATCCCGTTTCCAACGAAGGCCTCAAGGAGGTCTGAATATCCACTTGCAGACTTTACAAACAGAGTGTTTCCTAACTGCTCTATGAAAAGAAAGGTTAAACTCTGTGAGTTGAACGCACACATCACAAAGGAGTTCCTGAGAATCATTCTGTCTAGTTTTGAAACGAAGATATTTCCTTTTCTGCCATTGACCCTAAAGCGCTTGAAATCTCCACTTGCAAATTGCACAAAAAGAGTGTTTCAAATCTGCTCTGTCTAAGGGAACGTTCAACTCTGTGAGTTGAATGCACACAACACAAGGAAGTTACTGGGAATTCTTCTGTCTACACTTACATGAAAAAAACCCGTTTCCAAAGAAGGCCTCTAAGTGGTCAAAATATCCACGTGCAGACTTTACAAACAGAGTGTTTTCAAACTGCTGAATGAAAAGAAATGTTAAACTCTGAGAGTTGAACGCACACATCACAGAGGATTTTCTGAGAATGATTCTGTCTAGTTTTTATACGAAGATATTTCCTTTTCTGCCTTTGGCCTCAAAGCGCTTGAAATCTCCATTTGCAAATTCCACAAAAAGAGTGTTTCATATCTGCTCTCTGTAAATGAAAGTTCAACTCTGTGAGTTGAACACACACAACACAAGGAAGTTACTGGGAAATCTTCTGTCTAGCATAATATGAAGAAATCCCGTTTCCAAAGAAGGCCTCAAAGGGGTCTGAATATCCACTTGCAGACTTTACAAACAGAGTGTTTACGAACTGCTCTATGAAAAGAAAGGTTAAACTCTGTGAGTTGAACACACACATCACAAAGGAGTTTCTGAGAATCATTCTGTCTAGTTTTTCTACGAAGATATTTCCTTTTCTACTATTGACCTCAAAGCGGCTGAAATCTCCACTTGCAAATTTCACAAACAGAGTGTTTCAAGTCTGCTCTGTGTAAAGGATCGTTCAACTCTGTGAGTTGAATACACACAACACAAGGAAGTTACTGAGAATTCTTCTGTCTAGCAGAATATGAAGAAATCCCGTTTCCAACGAAGGCCTCAAGGAGGTCTGAATATCCACTTGCAGACTTTACAAACAGAGTGTTTCCTAACTGCTCTATGAAAAGAAAAGTTAAACTCTGTGAGTTGAACGCACACATCACAAAGGATTTTCTGATAATTATTCTGTCTAGTTTTTATACGAAGATATTTCCTTTTCTACCATGGACCTCAAAGTGGCTGAAATCTCCACTTGCAAATTCCACAAAAAGAGTGTTTCAAGTCTGCTCTGTGTGAAGGATCGTTCAACTCTGTGAGTTGAATACACACAACACAAGGAAGATTCTGAGAATTCTTCTTTCTAGCAGAATATGAAGAAATCCCGTTTCCAACGAAAGCCTCAAAGATGTCTGAATATCCACTTGCAGACTTTACAAACAGAGTGTTTCCTAACTGCTCTATGAAAAGAAAGGTTGAACTCTGTGAGTTGAACGCACACATCACAAAGGAGTTTCTGAGAATCATTCTGTCTAGTTTCTATAAGAAGATATTTCCTATTCTACCATTGACCTCAAAGCGGCTGAAATCTCCACTTGCAAATTCGACAAAAAGAGTGTTTCAAGCCTGCTCCCTGTAAAGGATCCTTCAACTCTGTGAGTTGGATACACACAACACAAGGAAGTTACTGAGAATTATTCTGTCTAGCCTTATATGAAAAAAACCCGTTTCCACCGAAGGCCTCAAAGAGGTCTGAATATCCTCTTGCAGACTTTACAAACAGAGTGTTTCCTAACTGCTCTATGAAAAGAAAGGTTAAACTCTGTGAGTTGGACACACACATCACAAAGGAGTTTCTGAGAATCATTCTGTCTAGTCTTTATATGAAGATAGTTTCCTTTTCTACCATTGACCTCAAAGCGGCTGAAATCTCCACTTGCAAATTCCACAAAAAGAGTGTTTCAAGTCTGCTGTGTGTAAAGGATCGTTCAACTCTGTGAGTTGAATACACACAACACAAGGAAGTTACTGAGAATTCTTCTGTCTAGCAGAATATGAAGAAATCCCGTTTCCAACGAAGGCCTCAAGGAGGTCTGAATATCCACTTGCAGACTTTACAAACAGAGTGTTTCCTAACTGCTCTATGAACAGAAAAGTTAAACTCTGTGAGTTGAACGAACACATCACAACGCAGTTTGTGGGAATGATTCTGTCTAGTTTTGAAACGAAGATATTTCCTTTTCTGCCACTGACCTTAAAGCGCTTGAAATCTACACTTGCAAATTGCACAAAGAGAGTGTTTCAAATCTGCTCTGTCTAAGGGAACGTTCAACTCTGTGAGTTGAATGCATAAAACACAACGAAGTTACTGGGAATTCTTCTGTCTAGCCTTACATGAAAAAAACCCGTTTCCAACGAAGACCTCTAAGTGGTCAAATTATCCACGTGCAGACTTTACAAACAGAGTGTTTCCAAACTTCTGAATGAAAAGAAAAGTTAAACTCTGAGAGTTGAAAGCACACATCGCAGAGCAGTTTCTGAGAATGATTATGTCTAGTTTTGAAACGAAGATATTTCCTTTTCTGCCTTTGGCCTCAAAGCGCTTGAAATCTCCACTTGCAAATTCCACAAAAAGAGTGTTTCAAATCTGCTCTGTGTAAATGGAAGTTCAACTCTGTGAGTTGAACACACACAACACAAGGAAGTTACTGGGAATTCTTCTGTCTAGCACAGTATGAAGAAATCCCGTTTCCAACGAAGGCCTCAAAGAGGTCCGAATATCCACTTGCAGAGTTTACAAACAGAGTGTTTCCTAACTGCTCTATGAAAAGAAAGGTTAAACTCTGTGAGTTGAACGCACACATCACAAAGAAGTTTCTGAGAATCATTCTGTCTAGTTTCTATAAGAAGATATTTCCTATTCTACCATTGACCTCAAAGCGGCTGAAATCTCCACTTGCAAATTCGACAAAAAGAGTGTTTCAAGCCTGCTCTCTGTAAAGGATCCTTCATATCTGTGAGTTGAATACACACAACACAAGGAAGTTACTGAGAATTATTCTGTCTAGCAGAATATGAAGAAATCCCGTTTCCAACGAAGGCCTCAAAGAGGTCTGAATATCCACTTGCAGACTTTACAAACAGAGTGTTTCCTAACTGCTCTATGAAAAGAAAGGTCAAACTCTGTGAGTTGAACGCACACATCACAAAGGAGTTTCTGAGAATCGTTTTGTCTAGTTTCTATAAGAAGATATTTCCTATTCTACCATTGACCTCAAAGCGGCTGAAATCTCCACTTGCAAATTCCACAAAAAGAGTGTTTCAAGTCTGCTCTGTGTAAAGGATCATTCAACTCTGTGTGTTGAATAAACACAACACAAGGAAGTTACTGAGAATTCTTCTGTCTAGCATAATATGAAGAAATCCCGTTTCCAACGAAGGCCTCAAAGAAGTCTGAATATCCACTTGCAGACTTTACAAACAGAGTGTTTCCCAACTGCTCTATGAAAAGAGAGGTTGAACTCTGTGAGTTGAACGCACACATCACAAAGGAGTTATGAGAATCATTCTGTCTAGTTTTTATATGAAGATATTTCCTTTTCTACCATTGACCTCAAAGCGGCTGAAATCTCCACTTACAAATTCCACAAAAAGTGTGTCTCAAGTCTGCTCTGTGTAAACGATCGTTCAACTCTGTGAGTTGAATACACACAACACAAGGAAGTTTCTGAGAATTCTTCTGTCTAGCATAATATGAAGAAATCCCGTTTCCAACGAATGCCTCAAGGAGGTCTGAATATCCACTTGCAGACTTTAGAAACAGAGTGTTTCCTAACTGCTCTATGAAAAGAAAGGTTAAACTCTGTGAGTTGAACGCACACATCACAAAGGAGTTTCTGAGAATCATTCTGTCTAGTCTTTATACGAAGATATTTGCTTTTCTACCATTGACCTCAAAGCGGCTGAAATCTCCACTTGCAAATTCCACAAAAAGAGAGTTTCAAGTCTGCTCTGTGTAAAGGATCATTCAACTCTGTGAGTTGAATATACACAACACAAGGAAGTTACTGAGAATTCTTCTGTCTAGCATAATATGAAGAAATCCCGTTTCCAACGAAGGCCTCAAAGAGGTCTGAATATCCACTTGCAGACTTTACAAACAGAGGGTTTCCTAACTGCTCTATGAAAAGAAAAGTTAAACTCTGTGATTTGAACGCACACATCACAAAGGAGTTTCTGAGAATCATTCTGTCTAGTCTTTATACGAAGATAGTTTCCTTTTCTACCATTGACCACAAAGCGGCTGAAATCTCCACTTGCAAATTCCACAAAAAGAGTGTTTCAAGTCTGCTCTGTGTAAAGGATCGTTCAACTCTGTGAGTTGAATACACACAACACAAGGAAGTTGCTGAGAATTCTTCTGTCTAGCAGAATATGAAGAAATCCCGTTTCCAAAGAAGGCCTCAAGGAGGTCTGAATATCCACTTGCAGACTTTACAAACAGAGTGTTTCCTAACTGCTCTATGAAAAGAAAGGTTAAACTCTGTGAGTTGAACGCACACATCACAAAGGAGTTTCTGCGAATCATTCTGTCTAGTCTTTATACGAAGATATTTCCTTTTCTACCATTGACCTCAAAGCGGCTGAAATCCCCACTTGCAAATTCCACAAAAAGAGTGTTTCAAGTCTGCTCTGTGTAAAGGATCGTTCAACTCTGTGAGTTGAATACACACAACACAAGGAAGTTACTGAGAATTCTTCTGTCTAGCCTTACATGAAAAAATCCCGTTTCCAACGAAGGCCGCTAAGTGGTCAAAATTTCCACGTGCAGACTTTACAAACAGAGTGTTTCCAAACCGCTGAATGAAAAGAAAAGTTAAACTCTGAGAGTTGAACGCACACATCACGCAGCAGTTTCTGAGAATGATTCTGTCTAGTTTTGAAACGAAGATATTTCCTTTTCTGCCTTTGGCCTCAAAGCGCATGAAATCTCCACTTGCAAATTCCACAAAAAGAGTGTTTCAAATCTGCTCTGTGTAAATGAAAGTTCAACTCTGTGAGTTGAACACACACAACACAAGGAAGTTACTGGGAATTCTTCTGTCTAGCATAATATGAAGAAATCCCGTTTCCAACGAAGGACTCAAAGGGGTCTGAATATCCACTTGCAGACTTTATAAACAGAGTGTTTACTAACTGCTCTATGAAAAGAAAGGTTAAACTCTGTGAGTTGAACACACACATCACAAAGGAGTTTCTGAGAATCATTCTGTCTTGTTTCTATACGAAGATATTTCCTTTTCTACCATTGACCTCAAAGCGGCTGAAATCTACAATTGCAAATTCCACAAAAAGAGTGTTTCAAGTCTGCTCTGTGTAAAGGATCGTTCAATTCTGTGAGTTGAATACACACAACACAAGGAAGTTACTGAGAATTCTTCTGTCTAGCAGAATATGAAGAAATCCCATTTCCAACGAAGGCCACAAGATGTCAGAATATCCACTTGCAGACTTTACAAACAGAGTGTTTCCTAACTGCTCTATGAACAGAAAGGTTAAACTCTGTGAGTTGAACGAACACATCACAACGCAGTTTGTGGGAATGATTCTGTCTAGTTTTGAAACGAAGATATTTCTTTTACTGCCATTGACCTTAAAGCGCTTGAAATCTCCACTTGCCAATTGCACAAAAAGAGTGTTTCAAATCTGCTGTGTCTAAGGGAACGTTCAACTCTGTGAGTTGAATGTACACAACACAAGGAAGTTACTGGGAATTCTTCTGTCTAGCCTTACAGGAAAGAAACCCGTTTCCAACGAAGGCCTCTAAGTGGTCAAAATATCCATGTGCAGACTTTACAAACAGAGTGTTTCCAAACTGCTGAATGAAAAGAAAAGTTAAACTCTGAGAGTTGAACGCACACATCGCAGAGCAGTTTCTGAGAATGATTCTGTCTAGTTTTTATACGAAGATATTTCCATTTCTGCCTTTGGCCTCAAAGCGCTTGAAATCTCCACTTGCAAATTCCACAAAAAGAGTGTTTCCAATCTGCTCTGTGTAAATGAAAGTTCAACTCTGTGAGTTGAACACACACAACACAAGGAAGTTACTGGGAATTCTTCTGTCTAGCACAGTATGAAGAAATCCCGTTTCCAACGAAGGCCTCAAAGAGGTCTGAATATCCACTTGCAGACTTTACAAACAGAGTGTTTCCTAACTGCTCTATGAAAAGAAAGGTTAAACTCTGTGAGTTGAAGGCACACATCACAAAGGAGTTTCTGAGAATCATTCTGTCTAGTTTTTATACGAAGAGATTTCCTTTTCTACCATTGACCTCAAAGCGGCTGAAATCTCCACTTGCAAATTACACAAAAAGAGTGTTACAAGTCTGCTCTGTGTAAAGGATCCTTCAACTCTGTGAGTTGAATACACACAACACAAGGAAGTTACTGAGAATTCTTCTGTCTAGCATAATATGAAGAAATCCCGTTTCCAACGAAGGCCTCAAAGGGGTCTGAATATCCACTTGCAGACTTTACAAACAGAGTGTTTCCTAACTGCTCTATGAAAAGAAAGGTTAAACTCTGTGAGTTGAACGCACACATCACAAAGGAGTTTCTGAGAATCGTTCTGTCTAGTTTTTATACGAAGATATTTCCTTTTCTACCATTGACCTCAAAGCGGCTGAAATCACCACTTGCCAATTGCACAAAAAGAGTGTTTCAAATCTGCTCTATCTAAGGGAACGTTCAACTCTGTGAGTTGAATGTACACAACACAAGGAAGTTCCTGGGAATTCTTCTGTCTAGCCTTACAGGAAAAAAACCCGTTTCCAACGAAGGCCTCTAAGTGGTCAAAATATCCACGTGCAGACTTTACAAACAGAGTGTTTCCAAACTGCTGAATGAAAAGAAAAGTTAAACTCTGAGAGTTGAACGCACACATCGCAGAGCAGTTTCAGAGAATGATTCTGTCTAGTTTTGAAACGAAGATATTTCCTTTTCTGCCTTTGGCCTCAAAGCGCTTGAAATCTCCACTTGCAAATTCCACAAAAAGAGTGTTTCAAATCTGCTCTGGGTAAATGAAAGTTCAACTCTGTGAGTTGAACACACACAACACAAGGAAGTTAGTGGGAATTCTTCTGTCTAGCATAATATGAAGATATCCCGTTTCCAACGAAGGCCTCAAAGAGGTCTGAATATCCACTTGCAGACTTTACAAACAGAGTGTTTCCTAACTGCTCTATGAAAAGAAAGGTTAAACTCTGTGAGTTGAACGCACACATTTCAAAGGAGATTCTGAGAATCATTCTGTCTAGTTTCTATAAGAAGATACTTCCTATTCTACCATTGACCTGAAAGCGGCTGAAATCTCCACTTGCAAATTCGACAAAAAGAGTGTTTCAAGCCTGCTCTCTGTAAAGGATCCTTCAACTCTGTGAGTTGAATACACACAACACAAGGAAGTTACTGAGAATTCTTCTGTCTAGCATAATATGAAGAAATCCCGTTTCCAACGAAGGCCTCAAAGAGGTCTGAATATCCACTTGCAGACTTTACAAACAGAGTGTTTCCTAACTGCTCTATGAACAGAAAGGTTAAACTCTGTGAGTTGAACGCACACATCACAAAGGAGTTTATGAGAATCATTCTGTCTAGTTTCTATAGGAAGATATTTCCTATTCTACCATTGACCTCAAAGCGGCTGAAATCTCCACTTGCAAATTCCACAAAAAGAGTGTTTCAAGTCTGCTCTCTGTAAAGGATCGTTCAACTCTGTGAGTTGAATACACACAACACAAGGAAGTTTCTGAGAAATATTCTGTATAGCAAAATATGAAGAAATCCGGTTTCCAACGAAGGCCTCAAGGAGGTCTGAATATCCACTTGCAGACTTTACAAACAGAGTGTTTCCTAACTGCTCTATGAAAAGAAAGGTTAAACCCTGTGAGTTGAACGCAGACATCACAAAGGAGTTTCTGAGAATCACTCTGTCTAGTTTTTATACGAAGATATTTCCTTTTCTACCACTGACCTCAAAGCGGCTGAAATCTCCACTTGCCAATTCAACAAAAAGAGTGTTTCAAGTCTACTCTGTGTAAAGGATCGTTGAACTCTGTGAGTTTAAAACACACAACACCAGGACGTTTCTGAGAATTCTTCTGTCTAGCCTTACATGAAAAAAACCCGTTTCCAACGAAGGCCTCAAAGAGGTCTGAATATCCACTTGCAGACTTTAAAAACAGAGTGTTTCCCAACTGCTCTATGAAAAGGAAGGTTAAACTCTGTGAGTTGAACGCACACATCACAAAGAAGTTTCTGAGAATCATTCTGTCTAGTTTCTATAGGAAGATATTTCCTATTCTACCATTGACCACAAAGCGGCTGAAATCTCCACTTGCAAATTTCACAAAAAGAGTGTTTCAAGTCTGCTCTGTGTAAAGGATCGTTCAACTCTGTGAGTTGAGTACACACAACACGAGGAAGTTACTGAGAATTCTTCTGTCTAGCAGAATATGAAGAAATCCCGTTTCCAACGAAGGCCTCAAAGAGGTCTGAATATCCACTTGCAGACTTTACACACAGAGTGTTTCCTAACTGCTCTATGAACAGAAAGGTTAAACTGCTGTGAGTTGAACGAACACATCACAACGCAGTTTGTGGGAATGATTCTGTCTAGTTTTTATAGGAAGATATTTCCTTTTCTACCTTTGACTTCAAAGCGGCTGAAATCTCCACTTGCAAATTCCACAAAAAGAGTGTTACAAGTCTGCTCTGTGTAAAGGATCGTTCAACTCTGTGAATTGAATACACACAACACAAGGAAGTTACTGAGAATTCTTCTGTCTAGCCTTACATGAAAAAAACCCGTTTCCAACGAAGGCCTCTAAGTGGTCAAATTATCCACTTGCAGACTTTACAAACAGAGTGTTTCCAAACTGCTGAATGAAAAGAAAAGTTAAACTCTGAGAGTTGAACGCACACATCGCAGAGCAGTTTCTGAGAATGATTCTGTCTAGTTTTTATACGAAGATATTTCCTTTTCTGCCTTTGGCCCCAAAGCGCTTGAAATCTCCACTTGCAAATTCCACAAAAACAGTGTTTCAAATCTGCTCTCTCTAAATGAAAGTTCAACTCTGTCAGTTGAATACACACAACACAAGGAAGTTAGTGAGAATTCTTCTGTCTAGCAGAATATGAAGAAATCCCGTTTCCAACGAAGGCCTCAAGGAGGTCTGAATATCCACTTGCAGAATTTACAAGCAGAGTGTTTCCTAACTGCTCTATGAAAAGAATGGTTAAACTCTGTGAGTTGAACGCACACATCACAAAGGAGTTTCTGAGAATCATTCTGTCTAGTTTTTATACGAAGATATTTCCTTTTCTACCATTGACCTCAAAGCGGCTGAAATCTCCACTTGCAAATTCCACAAAAAGAGTGTTTCAAATCTGCTCTGTGTAAACCAGAGTTCAACTCTGTGAGTTGAATACACACAACACAAGGAAGTTGCTGAGAATTCTTCTGTCTAGCAGAATAGGAAGAAATCCCGTTTCCAACGAAGGCCACAAGATGTCAGAATATCCACTTACAGACTTTACAAACAGAGTGTTTCCTAACTGCTCTATGAACAGAAATGTTAAACTCTGTGAGTTGAACGAACACATCACAACGCAGTTTGTGGGAATGATTCTGTCTAGTTTTGAAACGAAGATATTTCCTTTTCTGCCATTGACCTTAAGCGCTTGAAATCTCCACTTGCCAATTGCACAAAAAGAGTGTTTCAAATCTGCTCTGACTAAGGGAACGTTCAACTCTGTGAGTTGAATGTACACAACACAAGGAAGTTACTGGGAATTGTTCTGTCTAGCCTTACATGACAAAAACCCGTTTCCAACGAAGGCCTCTAAGTGGTCAAAATATCCACGTGCAGACTTTACAAACAGAGTGTTTCCAAACTGCTGAATGAAAAGAAAAGTTAAACTCTGAGAGCTGAACGCACACATCGCAGAGCAGTTTCTGAGAATGATTCTGTCTAGTTTTTATACGAAGATATTTCCTTTTCTGCCTTTGGCCGCAAATCGCTTGAAATCTCCACTTGCAAATTCCACAAAAACAGTGTTACAAATCTGCTCTCTCTAAATGAAAGTTCAACTCTGTCAGTTGAATACACACAACACAAGGAAGTTACTGAGAATTCTGCTGCCTAGCCTTACATGAAAAAAACCCGTTTCCAACGAAGGCCTCAAAGAAGTCCAAATATCCACGTGCAGACTTTACAAACAGAGTGTTTCCTAACTGCTCTATGAAAAGAAAGGTTAAACTCTGTGAGTTCAACGCACACATCACAAAGGAGTTTCTGAGAATCATTCTGTCTAGTTTCTATAGGAAGATATTTCCTATTCTACCATTGACCTCAAAGCGGCTGAAATCTCCACTTGCAAATTCCGCAAGAAGAGTGTTTCAAGTATGCTCTGTGTAAAGGATCGTTCAACTCTGTGCGTTGAATACACACAACACAAGGAAGTTACTGAGAATTCTTCTGTCAGGCATAATATGAAGAAATCCCGTTTGCAACGAAGGCCTCAAAGAGGTCTGAATATCCACTTGCAGAGTTTACAAACAGAGTGTTTCCTAACTGCTCTATGAAAAGAAAGGTTAAACTCTGTGAGTTGAACGCACACATCACAAAGAAGTTTCTGAGAATCATTCTGTCTAGTTTCTATAGGAAGATATTTCCTATTCTACAATTGACCTCAAAGCGGCTGAAATCTCCACTTGCAAGTTCCACAAAAAGAGTGTTTCAAGTCTGCTCTGTGTAAAGGATCGTTCAACTCTGTGAGTTGAATACACACAACACAAGGAAGTTACTGAGAATTCTTCTGTCTAGCATAATATGAAGAAATCCCGTTTCCAACGAAGGCCTCAACGAGGTCTGAATATCCACTTGCAGACTTTACCAACAGAGTGTTTCCTAACTGCTCTATGAAAAGAAAGGTTAAACTCTGCGAGTTGAACGCACACATCACAAAGGAGTTTCTGAGAATCATTCTGTCTAGTTTCTATAGGAAGATATTTCCTATTCTACCTATTGACCTCAAAGCGGCTGAAATCTCCACTTGCAAATTCCACAAAAAGAGTGTTTCAAGTCTGCTCTGTGTAAAGGATCGTTCAACTCTGTGAGTTGAATACACACAACACAAGGAAGTTCCTGAGAATTCCTCTCTCTAACATAATATGAAGAAATCCCGTTTCCAAAGAAGGCCTCAAAGAGGTCTGAATAGCCACTTGCAGACTTTACATACAGAGTGTTTCCTAACTGCTCTATGAAAAGAAAGGTTAAACTCTGTGAGTTGAACGCACACATCACAAAGGAGTTTCTGAGAATCATTCTGTCTAGTTTCTATAGGAACATATTTCCTATTCTACCATTGACCACAAAGCGGCTGAAATCTCCACTTGCAAATTCCACAAAAACAGTGTTTCAAGTCTGTTCTGTGTAAAGGATCGTTCAACTCTGTAAGTTGAATACACACAACACAAGGAAGTTACTGAGAATTCTTCTGTCTAGCAGAATATGAAGAAATCCCGTTTCCAACGAAGCCCTCAAGGAGGTCTGAATATCCACTTGCAGACTTTACAAACAGAGTGTTTCCTAACCGCTCTATGAAAAGAAAGGTTAAACCCTGTGAGTTGAACGCACACATCACAAAGTAGTTTCTGAGAATCATTCTGTCTGGTCTTTATACGAAGATAGTTTCCTTTTCTACCATTGACCTCAAAGCGGCTGAAATCTCCACTTGCAAATTCCACAAAAAGAGTGTTTCAAGTCTGCTCTGTGTAAAGGATCGTTCAACTCTGTGAGTTGAATACACACAACACAAGGAAGTTACTGAGAATTCTTCTGTCTAGCATAATATGAAGAAATCCCGTTTCCAATGAAGGCCTCAAAGAGGTCTGAATATCCACTTGCAGATTTTACAAACAGAGTGTTTCCTAACGGCTCTATGAAATGAAAAGTTAAACTCTGTGAGTTGAACGCACACATCACAAAGGAGTTTATGAGAATCATTCTGTCTGGTTTATATATGAAGATATTTCCTTTTCTACCATTGACCTCAAAGCGGCTGAAATCTCCACTTACAAATTCCACAAAAAGAGTGTCTCAAGTCTGCTCTGTGTAAACGATCGTTCAACTCTGTGAGTTGAATACACACAACACAAGGAAGTTTCTGAGAATTCTTCTGTCTAGCAGAATATGAAGAAATCCCGTTTCCAACGAAGACCACAAGATTTCAGAATATCCACTTACAGACTTTACAAACAGAGTGTTTCCTAACTGCTCTATGAACAGAAAGGTTAAACTCTGTGAGTTGAACGAACACATCACAACGCAGTTTGTGGGAATGATTCTGTCTAGTTTTGAAACGAAGATATTTCCTCTTCTGCCATTGACCTTAAAGCGCTTGAAATCTACACTTGCCAATTGCACAAATAGAGTGTTTCAAATCTGCTCTGTCTAAGGGAACGTTCAACTCTGTGAGTTGAATGCACACAACACAAGGAAGTTACTGGGAATTCTTCTGTCTAGCCTTACAGGAAAAAAACCCGTTTCCAAAGAAGGCCTCTAAGTGGTCAAAATATCCACGTGCAGACTTTACAAACAGAGTGTTTCCAAACTGCTGAATGAAAAGAAAAGTTAAACTACTGAGAGTTGAACGCACACATCGCAGAGCAGTTTCTGAGAATGATTCTGTCTTGTTTTTATACGAAGATATTTCCTTTTCTGCCTTTGGCCCCAAAGCGCTTGAAATCTCCACTTGCAAATTCCACAAAAACAGTGTTTCAAATCTGCTCTCTCTAAATGAAAGTTCAACTCTGTCAGTTGAATACACACAACACAAGGAAGTTACTGAGAATTCTTCTGTCTAGCATAATATGAAGAAATCCCGTTTCCAACGAAGGCCTCAAACAGGTCTGAATATCCACTTGCAGACTTTACAAACAGAGTGTTTCCTAACTGCTCTATGAGAAGAAAAGTTAAACTCTGTGAGTTGAACGCACACATCACAAAAGATTTTCTGAGAATCATTCTCTCTAGTTTCTATAGGAAGATATTTCCTATTCTACCATTGAACTCAAAGCGGCTGAAATCTCCACTGGCAAATTCCACAAAAAGAGTGTTTCAAGTCTGCTCTGTGTAAAGGATCGTTCAACTCTGTGAGTTGAATACACACAACACAAGGAAGTTACTGAGAATTCTTCGGTCTAGCAGAATATGAAGAAATCCCGTTTCCAACGAAGGCCTCAAGGAGGTCTGAATATCCACTTGCATACTTTACAAACAGAGTGTTTCCTAACTGCTCTATGAACAGAAGGGTTAAACTCTGTGAGTTGAACGAACACATCACAACGCAGTTTGTGGGAATGATTCTGTCTAGTTTTGAAACGAAGATATTTCCTTTTCTGCCGTTGACCTTAAATCGCTTGAAATCTACACTTGCAAATTGCACAAATAGAGTTTTTCAAATCTGCTCTGTCTAAGGGAACGTTCAACTCTGTGAGTTGAATGCACACAACACAAGGAAGTTACTGGGAATTCTTCTGTCTAGCCTTACAGAAAAAAACCCGTTTCCAACGAAGGCCTCTAAGTGGTCAAGTTATCCACGTGCAGACTTTACAAACAGAGTGTTTCCAAACTGCTGAATGAAAAGAAAAGTTAAACTCTGAGAGTTGAACGCACACATCGCAGAGCAGTTTCTGAGAATGATTCTGTCTAGTTTTTATACGAAGATATATCGTTTTCTGCCTTTGGCCACAAAGCGCTTGAAATCTCCACTTGCAAATTCCACAAAAACAGTGTTTCAAATCTGCTCTCTCTAAATGAAAGTTCAACTCTGTCAGCTGAATACACACAACACAAGGAAGTTACTGAGAATTCTTATGTCTAGCCTTATATGAAAAAAACCCGTTTCCAAAGAAGGCCTCAAAGAGGTCTGAATATCCACTTGCAGACTTTACAAACAGAGTCTTTCCTAACTGCTCTATGAAAAGAAAGGTTAAACTCTGTGAGTTGAACGCACACATCACAAAGAAGTTTCTGAGAATCATTCTGTCTAGTCTTTATACGAAGATATTTCCTTTTCTACCATTGACCTCAAAGCGGCTGAAGTCTCCACTTGCAAATTCCACAAAAAGTGTGTTTAAAGTCTGCTCTCTGTAAAGGATCATTCAACTCTGTGAGTTGAATACACACAACACAAGGAAGTTACTGAGAATTCTTCTGTCTTGCAGAATATGAAGAAATCCCGTTTCCAACGAAGGCCTCAAAGAGGTCTGAATATCCACTTGCAGACTTTACAAACAGAGTGTTTCCTAACTGCTCTATGGAAAGAAAAGTTGAACTCTGTGAGTTGAACGCACACATCACAAAGGAGTTTCTGAGAATCATTCTGTCTAGTTTCGATAGGAAGATATTTCCTATTCTACCATTGACCTCAAAGCGGCTGAAATCTCCACTTGCAAATTCCACAAAAAGAGTGTTTCAAGTCTGCTCTCTGTAAAGGATCGTTCAACTCTGAGAGTTGAATACACACAACACAAGGAAGTTACTGAGAATTATTCTGTCTAGCCTTATATGAAAAAAACCCGTTTCCAACGAAGGCCTCAAAGAGGTCTGAATATCCTCTTGCAGACTTTACAAACTGAGTGTTTCCTAACTGCTCTATGAAAAGAAAGGTTAAACTCTGTGAGTTGGACACACACATCACAATGGAGTTTCTGAGAATCATTCTGTCTAGTTTTTATAGGAAGATATTTCCTTTTCTACCTTTGACTTCAAAGCGGCTGAAATCTCCACTTGCAAATTCCACAAAAAGAGTGTTACAAGTCTGCTCTGTGTAAAGGATCGTTCAACTCTGTGAGTTGAATACACACAACCCAAGGAAGTTACTGGGAATTCTTCTGTCTAGCATAATATGAAGAAATCCCGTTTCCAACGAAGGCCTCAAAGAGGTCGGAATATCCACTTGCAGACTTTACAAACAGAGTGTTTCCTAACTGCTCTATGAGAAGAAAAGTTAAACTCGGTGAGTTGAACGCACACATCACAAAAGATTTTCTGAGAATCATTCTGTCTAGTTTTTATACGAAGGTATTTCCTTTTCTACCACGGACCTCAAAGTGGCTGAAATGTCCACTTGCAAATTCCACAAAAAGAGTGTTTCAAGTCTGCTCTGTGTAAAGGATCGTTCAACTCGGTGAGTTGAATACACACAACACAAGGGAAGATTCTGAGAATTCTTCTGTCTAGCCTTATATGAAAAAAACCCGTTTCCAACGAAGGCCTCAAAGAGGTCTGAATATCCACTTGCAGAATTTACAAACAGAGTGTTTCCTAACTGCTCTATGAAAAGAAAGGTTAAACTCTGTGAGTTGAACGCACACATCACAAAGGAGTTTCTGAGAATCATTCTGTCTAGTTTCTATAGGAAGATATTTCCTATTCTACCATTGACCTCAAAGCGGCTGAAATCTCCACTTGCAAATTCCACAAAAAGAGTGTTTCAAGTCTGCTCTGTGTAAAGGATCGTTCAACTCTGTGAGTTGAATACACACAACACAAGGAAGTTACAGAGAATTCTTCTGTCTAGCCTTATATGAAAAAAACCCGTTTCCAACGAAGGCCTCAAAGAGGTCTGAATATCCAATTGCAGACTTTACAAACAGAGTGTTTCCTAACTGCTCTATGAAAAGAAAGGTTAAACTCTGTGAGTTGAACGCACACATCACAAAGGAGTTTCTGAGAATCATTCTGTCTTGTTTCTATACGAAGATATTTCCTTTTCTACCATTGACCTCAAAGCAGCTGAAATCTCCACTTGCAAATTCCACAAAAAGAGTGTTTCAAGTCTGCTCTGTGTAAAGGATCGTTCAATTCTGTGAGTTGAATACACACAACACAAGGAAGTTACTGAGAATTCTTCTGTCTAGCATAATTTGAAGAAATCCCGTTTCCAACGAAGGCCTCAAAGAGGTCTGAATATCCACTTGCAGACTTTACAAACAGAGTGTTTCTTAACTGCTCTATGAGAAGAAAAGTTAAACTCTGTGAGTTGAACGCACACATCACAAAAGATTTTCTGAGAATCATTCTGTCTAGTCTTTATACGAAGATATTTCCTTTTCTACCATTGACCTCAAAGCGGCTGAAATCTCCACTTGCAAATTCCACAAAAAGAGTGTTTCAAGTCTGCTCTGTGTAAAGGATCGTTCAACTCTATGAGTTGAATACACACAACACAAGGAAGTTACTGAGAATTCTTCTGTCTAGCAGAATACGAAGAAATCCCGTTTCCAACGAAGGCTACAAGATGTCAGAATATCCACTTTCATACTTTACAAACAGAGTGTTTCCTAACTGCTCTATGAACAGAAAGGTTAAACTCTGTGGGTTGAACGAACACATCACAACGCAGTTTGTGGGAATGATTCTGTCTAGTTTTTATACGAAAATATTTCCTTTTCTACCATTGACCTCAAAGCGGCTGAAATCACCACTTGCCAATTGCACAAAAAGAGTTTTTCAAATCTGCTCTGTCTAAGGGAACGTTCAACTCTGTGAGTTGAATGTACACAACACAAGGAAGTTACTGGGAATTCTTCTGTCTAGCCTTACAGGAAAAAACCCGTTTCCAACGAAGGCCTCTAAGTGGTCAAATTATCCACGTGCAGACTTTACAAACAGAGTGTTTCCAAACTGCTGAATGAAAAGAAAATTTAAACTCTGAGAGTTGAACGCACACATCGCAGAGCAGTTTCTGAGAATGATTCTGTCTAGTTTTTATACGAAGATATTTCCTTTTCTGCCTTTGGCCTCAAAGCGCTTGAAATCTCCACTTGCAAATTCCACAAAAAGAGTGTTTCAAATCTGCTCTGTGTAAATCAAAGTTCAACTCTGTGAGTTGAACACACACAACACAAGCAAGTTACTGGGAATTCTTCTGTCTAGCACAATATGAAGAAATCCCGTTTCCAACGAAGGCCTCAAAGGGGTCTGAATATCCACTTGCAGACTTTATAAACAGAGTGTTTACTAACTGCTCTATGAAAAGAAAAGTTAAACTCTGTGAGTTGAACGCACACATCAAAAAGGAGTTTCTGAGAATCATTCTGTCTAGTTTCTATAGGAAGATATCTCCTATTCTACCATTGACCTCAAAGAGGCAGAAATCTCCACTTGCAAATTCCACAAAAAGAGTGTTTCAAGTCTGCTCTGTGTAAAGGATCGTTCAACTCTGTGAGTTGAATACACACAACACAAGGAAGTTACTGAGAATTCTTCTGTCTAGCAGAATATGAAGAAATCCCGTTTCCAACGAAGGCCTCAAAGAGGTCTGAATATCCACTTGCAGACTTTACAAACAGAGTGTTTCCTAACTGCTCTATGAAAAGAAAAGTTAAACTCTGTGAGTTGAACGCACACGTCACAAAGGATTTTCTGAGAATCATTCTGTCTAGTTTCTATAGGAAGATATTTCCTATTCTACCATTGACCTCAAAGCGGCTGAAATCTCCACTTGCAAATTCGACAAAAAGAATGTTTCAAGTCTGCTCTGTGTAAAGGATCGTTCAGCTCTGTGAGTTGAATACACACAACACAAGGAAGTTACTGAGAATTCTTCTGTCTAGCAGAATATGAAGAAATCCCGTTTCCAACGAAGGCCACAAGATGTCAGAATATCCACTTACAGACTTAACAGAGTGTTTCCTAACTGCTCTATGAACAGAAAGGTTAAACTCTGTGAGTTGAACGAACACATCACAACGCAGTTTGTGGGAATGATTCTGTCTAGTTTTGAAACCAAGATATTTCCTTTTCTGCCGTTGACCTTAAAGAGCTTGAAAACTACACTTGCAAATTGCACAAATAGAGTGTTTCAAATCTGCTCTGTCTAAGGGAACGTTCAACTCTGTGAGTTGAATGCACACAACACAAGGAAGTTACTGGGAATTCTTCTGTCTAGCCTTACATGAAAAAAACCCATTTCCAACGAAGGCCTCTAAGTGGTCAAAATTTCCACGTGCAGACTTTACAAACAGAGTGTTTCCAAACCGCTGAATGAAAAGAAAAGTTAAACTCTGAGAGTTGAACGCACACATCACGCAGCAGTTTCTGAGAATGATTCTGTCTAGTTTTGAAACGAAGATATTTCCTTTTCTGCCTTTGGCCTCAAAGCGCTTGAAATCTCCATTTGCAAATTCCACAAAAAGAGTGTTTCAAATCTGCTCTGTGTAAATGAGAGTTCAACTCTGTGAGTTGAACACACACAACACAAGGAAGTTACTGGGAATTCTTCTGTCTAGCATAATATGAAGAAATCCCGTTTCCAACGAAGGCCTCAAAGGGGTCTGAATATCCACTTGCAGACTTTATAAACAGAGTGTTTCCTAACTGCTCTATGAAAAGAAAGGTTAAACTCTGTGAGTTGAAAACACACATCACAAAGGAGTTTCTGAGAATCATTCTGTCTAGTCTGTATACGAAGATAGTTTCCTTTTCTACCATTGACCTCAAAGAGGCTGAAATCTCCACTTGCAAATTCCACAAAAAGAGTGTTTCAAGTCTGCTCTGTGTAAAGGATCGTTCAACTCTGTCAGTTGAATACACAGAACACAAGGAAGTTACTGAGAATTCCTCTGTCTAGCAGAATATGAAGAAATCCCGTTTCAAACGAAGGTCACAAGGAGGTGTGAATATCCACTTGCAGACTTTACAAACAGAGTGTTTCCTAACGGCTCTATGAACAGAAAGGTTAAACTCTGTGAGTTGAACGCACACATCACAAAAGAGTTTCTGAGAATCATCTGTCTAGTTTTTATACGAAGATATTTCCTTTTCTACCATGGACCTCAAAGCGGCTGAAATCTCCACTTGCAAATTCCACAAAAAGAGTGTTTCAAGTCTGCTCTGTGTAAAGGATCGTTCAACTCTGTGAGTTGAATACACACAACACAAGGAAAGATTCTGAGAATTCTTCTGTCTAGCAGAATATGAAGAAATCCCGTTTCCAACGAAGGCCACAAGATGTCAGAATATCCACTTACAGAATTTAGAAACAGACTGTTTCCTAACTGCTCTACGAAAAGAAAGGTTAAACTCTGTGAGATGAACGAACACATCACAACGCAGTTTGTGGGAATGATTCTGTCTAGTTTTGAAACGAAGATATTTCCTTTTCTGCCATTGACCTCAAAGCGCTTGAAATCTCCACTTGCCAATTGCACAAAAAGAGTGTTTCAAATCTGCTCTGTCTAAGGAAACGTTCAACTCTGTGAGTTGAATGTACACAACACAAGGAAGTTACTGGGAATTCTTCTGTGTAGCCTTACATGAAAAAAACCCGTTTCCAACGAAGGCCTCTAAGTGGTCAAATTATCCACGTGCAGACTTTACAAACAGAGTGTTTCCAAACTGCTGAATGAAAAGAAAAGTTAAACTCTGAGAGTTGAACGCACACATCGCAGAGCAGTTTCTGAGAATGATTCTGTCTAGTTTTTGTACGAAGATATTTCCTTTTCTGCCTTTGGCCTCAAAGCGCTTGAAATCTCCATTTGCAAATTCCACAAAAAGAGTGTTTCAAATCTGCTCTGTGTAAATGAAAGTTCAACTCTGTGAGTTGAACACACACAACACAAGGAAGTTACTGGGAATTCTTCTGTCTAGCCTTATATGAAAAAAACCCGTTTCCAACGAAGGCCTCAAAGAGGGCTGAATATCCACTTGCAGACTTTACAAGCAGAGTGTTTCCTAACTGCTCTATGAAAAGAAAGGTTAAACTCTGTGAGTTGAACGCACACATCACAAAGGAGTTTACTGAGAATCATTCTGTCTAGTTTCTATAGGAAGATATTTCCTATTCTACCATTGACCTCAAAGCGGCTGAAATCTCCACTTGCAAATTCCACAAAAAGAGTGTTTCAAGTCTGCTCTGTGTAAAGGATCCTTCAACTCTGTGAGTTGAATACACACAACACAAGGCAGTTACTGAGAATTCTTCTGTCTAGCAGAATATGAAGAAATCCCGCTTCCAACGAAGGCCTCAAAGAAGTCTGAATAAGCACTTGCAGACTTTACAAACAGAGTGTTTCCCAACTGCTCTATGAAAAGAAAGGTTGAACTCTGTGAGTTGAACGCACACATCACAAAGGAGTTTCTGAGAATCATTCTGTCTAGTTTTGAAACGAAGATATTTCCTTTTCTGCCTTTGGCCTCAAAGCGCTTGAAATCTCCACTTGCAAATTCCACAAAAAGAGTGTTTCAAATCTGCTCTGTGTAAATGAAAGTTCAGCTCTGTGAGTTGAACACACACAACACAAGGAAGTTACTGGGAATTCTTCTGTCTAGCCTTATATGAAAAAAACCCGTTTCCAACGAAGGCCTCAAAGAGGTCTGAATATCCACTTGCAGACTTTACAAACAGAGTGATTCCTAACTGTTCTATGAAAAGAAAGGTTAAACTCTGTGAGTTGAACACACACATCACAAAGGAGTTTCTGAGAATCATTCTGTCTAGTTTTTATAGGAAGATATTTCCTTTTCTACCTTTGACTTCAAAGCGGCTGAAATCTCCACTTGCAAATTCCACAAAAAGAGTGTTACAAGTCTGCTCTGTGTAAAGGATCGTTCAACTCTGTGACTTGAATACACACAACACAAGGAAGTTACTGAGAATTCTTCTGTCTAGCAGAATATGAAGAAATCCCGTTTCCAACGAAGGCCACAAGATGTCAGAATATCCACTTACAGAATTTACAAACAGACTGTTTCCTAACTGCTCTATGAAAACAAAGGTTAAACTCTGTGAGTTGAACGAACACATCACAACGCAGTTTGTGGGAATGATTCTGTCTAGTTTTGAAACGAAGATATTTCCTTTTCTGCCATTGACCTTAAAGCGCTTGAAATCTACACTTGCAAATTGCACAAATAGAGTGTTTCAAATCTGCTCTGTCTAAGGGAACGTTCAACTCTGTGAGTTTAATGCACCCAACACAAGGAAGTTACTGGGAATTCTTCTGTCTAGCCTTACAGGAAAGAAACCCGTTTCCAATGAAGGCCTCTAAGTGGTCAAAATATCCACGTGCAGACTTTACAAACAGAGTGTTTCCAAACTGCTGAATGAAAAGAAAAGTTAAACTCTGAGAGTTGAACGCACACATCGCAGAGCAGTTTCTGAGAATGATTCTGTCGAATTTTTATACGAAGATATTTCCTTTTCTGCCTTTGGCCTCAAAGCGCTTGAAATCTCCATTTGCAAATTCCACAAAAAGAGTGTTTCAAATCTGCTCTGTGTAAACGGAAGTTCAACTCTGTGAGTTGAACACACACAACACAAGGAAGTTACTGGGAATTCTTCTGTCTAGCAGAATATGAAGAAATCCCGTTTCCAACGAAGGCCTCAAAGAGGTCTGAATATCCACTTGAAGTCTTTACAAACAGAGTGTTTCCTAACTGCTCTATGAAAAGAAAAGTTAAACTCTATGAGTTGAACGCACACATCACAAAGGAGTTTCTGAGAATCATTCTGTCTAACTTTTATACGAAGATATTTCCTTTTCTACCATTGACCTCAATGCGGCTGAAATCTCCACTTGCAAATTCCACAAAAAGTGTGTTTCAAGTCCGCTCTGTGTAAAGGATCGTTCAACTCTGTGAGTTGAATACACACAACACAAGGAAGTTACTGAGAATTCTTCTGTCTTGGAGTATATGAAGAAATCCCATTTCCAACCAAGGCCACAAAATGTCAGAATATCCACTTACAGACTTTACAAACAGAGTGTTTCCTAACTGCTCTATGAACAGAAAGGTTAAACTCTGTGAGTTGAACGAACACATCACAACGCAGTTTGTGGGATTCATTCTGTCTAGTTTTGAAACCAAGATATTTCCTTTTCTGCCATTGACCTTAAAGCGCTTGAAATCTCCACTTGCCAATTGCACAAAAAGAGTATTTCAAATCTGCTCTGTCTAAGGGAACGTTCAACTCTGTGAGTTGAATGTACACAACACAAGGAAGTTACTGGGAATTCTTCTGTCTAGCCTTACAGGAAAAAAACCCGTTTCCAACGAAGGCCTCTAAGTGGTCAAAATATCCACGTGCAGACTTTACAAACAGAGTGTTTCCACACTGCTGAATGAAAAGAAAAGTTAAACTCTGAGAGTTGAACGCACACATCCCAGAGCAGTTTCTGAGCAATGATCTGTCTAGTTTTTATACGAAGATATTTCCTTTTCTGCCTTTGGCCTCAAAGCGCTTGAAATCTCCATTTGCAAATTCCACAAAAAGAGTGTTTCAAATCTGCTCTGTGTAAATGAAAGTTCAACTCTGTGAGTTGAATACACACAACACAAGGAAGTTACTGAGAATCTTCTCTGTCTAGCCTTATATGAAAAAAACCCGTTTCCAACGAAGGCCTCAAAGAGGTCTGAATATCCACTTGCAGTCTTTACAAACAGAGTGTTTCCTAACTGCTCTATGAAAAGAAAGATTAAACTCTGTGAGTTGAACGCACACATCACAAAGGAGTTTCTGAGAATCATTCTGTCTAGTTTTTATATGAAGATATTTCCTTTTCTACCATTGACCTCAAAGCGGCTGAAATGTCCACTTACAAATTCCACAAAAAGAGTGTCTCAAGTCTGCTCTGTGTAAATGATCGTTCAACTCTGTGAGTTGAATACACACAACACAAGGAAGTTTCTGAGAATTCTTCTGTATAGCAGAATATGAAGAAATCCAGTTTCCAACGAAAGCCTCAAAGATGTCTGAATATCCACTTGCAGACTTCACAAACAGAGTGTTTCCTAACTGCTCTATGAAAAGAAAGGTTAAACTCTGTGAGTTGAACGCACACATCACAAAGGAGTTTCTCAGAATCATTCTGTCTAGTTTTTATACGAAGATACTTCCTTTTCTACAATTGACCTCAAAGCGGCTTAAATCTCCACTTGCAAATTCCACAAAAAGAGTGTTTCAAGTCTGCTCAAAGGATCGTTCAACTCTGTGAGTTGAATACACACAACACAAGGAAGTTGCTGAGAATTCTTCTGTCTAGCAGAATATGAAGAAATCCCGTTTCCAACGAAGGCCACAAGATGTCAGAATATCCACTTACAGAAATGACAAACAGACTGTTTCCTAACTGCTCTATGAAAAGAAAGGTTAAACCCTGTGAGTTGAACGAACACATCACAACGCAGTTTGTGGGAATGATTCTGTCTAGTTTTGAAACGAAGATATTTCCTTTTCTGCCATTGAACTTAAAGCGCTTGAAATCTCCATTTGCCAATTGCACAAAAAGAGTGTTTCAAATCTGCTCTGTCTAAGGGAACGTTCAACTCTGTGAGTTGAATGTACACAACACAAGGAAGTTACTGGGAATTCTTCTGTCTAGCCTTACAGGAAAAAAACCCGTTTCCAACGAAGGCCTCTAAGTGGTGAAAATATCCACGTGCAGACTTTACAAACAGAGTGTTTCCAAACTGCTGAATGAAAAGAAAAGTTAAACTCTGAGAGTTGAACACCCACATCGCAGAGCAGTTTCTGAGAATGATTTCTGTCTAGTTTTTATACGAAGATATTTCCTTTTCGGCCTTTGGCCCCAAAGCGGCTGAAATCTCCACTTGCAAATTCCACAAAAACAGTGTTATAAATCTGCTCTCTCTAAATGAAAGTTCAACTCTGTCAGTTGAATACACACAACACAAGGAAGTTACTGAGAATTCTTCTGTCTAGCAGAATATGAAGAAATCCCGTTTCCAACGAAGGCCTCAAGGAGGTCTGAATATCCACTTGCAGACTTTACAAACAGAGTGTTTCCTAAATGCTCTATGAACAGAAAGGTTAAACTCTGTGAGTTGAACGCACACATCACAAAGGAGTTTCTGAGAATCATTCTGTCTAGTCTTTATACGAAGATATTTCCTTTTCTACCATTGACCTCAAAGCGGCTGAAATCTCCACTTGCAAATTCCACAAAAAGAGTGTTTAAAGTCTGCTCTCTGAAAAGGATCGTTCAACTCTGTGAGTTGAATACACACAGCACAAGGAAGTTACTGAGAATTCTTCTGTCTAGCAGAATATGAAGAAATCCCGTTTCCAACGAAAGCCTCAAAGAGGTCTGAATATCCACTTGCAGACTTTACAAACACAGTGTTTCCTAACTGCTCTATGAATAGAAAGGTTAAACTCTGTGAATTGAACGCACACATCACAAAGGAGTTTCTGAGAATCATTCTGTCTAGTTTTTATACGAAGATATTTCCTTTTCTACCATTGACCTCTAAGCGGCTGAAATCTCCACTTGCAAATTCCACAAAAAGAGTGTTTCAAATCTGCTCTGTGTAAACCATCGTTCAACTCTGTGAGTTGAATACACACAACACAAGGAAGATTCTGAGAATTCTTCTGTCTAGCAGAATATGAAGAAATCCCGTTTAAAACGAAGGCCACAAGATGTCAGAATATCCACTTACAGACTTTACAAACAGAGTGTATCCTAACTGCTCTATGAACAGAAAAGTTAAACTCTGTGAGTTGAACGAACACATCACAACGCAGTTTGTGGGAATGATTCTCTCTAGTTTTGAAACGAAGATATTTCCTTTTCTGCCATTGACCTTAAAGCGCTTGAAATCTCCACTTGCCAATTGCACAAAAAGAGTGTTTCAAATCTGCTCTGTCTAAGGGAACTGTTCAACTCTGTGAGTTGAATGTACACAACACAAGGAAGTTACTGGGAATTCTTCTGTCTAGCCTTACATGAAAAAAACCCGTTTCCAACGAAGGCCTCTAAGTGGTCAAAATATCCAGGTGCAGACTTTACAAACAGAGTGTTTCCAAACCGCTGAATGAAAAGAAAAGTTAAACTCTGAGAGTTGAACGCACACATCACGCAGCAGTTTCTGAGAATGATTCTGTCTAGTTTTTATACGAAGATATTTCCTTTTCTGCCTTTGGCCTCAAAGCGCTTGAAATCTCCACTTGCAAATTCCACAAAAAGAGTGTTTCAAATCTGCTCTGTGTAAATGAAAGCTCAACTCCGTGAGTTGAACACACACAACACAAGGAAGTTACTGGGAATTCTTCTGTCTAGCCTTACATGAAAAAAACCCGTTTCCAACGAAGGCCTCAAAGAGGTCTGAATATCCACTTGCAGACTTTACAAACAGAGTGTTTCCTAACTGCTCTATGAAAAGAAAGGTTAAACTCTGTGAGTTGAACACACACATCAGAAAGGAGTTTCTGAGAAACATTCTGTCTAATTTCTATAGGAAGATATTTCCTATTCTACCATTGACCTCAAAGCGGCTGAAATCTCCACTTGCAAATTCCACAAAAAGAGTGTTTCAAGTCTGCTCTGTGTAAAGGATCGTTCAAATCGGTGAGGTGAATACACACAACACAAGGAAGTTACTGAGAATTCTTCTGTCTAGCATAATATGAAGAAATCACGTTTCCAACGAAGGCCTCAAGGAGGTCTGAATATCCACATGCAGACTTTACAAACAGAGTGTTTCCTAACTTCTCTATGAAAAGAAAGGTTAAACTCTGTGAGTTGAACGCACAAATCACAAAGCAGTTTCTGAGAATCATTCGGTCTAGTTTCTATAGGAAGATATTTCCTATTCTACCATTGACCTCAAAGCGGCTGAAATCTCCACTTGCAAATTCCACTAAAACAGTGTTTCAAGTCTGCTCTGTGTAAAGGATCGTTCAACTCTGTGAGTTGAATACACACAACACAAGGAAGTTACTGAGAATTCTTCTGTCTAGCAGAATATGAAGAAATCCCGTTTCCAACGAAGGCCACAAGATGTCAAATTATCCACTTACAGAATTTACAAACAGACTGTTTCCTAACTGCTCTATGAAAAGAAAGGTTAAACTCTGTGAGATGAACGAACACATCACAACGCAGTTTGTGGGAATGATTCTGTCTAGTTTTGAAACGCAGATATTTCCTTTTCTGCCGTTGACCTTAAAGAGCTTGAAAACTACACTTGCAAATTGCACAAATAGAGTGTTTCAAATCTGCTCTGTCTAAGGGAACGTTCAACTCTGTGAGTTGAATGCACACAACACAAGGAAGTTACTGGGAATTCTTCTGTCTAGCCTTACATGAAAAAAACCCGTTTCCAACGAAGGCCTCTAAGTGGTCAAAATATCCACGTGCAGACTTTACAAACAGAGTGTTTCCAAACTGTAGAATGAAAAGAAAAGTTAAACTCTGAGAGTTGAACGCACACATCACAGAGCAGATTCTGAGAATGATTCTGTCTAGTTTTTATACGAAGATATTTCCTTTTCTGCCTTTGGCCCCAAAGCGCTTGAAATCTCCACTTGCAAATTCCACAAAAACAGTGTTTCAAATCTGCCCTCTCTAAATGAAAGTTCAACTCTGTCAGTTGAATACACACAACAGAAGGAAGTTACTGAGAATTCTTCTGTCTAGCACAGTATGAAGAAATCCCGTTTCCAACGAAGTCCTCAAAGAGGTCTGAATATACACTTGCAGAGTTTACAAACAGAGTGTTTCCTAACTGCTCTATGAAAAGAAAGGTTAAACTCTGTGAGTTGAACGCACACATCACAATGAAGTTTCTGAGAATCATTCTGTCTAGTTTTTCTATGAAGATATTTCCTTTTCTACCATTGACCTCAAAGCGGCTGAAATCTCCACTTGCAAATTCCACAAAAAGAGTGTTTCTAATCTGCTCTGTGTAAAGGATCGTTCAACTCTGTGAGTTGAATACACACAACACGAGGAAGTTACTGAGAATTCTTCTGTCTAGCATAATATGAAGAAATCCCGTTTCCAACGAAGGCCTCAAAGAGGTCTGAATATCCACTTGCAGACTTTACAAACAGAGTGTTTCCTAACTGCTCTCTGAAAAGAAAAGTTAAACTCTGTGAGTTGAACGCACACATCACATAGGAGTTTCTGAGAATCATTCTGTCTAGTTTTTATACGAAGATATTTCCTTTTCTACCATTGACCTCAAAGCGGCTGAAATCTCCACTTGCAAATTCCACACAAAGAGTGTTTCAAATCTGCTCTGTGTAAACCATCGTTCAACTCTGTGAGTGGAATACACACAACACAAGGGAAGATTCTGAGAATTCTTCTGTCTAGCAGAATATGAAGAAATCCTGTTTCCAACGAAGGCCACAAGATGTCAGAATATCCACTTTCAGACTTTACAAACAGAGTGTTTCCTAACTGCTCTATGAACAGAAAGGTTAAACTCTGTGAGTTGAACGAACACATCACAACGCAGTTTGTGGGAATGATTCTGTCTAGTTTTGAAACGAAGATATTTCCTTTTCTGCCATTGACCTTAAAGCGCTTGAAATCTCCACTTGCCAATTGCACAAAAAGAGTGTTTCAAATCAGCTCTGTCTAAGGGAACGTTCAAATCTGTGTGTTGAATGTACACAACACAAGGAAGTTACTGGGAATTCTTCTGTCTAGCCTTACAGGAATAAAACCCGTTTCCAACGAAGGCCTCTAAGTGGTCAAAATATCCACGTGCAGACTTTACAAAGAGAATGTTTCCAAACTGCTGAATGAAAAGAAAAATTAAACTCTGAGAGTTGAATGCACACATCGCAGAGCAGTTTCTGAGAATGATTCTGTCTAGTTTTTATACGAAGATATTTCCTTTTCTGCCTTTGGCCTCAAAGCGCTTGAAATCTCCACCTGCAAATTCCACAAAAAGAGTGTTTCAAATCTGCTCTGTGTAAAGGAAAGTTCAACTCTGTGAGTTGAACACACACAACACAAGGAAGTTACTGGGAATTCTTCTGTCTAGCAGAATAGGAAGAAATCCCGTTTCCAACGAAGGCCTCAAGGAGGTCTGAATATCCACTTGCAGACGTTACAAACAGAGTGTTTCCTAACTGCTCTATGAAAAGAAAGGTTAAACTCTGTGAGTTGAACGCACACATCACAAAGGAGTTTCTGAGAATCGTTCTGTCTAGTTTTTGTACGAAGATATTTCCTTTTCTACCATTGACCTCAAAGCGGCTGAAATCTCCACTTGCAAATTCCACAAAACGAGTGTTTCAAGTCCGCTCTGTGTAAAGGATCGTTCAACTCTGTGAGTTGAATCCACACAACACAAGGAAGTTACTGAGAATTCTTCTGTCTAGCCTTACATGAAAAAAACACGTTTCCAACGAAGGCCTCTAAGTGGCCAAATTATCCACGTGCAGACTTTACAAACAGAGTGTTTCCAAACCGCTGAATGAAAAGAAAAGTTAAACTCTGAGAGTTGAACGCACACATCGCAGAGCAGTTTCTGAGAATGATTCTGTCTAGTTTTTATACGAAGATATTTCGTTTTCTGCCTTTGGCCCCAAAGCGCTTGAAATCTCCATTTGCAAATTCCACAAAAACAGTGTTTCAAATCTGCTCTCTCTAAATGAAAGTTCAACTCTGTCAGTTGAATACACACAACACAAGGAAGTTACTGAGAATTCTTCTTTCTTGCAGAATATGAAGAAATCCCGTTTCCAACGAAAGCCTCAAGGATGTCGGAATATCCACTTGCAGACTTTACAAACAGAGTGTTTCCTAACTGCTCTATGAAAAGAAAGGTTAAACTCTGTGAGTTGAAGGCACACATCACAAAGGAGTTTCTGAGAATCATTCTGTCTAGTTTGTATAGGAAGATATTTCCTATTCTACCATTGACCTCAAAGCGGCTGAAATCTCCACTTGCAAATTCCACAAAAAGAGTGTTTCAAGTCTGCTCTGTGTAAAGGATCGTTCAACTCTGTGAGTTGAATACACACAACACAAGGAAGTTACTGAGAATTCTTCTGTCTAGCATAGTATGAAGAAATCCAGTTTCCAACGAAGGCCTCAAAGAGGTCTGAATATCCACTTGCAGAGTTTACAAACAGAGTGTTTCCTAACTGCTCTATGAAAAGAAAGGTTAAACTCTGTGAGTTGAACGCACACATCACAAAGAAGTTTCTGAGAATCATTCTGACTAGTTTTTATACAAAGATATTTCCTTTTCTACCATGGACCTCAAAGCGGCTGAAATCTCCACTTGCAAATTCCACAAAAAGAGTGTTTCAAGTCTGCTCTGTGTAAAGGATCGTTCAACTCTGTGAGTTGAATACACACAACACAAGGAAGATTCTGAGAATTCTTCTGTCTAGCAGAATATGAAGAAATCCCGTTTCCAACGAAGGCCTCAAGGAGGTCTGAATGTCCACTTGCAGACTTTACAAACAGAGTGTTTCCTAACTGCTCTATGAACAGAAAGGTTAAACTCTGTGAGTTGAACGAACACATCACAACGCAGTTTGTGGGAATGATTCTGTCTAGTTTTGAAACGAAGATATTTCCTTTTCTGCCATTGACCTTAAAACGCTTGAAATCTACACTTGCAAATTGCACAAATAGAGTGTTTCAAATCTGCTCTGTCTAAGGGAACGTTCAACTCTGTGAGTTGAATGCACACAACACAAGGAAGTTACTGGGAATTCTTCTGTCTAGCCTTACATGAAAAAAACCCGTTTCCAACGAAGGCCTCTAAGTGGTCAAAATATCCACGTGCAGACTTTACAAACAGAGTGTTTCCAAACTGTAGAATGAAAAGAAAAGTTAAACTCTGAGAGTTGAACGCACACATCACAGAGCAGTTTCTGAGAATGATTCTGTCTAGTTTTTATACGAAGATATTTCCTTGTCTGCCTTTGGCCTCAAAGCGCTTGAAATCTCCACTTGCAAATTCCACAAAAAGAGTGTTTCAAATCTGCTCTGTGTAAATGAAAGTTCAACTCTGTGAGTTGAACACACACAACACAAGGAAGTTACTGGGAATTCTTCTGTCTACCAGAATATGAAGAAATCCCGTTTCCAACGAAGGCCTCAAAGAGGTCTGAATATCCACTTGCAGACTTTATAAACAGAGTGTTTCCTAACTGCTCTAAGAAAAGAAAGGTTAAACTCTGTGAGTTGAACGCACACATCACAAAGGAGTTTCTGAGAATCATTCTGTCTAGTTTTTCTACGAAGATATTTGCTTTTCTACTATTGACCTCAAAGCGGCTGAAATCTCCACTTGCAAATTCCACAAAAAGAGTGTTTTAAGTCTGCTCTCTGTAAAGGATAGTTCAACTCTGTGAGTTGAATACACACAACACAAGGAAGTTACTGAGAATTCTTCTGTCTAGCAGAATATGAAGAAATCGCGTTTCCAACGAAGGCCTCAAGGAGGTCTGAATATCGACTTGCAGACTTTACAAACAGAGTTTTTCCTAACTGCTCTATGAAAAGAATGGTTAAACTCTGTGAGTTGAACGCACACATCACAAAGGAGTTTCTGAGAATCATTCTGTCTAGTTTTTATAGGAAGATATTTCCTTTTCTACCTTTGACTTCAAAGCGGCTGAAATCTCCACTTGCAAATTACACAAAAAGAGTGTTACACGTCTGCTCTGTGTAAAGGATCGTTCAACTCTGTGAGGTGAATACACACAACACAAGGAAGTTACTGAGAATTCTTCTGTCTAGCAGAATATGAAGAAATCCCGTTTCCAACGAAGGCCACAAGATGTCAGAATATCCACTTACAGACTTTACAAACAGAGTGTTTCCTAACTGCTCTATGAACAGAAAGGTTAAGCTCTGTGAGTTGAATGAACACATCACAACGCAGTTTGTGGGAATGATTTCTGTCTAGTTTTGAAACGAAGATATTTCCTTTTCTGCCATTGACCTTAAAGCGCTTGAAATCTACACTTGCAAATTGCACAAATAGAGTGTTTCAAATCTGCTCTGTCTAAGGGAACGTTCAACTCTGTGATTTGAATGCACACAACACAAGGAAGTTACTCGGAATTCTTCTGTCTAGCCTTACGTGAAAAAAACCCGTTTCCAACGAAGGCCTCTAAGTGGTCAAGTTATCCACGTGCAGACTTTACAAACAGAGTGTTTCCAAACTTCTGAATGAAAAGAAAAGTTAAACTCTGAGAGTTGAACGCACACATCGCAGAGCAGTTTCTGAGAATGATTCTGTCTAGTTTTTATACGAAGATATTTCCTTTTCTGCCTTTGGCCTCAAAGCGCTTGAAATCTCCACTTGCAAATTCCACAAAAAGAGTGTTTCAAATCTGCTCTGTGTAAATCAAAGTTCAACTCTATGAGTTGAACACACACAACACAAGGAAGTTACTGGGAATTACTCCTGTCTAGCAGAATATGAAGAAATCCCGTTTCCAACGAAGGCCTCAAGGAGGTCTGAATATCCACTTGCAGACTTTACAAACAGAGTGTTTCCTAACAGCTCTATGAACAGAAAGGTTAAACTCTGTGAGTTGAACGCACACATCACAAAGGAGTTTCTGAGAATCATTTTGTCTAGTTTCTATAAGAAGATATTTCCTATTCTACCATTGACCTCAAAGCGGCTGAAATCTCCACTTGCAAATTCCACAAAAAGAGTGTTTCAAGTCTGCTCTGGGTAAAGGATCATTCAACTCTGTGTGTTGAATAAACACAACACAAGGAAGTTACTGAGAATTCTTCTGTCTAGCCTTACATGAAAAAAACCCTTTTCCAACGAAGGCCTCTAAGTGGTCAAGTTATCCACGTGCAGACTTTACAAACAGAGTGTTTCCAAACTGCTGAATGAAAAGAAAAGTTAAACTCTGAGAGTTGAACGCACACATCGCAGAGCAGTTTCTGAGAATGATTCTGTCTAGTTTCTATAGGAAGATATTTCCTATTCTACCATTGACCACAAAGCGGCTGAAATCTCCACTTGCAAATTCCACAAAAAGAATGTTTCAAGTCTGCTCTGTGTAAACGATCGTTCAACTCTGTGAGTTGAATACACACAACACAAGGAAGTTACTGAGAATTCTTCTGTCTAGCAGAATATGAAGAAATCCCGTTTCCAACGAAGGCCTCAAGGAGGTCTGAATATCCACTTGCAGACTGTACAAATAGAGTGTTTCCTAACTGCTCTATGAAAAGAAAGGTTAAACTCTGTGAGTTGAACGCACACATCACAAAGGAGTTTCTGAGAATCATTCTGTCTAGTTTTTATACGAAGATATTTCCTTTTCTGCCATTGACCTCAAAGCGGCTGAAATCTCCACTTGCAAATTCCACAAAAAGAGTGTTTCAAGTCTGCTCTGTGTAAAGGATCGTTGAACTCTGTGAGTTGAATACACACAACACAAGGAAGTTACTGAGAATTCTTCTGTCTAGCATAATATGAAGAAATCCCGTTTCCAACGAAGGCCTCAAAGAGGTCTGAATATCCACTTGCAGACTTTACAAACAGAGTGTTTCCTAACTGCTCTATGAGAAGAAAAGTTAAACTCTGTGAGTTGAACACACACATCACAAAAGATTTTCTGAGAATCATTCTGTCTAGTTTTTATACGAAGATATTTCCTTTTCTTCCATTGACCTCAAAGCGGCTGAAATCTCCACCCTGCCAATTCCACAAAAAGGGTGTTTCAAGTCTACTCTGTGTAAAGGATCGTTGAACTCTGTGAGTTGAAAACACACAACACAACGAACTTTCTGAGAATTCTTCTGTCTAGCATAGTATGAAGAAATCCCGTTTCCAACGAAGGCCTCAAAGAGGTCTGAATATCCACTTGCAGAGTTTACAAACAGAGTGTTTCCTAACTGCTCTAAGAAAAGAAAGGTTAAACTCTGTGAGTTGAACGCACACATCACAAAGAAGTTTTTGAGAATCATTCTGTCTAGTTTCTATAGGAAGATATTTCCTATTCTACCATTGACCTAAAAGCGGCTGAAATCTTCTCTTGCAAATTCCACAAAAGGAGTGTTTCAAGTCTGCTCTGAGTAAAGGATCGTTCAACTCTGTGAGTTGAATACACACAACACAAGGAAGTTTCTGAGAATTCTTCTGTCTAGCAGAATATGAAGAAATCCCGTTTCCAACGAAGGCCACAAGATGTCAGAATATCCACTTACAGAATTTACAAACAGACTGTTTCCTAACTGCTCTATGAAAAGAAAGGTTAAACTCTGTGAGTTGAATGAACACATCACAACGCAGTTTGTGGGAATGATTCTCTCTAGTTTTGAAACGAAGATATTTCCTTTTCTGCCATTGACCTTAAAGCGCTTGAAATCTCCACTTGCCAATTGCACAAAAAGAGTGTTTCAAATCTGCTCTGTCTAAGGGAACGTTCAACTCTGTGAGTTGAATGTACACAACACAAGGAAGTTACTGGGAATTCTTCTGTCTAGCCTTACATGAAAAAAACCCGTTTCCAACGAAGGCCTCTAAGTGGTCAAATTATCCACGTGCAGACTTTACAAACAGAGTGTTTCCAAACTGCTGAATGAAAAGAAAAGTTAAACTGCTGAGAGTTGAACGCACACATCGCAGAGCAGTTTCTGAGAATGATTTCTCTCTAGTTTTGAAACGAAGTTATTTCCTTTTCTGCCTTTGGCCTCAAAGCGCTTGAAATCTCCATTTGCAAATTCCACAAAAAGAGTGTTTCAAATCTGCTCTGTGTAAATGAAAGTTCAACTCTGTGAGTTGAACACACACAACACAAGGGAGTTACTGGGAATTCTTCTGTCTAGCATAATATGAAGAAATCCCGTATCCAACGAAGGCCTCAAGCAGGTCTGAATCTCCACTTGCAGACTTTACAAACAGAGTGTTTCCTAACTGCTCTATGAAAAGAAAGGTTAACCTCTGTGAGTTGAACGCACACATCACAAAGGAGTTTCTGAGAATCATTCTGTCTAGTTTCTATAAGAAGATATTTCCTATTCTACCATTGGCTTCAAAGCGGCTGAAATCTCCACTTGCAAATTCGACAAAAAGAGTTTTTCAATCCTGCTCTCTGTAAAGGATCCTTCAACTCTGTGAGTTGAATACACACAACACAAGGAAGTTACTGAGAATTCTTCTGTCTAGCCTTACATGAAAAAAACCCGTTTCCAACGAAGGCCTCTAAGGGGTCAAAATATCCTCGTGCAGACTTTACAAACAGAGTGTTTCCAAACCGCTGAATGAAAAGAAAAGTTAAACTCTGAGAGTTGAACGCACACATCACGCAGCAGTTTCTGAGAATGATTCTGTCTAGTTTTTATACGAAGATATTTCCTTTTCTGCCTTTGGCCTCAAAGCGCTTGAAATCTCCATTTGCAAATTCCACAAAAAGAGTGTTTCAAACCTGCTCTGTGTAAATGAAAGTTCAACTCTGTGAGTTGAACACACACAACACAAGGAAGTTACTGGGAATTCTTCTGTCTAGCCTTATATGAAAAAAACCCGTTTCCAACGATGGCCTCAAAGAGGGCTGAATATCCACTTGGAGACTTTACAAGCAGAGTGTTTCCTAACTGCTCTATGAAAAGAAAGGTTAAACTCTGTGAGTTGAACACACACATCACAAAGGAGTTTCTGAGAATCATTCTGTCTAGTTTTTATACGAAGATATTTCCTTTTCTACCATTGACCTCAACGCGGCTGAAATCTCCACTTGCAAATTCCACAAAAAGAGTGTTTCAAGTCTGCTCTGTGTAAAGGATCGTTCAACTCTGTGAGTTGAATACACACAACACAAGGAAGTTACTGAGAACTCTTCTGTCTAGCATAATATGAAGAAATCCCGTTTCCAACGAAGGCCTCAAGGAGGTCTGAATATCCACTTGCAGACTTTACAGAGTGTTTCCTAACTGCTCTATGAAAAGAAAG
Source organism: Homo sapiens (assembly GCF_000001405.40). Taxonomy (NCBI): domain Eukaryota; kingdom Metazoa; phylum Chordata; class Mammalia; order Primates; family Hominidae; genus Homo; species Homo sapiens. The sequence goes on along the minus strand of NC_000005.10, from coordinate 47,416,017 downwards.
GTTAAACTGTGTGAGTTGAACGCACACATCACAAAGGAGTTTCTGAGAATCATTCTGTCTAATTTCTATAGGGAGATACTTCCTATTCTACCATTGACCTCAAAGCGGCTGAAATCTCCACTTGCAAATTCCACAAAAAGAGTGTTTCAAGTATGCTCTGTGTAAAGGATCGTTTAACTCTGTGAGTTGAATACACACACTACAAGGAACTTACTGAGAATTCTTCTGTCTAGCATAATATGAAGAAATCCCGTTTCCAACGAAGGCCTCAAGCAGGTCTGAATCTCCACTTGCAGACATTACAAACAGAGTGTTTCCTAACTGCTCTATGAAAAGAAAGGTTAACCTCTGTGAGTTGAACGCACACATCACAAAGGAGTTTCTGAGAATCATTCTGTCTAGTTTTGAAACGAAGATATTTCCTTTTCAACCATTGACCTCAAAGCGGCTGAAATCTCCAATTGCAAATTCCACAAAAAGAGTGTTTCAAGTCTGCTCTGTGTAAAGCGTCGCTCAACTCTGTGAGTTGAATACACACAACACGAGGAAGTTACTTAGAATTCTTCTGTCTAGCCTTACATGAAAAAAACCCGTTTCCAACGAAGGCCTCTAAGTGGTCAAGTTATCCACGTGCAGACTTTACAAACAGAGTGTTTCCAAACTGCTGAATGAAAAGAAAAGTTAAACTCTGAGAGTTGAACGCACACATCGCAGAGCAGTTTCTGAGAATAATTCTGTCTAGTTTTTATACGAAGATATTTCCTTTTCTGCCTTTCGCCTCAAAGCGCTTGAAATCTCCACTTGCAAATTCCACAAAAAGAGTGTTTCAAATCTGCTCTGTGTAAATGAGAGTTCAACTCTCTGAGTTGAACACACACAACACAAGGAAGTTACTGGGAATTCTTCTGTCTAGCCTTATATGAAAAAAACCCGTTTCCAACGAAGGCCTCAAAGAGGTCTGAATATCCTCTTGCAGACTTTACAAACAGAGTGTTTCCTAACTGCTCTATGAAAAGAAAGGTTAAACTCTGTGAGTTGAACACACACATCACAAAGGAGTTTCTGAGAATCATTGTCTGTCTAGTTTTTATACGAAGATATTTCCTTTTCTACCATTGACCTCAAAGCGGCTGAAATCTCCACTTGCAAATTCCACAAAAAGAGTGTTTCAAGTCTGCTCTGTGTAAAGGATCGTTGAACTCTGTGAGTTGAATACACAAAACACAAGGAAGTTACTGAGAATTCTTCTGTCTAGCATAATATGAAGAAATCCCGTTTCCAAAGAAGGCCTCAAGGAGCTCTGAATATCCACTTGCAGACTTTACAAACAGAGTGTTTCCTAACTGCTCTATGAAAAGAAAGGTTAAACTCTGTGAGTTGAACGCACACATCACAAAGGAGTTTCTGAGAATCATTCTGTCTAGTCTTTATACGAAGATATATCCTTTTCTACCATTGACCTCAAAGCGGCTGAAATCTCCACTTGCGAATTCCACAAAAAGAGTGTTTCAAGTCTGCTCTCTGTAAAGGATCGTTGAACTCTGTGAGTTGAATACACACAACACAAGGGAAGTTACTGAGAATTATTCTGTCTAGCAGAATATGAAGAAATCCCGTTTCCAACGAAGGCCTCAAAGAGGTCTGAATATCCACTTGCAGACTTTACAACCAGAGTGTTTCCTAACTGCTCTATGAAAAGAAAGGTTAAACTCTGTGAGTTGAACGAACACATCACAACGCAGTTTGTGGGAATGATTCTGTCTAGTTTTGAAAGGAAGATATTTCCTTTTCTGCCATTGACCTGAAAGCGCTTGAAATCTACACTTGCAAATTGCACAAATAGAGTGTTTCAAATCTGCTCTGTCTAAGGGAACGTTCAAGTCTGTGAGTTGAATGCACACAACACAAGGAAGTTACTGGGAATTCTTCTGTCTAGCCTTACATGAAAAAAACCCATTTCCAACGAAGGCCTCTAAGGGGTCAAAATATCCACTTACAGACTTTACAAACAGAGTGTTTCCAAACCGCTGAATGAAAAGAAAAGTTAAACTCTGAGAGTTGAACGCACACATCACGCAGCAGTTTCTGAGAATGATTCTGTCTAGTTTTTATACGAAGATATTTCCTTTTCTGCCTTTGGCCCCAAACCTCTTGAAATCTCAACTTGCAAATTCCACAAAAACAGTGTTTCAAATCTGCTCTCTCTAAATGAATGTTCAACTCTGTCAGTTGAATACACACAACACAAGGAAGTTACTGAGAATTCTTCTGTCTAGCATAATATGAAGAAATCCCGTTTCCAACGAAGGCCTCAAGGAGGTCTGAATATCCACTTGCAGACTTTACAAACACAGTGTTTCCTAACTGCTCTATGAAAAGAAAGGTTAAACTCTGTGAGTTGCACGCACACATCACAAAGGAGTTTCTGAGAATCATTCTGTCTAGTTTTTATACGAAGATGTTTCCTTTTCTACCATTGACCTCAAAGCGGCTGAAAGCTCCACTTGCAAATTCCACAAAAAGAGTGTTTCAAGTCTGCTCTCTGTAAAGGATCGTTGAACTCTGTGAGTTGAATACACAAAACACAAGGAAGTTACTGAGAATTCTTCTGTCTAGCAGAATATGAAGATATCCCGCTTCCAACGAAGGCCTCAAAGAAGTTTGAATATCCACTTGCAGACTTTACAAACAGAGTGTTTTCCAACTGCTCTATGAAAAGAAAGGTTGAACTCTGTGAGTTGAACGCACACATCACAAAGGAGTTTCTGAGAATCATTCTGTCTAGTTTCTATAGGAAGATATTTCCTATTCTACCATTGACCTCAAAGCGGCTGAAATCTCCACTTGCAAATTCCAGAAAAAGAGTGTTTCAAGTCTGCTCTGTGTAAAGGATCGTTGAAGTCTGTGAGTTGAATACACACAACACAATGAAGTTACTGAGAATTCTTCTGTCTAGCAGAATATGAAGAAATCCCGTTTCCAACGAAGGCCACAAGATGTCAGAATATCCACTTACAGAATTTACAAACAGACTGTTTCCTAACTGCTCTACGAAAAGAAAGGTTAAACTCTGTGAGATGAACGAACACATCACAACGCAGTTAGTGGGAATGATTCTGTCTAGTTTTGGAACGAAGATATTTCCTTTTCTGCCATTGACCTTAAAGCCCTTGAAATCTACACTTGCAAATTGCACAAATAGAGTGTTTCAAATCTGCTCTGTCCAAGCGAACGTTCATCTCTGTGAGTTGAATGCACACAACACAAGGAAGTTACTGGGAATTCTTCTGTCTAGCCTTACATGAAAAAAACCAGTTTCTAACGAAGGCCTCTAAGTGGTCAAAATATCCACGTGCAGACTTTACAAACAGAGTGTTTCCAAACCGCTGAATGAAAAGAAAAGTTAAACTGTGAGAGTTGAACGCACACATCACGCAGCAGTTTCTGAGAATGATTCTGTCTAGTTTTTATACGAAGATATTTCCTTTTCTGCCTTTGGCCTCAAAGCGCTTGAAATCTCCACTTGCAAATTCCACAAAAAGAGTGTTTCAAATCTACTCTGTGTAAATCAAAGTTCAACTCTGTGAGTTGAACACACACAACACAAGGAAGTTACTGGGAATTCTTCTGTCTATCAGAATATGAAGAAATCCCGTTTCCAACGAAGGCCTCAAAGAGGTCTGAATATCCACTTGCAGACTTTACAAACAGAGTGTTTCCTAACTGCTCTATGAAAAGAAAGGTTAAACTCCGTGAGTTGAACGCACACATCACAAAGGAGTTTCTGAGAATCATTCTGTCTAGTTTCTATAGGAAGATATTTCCTTTTCTACCATTGACCTCAAAGCGGCTGAAATCTCCACTTGCAAATTCCACAAAAACAGTGTTTCAAGTAGGCTCTGTGTAAAGGATCGTTCAACTCTGTGAGTTGAATACACACAACACAAGGAAGTTACTGAGAATTCTTCTGTCTAGCCTTACATGAAAAAAACCCGTTTCCAACGAAGGCCTCTAAGTGGTCAAAATATCCACGTGCAGACTTTGCAAACAGAGTGTTTCCAAACTGCTGAATGAAAAGAAAAGTTAAACTACTGAGAGTTGAACGCACACATCGCAGAGCAGTTTCTGAGAATGATTCTGTCTCGTTTTTATACGAAGATATTTCCTTTTCTGCCTTTGGCCCCAAAGCGCTTGAAATCTCCACTTGCAAATTCCACAAAAACAGTGTTTCAAATCTGCTCTCTCTAAATGAAAGTTCAACTCTGTCAGTTGAATACACACAACACAAGGAAGTTACTGAGAATTCTTCTGTCTAGCCTTATATGAAAAAAACCCGTTTCCAACGAAGGCCTCAAAGAGGTCTGAATATCCACCTGCAGACTTTACAAACAGAGTGATTCCTAACTGCTCTATGAAAAGAAAGGTTAAACTCTGTGAGTTGAACACACACATCTCAAAGGAGTTTCTGAGAATCATTCTGTCTAGTTTCTTTACGAAGATATTCCCTTTTCTACCTTTGACCTCAACGCGGCCGAAATCTCCACTTGCAAATTCCACAAAAACAGTGTTTCAAGTCTGCTCTGTGTAAAGGATCGTTCAACTCTGTGAGTTGAATACACACAACACAAGGAAGTTACTGAGAATTCTTCTGTCTAGCAGAATATGAAGAACTCCCGTTTCCAAGGAAAGCCTCAAAGAGGTCTGAATATCCACTTGCAGACTTTACAAACAGAGTGTTTCCTAACTGCTCTATGAAAAGAAAGGTTAAACTCTGTGAGTTGAACGCACACATCACAAAGGAGTTTCTGAGAATCATTCTGTCTAGTCTTTATACGAAGATATTTACTTTTCTACCATTGACCTCAAAGCGGCTGAAATCTCCACTTGCAAATTCCACAAAAAGAGTGTTTCAAGTCTGCTCTGTGTAAAGGATCATTCAACTCTGTGAGTTGAATAAACACAACACAAGGAAGTTACTGAGAATTCCTTTCTGTCTAGCAGAATATGAAGAAATCCCGTTTCCAACGAAGGCCACAAGATGTCAGAATATCCACTTACAGAATTTACAAACAGACTGTTTCCTAACTGCTCTATGAAAAGAAAGGTTAAACTCTCTGAGATGAACGAACACATCACAACGCAGTTTTTGGGAATGATTCTGTCTAGTTTTGAAACGAAGATATTTCCTTTTCTGCCATTGACCTTAAAGCGCTTGAAGTCTCCACTTGCCAATTGCACAAAAAGAGTGTTTCAAATCTGCTCTGTCTAAGGGATCGTTCAACTCTGTGAGTTGAATATACACAACACAAGGAAGTTACTGGGAATTCTTCTGTCTAGCCTTAAATGAAAAAAACCCGTTTCCAACGAAGGCCTCTAAGTGGTCAAAATATCCACGTGCAGACTTTACAAACAGAGTGTTTCCAAACTGCTGAATGAAAAGAAAAGTTAAACTCTGAGAGTTGAACGCACACATCACAGAGTAGTTTCTGAGAATGATTCTGTCTAGTTTTTATACGAAGATATTTCCTTTTCTGCCTTTGGCCCCAAAGCGCTTGAAATCTCCACCTGCAAATTCCACAAAAAGAGTGTTTCAAATCTGCTCTGTGTAAATGAAAGTTCAACTCTGTGAGTTGAACACACACAACACAAGGAAGTTACTGGGAATTCTCTGTCTAGCAGAATATGAAGAAATCCCGTTTCCAACGAAGGCCTCAAAGAGGTCTGAATATCCACTTGCAGACTTTACAAACAGAGTGTTTCCTAACTGCTCTATGAAAAGAAAGGTTAAACTCTGTGAGTTGAACGTACACATCACAAAGGGGTTTCTGAGAATCATTCTGTCTAGTCTTTATACGAAGATATTTCCTTTTCTACCATTGACCTCAAAGCGGCTGAAATCTCCACTTGCAAATTCCACAAAAAGAGTGTTTCAACTATGCTCTGTGTAAAGGATCGTTCAACTCTGTGAGTTGAATACACACAACACAAGGAAGTTACTGAGAATTCTTCTGTCTAGCGGAATATGAAGAAATCCCGTTTCCAACGAAGGCCAGAAGATGTCAGAATATCCACTTACGGACTTTACAAAGAGAGTGTTTCCTAACTGCTCTATGAACAGAAAGGTTAAACTCTGTGAGTTGAACGAACACATCACAACGCAGTTTGTGGGAATGATTCTGTCTAGTTTCTATAGGAAGATATTTCCTATTCTACCATTGACCTCAAAGCGGCTGAAATCTCCACTTGCAAATTCCACAAAAAGAGTTTTTCAAGTCTGCTCTGTGTAAAGGATCGTTCAATTCTGTGAGTTGAATACACACAACACAAGGAAGTTACTGAGAATTCTTCTGTCTAGCAGAATATGAAGAAATCCCGTTTCCAACGAAGGCCACAAGATGTCAGAATATCCACTTACAGAATTGACAAACAGACTGTTTCCTAACTGCTCTATGAAAAGAAAGGTTAAACTCTGTGAGTTGAACAAACACATCACAACGCAGTTTGTGGGAATGATTCTGTCTAGTTTTTATATGAAGATATTTCCTTTTATACCATTGACCTCAAAGCGGCTGAAATCACCACTTGCCAATTGCACAAAAAGAGTGTTTCAAATCTGCTGTGTCTAAGGAAACGTTCAACTCTGTGAGTTGAATGTACACAACACAAGGGAAGTTACTGGGAATTCTTCTCTCTAGCCTTACATGAAAAAAACCCGTTTCCAACGAAGGCCTCTAAGTGGTCAAAATATCCACGTGCAGACTTTACAAACAGAGTGTTTCCAAACCGCTGAATGAAAAGAAAAGTTAAACTCTGAGAGTTGAACGCACACATCACGCAGCAGTTTCTGAGAATGATTCTGTCTAGTTTTTATACGAAGATATTCCCTTTTCAGCCTTTGGCCCCAAAGCGCTTGAAATCTCCACTTGCAAATTCCACAAAAACAGTGTTTCAAATCTGCTCTCTCTAAATGAAAGTTCAACTCTGTCAGTTGAATACACACAACACAAGGAAGTTACTGAGAATTCTTCTGTCTAGCATAATATGAAGAAATCCCGTTTCCAACGAAGGCCTCAAAGAGGTCTGAATATCCACTTGCAGACCTTACAAACAGAGTGTTTCCTAACTGCTCTATGAAAAGAAAAGTTAAACTCTGTGAGTTGAACGCACACATCACAAAGGAGTTTCTGAGAATCATTCTGTCTAGTTTCTATAGGAAGATATTTCCTATTCTACCATTGACCTCAAAGAGGCTGAAATCTCCACTTGCAAATTCCACAACAAGAGTGTTTCAAGTATGCTCCGTGTAAAGGATCGTTCAACTCTGTGAGTTGAATACACACAACACAAGGAAGTTACTGAGAATTCTTCTGTCTAGCATAGCATGAAGAAATCCCGTTTCCAACGAAGGCCTCAAAGAGGTCTGAATATCCACTTGCAGACTTTACAAACAGAGTGTTTCCTAACTGCTCTATGAAAAGAAAGGTTAAACTCTGTGAGTTGAACGCACACATCACAAAGAAGTTTCTGAGAATCATTCTGTCTAGTTTTTATACGAAGATATTTCCTTTTCTACCATTGACCTCAAAGAGGCTGAAATCTCCACTTGCAAATTCCACAAAAAGAGTGTTTCAAATCTGCTGTGTGTAAACCATCGTTCAACTCTGTGAGTTGAATACACACAACACAAGGAAGATTCTGAGAATTCTTCTGTCTAGCAGAATATGAAGAAATCCCGTTTCCAACGAAGGCCAGAAGATGTCAGAATATCCACTTACAGACTTTACAAACAGAGTGTTTCCTAACTGCTCTATGAACGGAAAGGTTAAACTCTGTGAGTTGAACGAACACATCACAACGCAGTTTGTGGGAATGATTCTGTCTAGTTTTGAAACGAAGATATTTCCTTTTCTGCCATTGACCTTAAAGCGCTTGAAATCTACACTTGCAAATTGCACAAATAGAGTGTTTCAAATCTGCTCTGTCTAAGGGAACGTTCATCTCTGTGAGTTGAATGCACACAACACAAGGAAGTTACTGGGAATACTTCTGTCTAGCCTTATATGAAAAAAACCCGTTTCCAACGAAGGCCTCTAAGTGGTCAAGTTATCCACGTGCAGTCTTTACAAACAGAGTGTTTCCAAACTTCTGAATGAAAAGAAAAGTTAAACTCTGAGAGTTGAACGCACACATCGCAGAGCAGTTTCTGAGAATGATTCTGTCTAGTTTTTATACGAAGATATTTCCTTTTCTGCCTTTGGCCTCAAAGCGCTTGAAATCTCCACTTGCAAATTCCACAAAAAGAGTGTTTCAAATCTGCTCTGTGTAAATGAAAGTTCAACTCTGTGAGTTGAACACACATAACACAAGGAAGTTACTGGGAATTCTTCTGTCTAGCATAATAGGAAGAAATCCCGTTTCCAACGAAGGCCTCAAGGAGGTCTGAATATCCACTTGCAGACTTTACAAACAGAGTGTTTCCTAACTGCTCTATGAAAAGAAAGGTTAAACTCTGTGAGTTGAACTGCACACATCACAAAGGAGTTTCTGAGAATCATTCTGTCTAGTTTCTATAGGAAGATATTTCCTATACTACCATTGACCTCAAAGCGGCTGAAATCTCCACTTGCAAATTCCACAAATAGAGTGTTTCAAGTCTGCTCTGTGTAAAGGATCGTTCAACTCTGTGAGTTGAATACACACAACACAAGGAAGTTACTGAGAATTCTTCTGTCTAGCATCATATGAAGAAATCCCGTTTCCAACGAAGGCCTCAAGGAGGTCTGAATATCCACTTGCAGACTTTACAAACAGAGTGTTTCCTAACTGCTCTATGAAAAGAAAGGTTAAACTCTGTGAGTTGAACGCACACATCACAAGGGAGTTTCTGAGAATCATTCTGTCTAGTTTTTATACGAAGATATTACCTTTTCTACCATGGACCTCAAAGCGGCTGAAATCTCCACTTGCAAATTCCACAAATAGAGTGTTTCAAATCTGCTCTGTGTAAACCATCGTTCAACTCTGTGAGTTGAATACACACAACACAAGGAAGATTCTGAGAATTCTTCTGTCTAGCAGAATATGAAGAAATCCCGTTTCCAACGAAGGCCTCAAGGAGGTCTGAATATCCACTTGCAGACTTTGCAAACAGAGTGTTTCCTAACTGCTCTATGAACAGAAAGGTTAAACTCTGTGAGTTGAACGAACACATCACAACGCAGTTTGTGGGAATGATTCTGTCTAGTTTTGAAACGAAGATATTTCCTTTCCTGCCATTGACCTTAAAGCGCTTGAAATCTCCATTTGCCAATTGCACAAAAAGAGTGTTTCAAATCTGCTCTGTCTAAGGGAACGTTCAACTCTGTGAGTTGAATGTACACAACACAAGGAAGTTACTGGGAATTCTTCTGTCTAGCCTTACAGGAAAAAAACCCGTTTCCAACGAAGGCCTCTAAGTGGTCAAAATATCCACGTGCAGACTTTACAAACAGAGTGTTTCCAAACTGCTGAATGAAAAGAAAAGTTAAACTCTGAGAGTTGAACGCACACATCGCAGAGTAGTTTCTGAGAATGATTCTGTCTAGTTTTTATACGAAGATATTTCCTTTTCTGCCTTTGGCCTCACAGCGCTTGAAATCTCCACTTGCAAATTCCAAAAAAAGAGTGTTTCAAATCTGCTCTGTGTAAATGAAAGTTCAACTCTGTGAGTTGAACACACACAACACAAGGAAGTTACTGGGAATTCTTCTGTCTAGCATAATATGAAGAAATCCCTTTTCCAACGAAGGCCCCAAAGAGGTCAGAATATCCACTTGCAGACTTTACAAACAGAGTGTTTCCTAACTGCTCTATGAAAAGAAAGGTTAAACTCTGTGAGTTGAACGCACAGAGCACAAAGCAGTTTCTGAGAATCATTCTGTCTAGTTTCTATAGGAAGATATTTCCTATTCTACCATTGACCACACAGCGGCTGAAATCTCCAGTTGCAAATTCCACAAAAAGAGTGTTTCAAGTCTGCTCTGTGTAAATCATCGTTCAACTCTGTGAGTTGAATACACACAACACAAGGAAGTTACTGAGAATTCTTCTGTCTAGCATAGTATGAAGAAATCCCGTTTCCAACGAAGGCCTCAAAGAGGTCTGAATATCCACTTGCAGAGTTTACAAACAGAGTGTTTCCTAACTGCTGTATGAAAAGAAAGGTTAAACTCTGTGAGTTGAACGCACACATCACAAAGAAGTTTCTGAGAATCATTCTGTCTAGTTTCTATACGAAGATATTTCCTTTTCTACAATTGACCTCAAAGCGGCTGAAATCTCCACTTGCAAATTCCACAAAAAGAGTGTTTCAAGTCTGCTCTGTGTAAAGGATCGTTCAACTCTGTGAGTTGAATACACACAACACCAGGAATTTACTGAGAATTCTTCTGTCTAGCAGAATATGAAGAAATCCCGTTTCCAACGAAGGCCACAAGATGTCAGAATATCCACTTACAGAATTTACAAACAGACTGTTTCCTAACTGCTCTATGAAAAGAAAGGTTAAACTACTGTGAGTTGAACGAACACATAACAACGCAGTTTGTGGGAATGATTCTGTCTAGTTTTGAAACGAAGATATTTCCTTTCCTGCCATTGACCTTAAAGCGCTTGAAATCTCCATTTGCCAATTGCACAAAAAGAGTGTTTCAAATCTGCTCTGTCTAAGGGAACGTTCAACTCTGTGAGTTGAATGTACACAACACAAGGAAGTTACTGGGAATTCTTCTGTCTAGCAGAATATGAAAAAACCCCGTTTCCAACGAAGGCCTCTAAGTGGTCAAAATATCCACGTGCAGACTTTACAAACAGAGTGTTTCCAAACCGCTGAATGAAAAGAAAAGTTAAACTCTGAGAGTTGAACGCACACATCACGCCACAGTTTCTGAGAATGATTCTGTCTAGTTTTTATAAGAAGATATTTCCTTTTCTGCCTTTGGCCTCAAAGCGCTTGAAATCTCCACTTGCAAATTCCACAAAAAGAGTGTTTCAAATCTGCTCTGTGTAAATGAAAGTTCAACTCTGTGAGTTGAACACTCACAACACAAGGAAGTTACTGGGAATTTTTCTGTCTAGCAGAATACGAAGAAATCCCGCTTCCAACGAAGTCCTCAAAGAAGTCTGAATATCCACTTGCAGACTTTACAAACAGAGTGTTTCCCAACTGCTCTATGAAAAGAAAGTTTGAACTCTGTGAGTTGAACGCACACATCACAAAGGAGTTTCTGAGAATCATTCTGTCTAGTTTTTATAGGAAGATATTTCCTTTTCTACCATTGACCTCAAAGCGGCTGAAATCTCCACTTGCAAATTCCACAAAAAGAGTGTTTCAACTCTGCTCTGTGTAAAGGATCGTTCAACTCTGTGAGTTCAATACACACAACACGCGGAAGTTACTGAGAATTCTTCTGTCTAGCAGAACATGAAGAAATCCCGTTTCCAACGAAGGCCTCAAAGATGTCTGTATATCCACTTGCAGACTTTACAAACAGAGTGTTTCCTAACTGCTCTATGAAAAGTAAGGTTAAACTCTGTGAGTTGAACGCACACATCACAAAGGAGTTTCTGAGAATCATTCTGTCTAGTTTTTATAGGAAGATATTTCCTTTTCTACATTTGACTTCAAAGCGGCAGGAATCTCCACTTGCAAATTCCACAAAAAGAGTGTTACAAGTCTGCTATGTGTAAAGGATCGTTCAACTGTGTGAGTTGAATACACACAACACAAGGAAGTTACTGAGAATTCTTCTGTCTAGCAGAATATGAAGAAATCCCGTTCCCAACGAAGGCCACAAGATGTCAGAATATCCACTTACAGACTTTACAAACAGAGTGTTTCCTAACTGCTCTATGAACAGAAAGGTTAAACTACTGTGAGTTGAACGAACACATCACAACGCAGTTTGTGGGAATCATTCTGTCTAGTTTTCAAACGAAGATATTTCCTTTTCTGCCATTGACCTTAAAGCGCTTGAAATCTACACTTGCAAATTGCACAAATAGAGTGTTTCAAATCTGCTCTGTCTAAGGGAACGTTCAACTCTGTGAGTTGAATGCACACAACACAAGGGAAGTTACTGGGAATTCTTCTGTCTAGCCTTACAAGAAAAAAACCCGTTTCCAACGAAAGCCTCTAAATGGTCAAAATATCCACGTGCAGACTTTACAAACAGAGGGTTTCCAAACTGCTGAATGAAAAGAAAAGTTAAACTCTGAGAGTTGAACGCACACATCGCAGAGCAGTTTCTGAGAATGATGCTGTCTAGTTTTTATACGAAGATATTTCCTTTTCTGCCTTTGGCCTCAAAGCGCTTGAAATCTCCACTTGCAAATTCCACAAAAAGAGTGTTTCAAATCTGCTCTGTGTAAATCAAAGTTCAACTCTGTGAGTTGAACACACACAACACAAGGAAGTTACTGGGAATTCTTCTGTCTAGCATAATATGAAGAAATCCCGTCTCCAAAGAAGGCCTCAAGGAGGTCTGAATATCCACTTGCAGACTTTACAAACAGAGTGTTTCCTAACTGCTCTATGAAAAGAAAGGTTAAACTCTGTGAGTTGAACGCACACATCACAAAGGAGTTTCTGAGAATCATTCTGTCTAGTTTCTATAGGAAGATATTTCCTATTCTACCATTGACCTCAAAGAGGCTGAAATCTCCACTTGCAAATTCCACAAAAAGAGTGTTTCAAGTCTGCTCTGTGTAAAGGATCGTTCAACTCTGTGAGTTGAATATACACAACACAAAGGAGTTACTGAGAATTCTTCTGTCTAGCAGAATATGAAGAAATCCCGTTTCCAACGAAGGCCTCTAGGAGGTCTCAATATCTACTTGCAGACTTTACAAACAGAGTGTTTCCTAACTGCTCTATGAACAGAAAGGTTAAACTCTGTGATTTGAACGAACACATCACAACGCAGTTTGTGGGAATGATTCTGTCTAGTTTTTATAGGAAGATATTTCCTTTTCTACCTTTGACCTGAAAGCGGCTGAAATCACCAATTGCCAATTGCACAAAAAGAGTGTTTCAAATCTGCTCTGTCTAAGGAAACGTTCAACTCTGTGGGTTGAATGTACAAAACACAAGGAAGTTACTGGGAATTCTTCTGTCTAGCCTTACATGAAGAAAACCCGTTTCCAACGAAGGCCTCTAAGTGGTCAAAATATCCACGTGCAGACTTTACAAAGAGAGTGTTTCCAAACCGCTGAATGAAAAGAAAAGTTAAACTCTGAGAGTTGAACGCACACATCACGCAGCAGTTTCTGAGAATGATTCTGTCTAGTTTTTATACGAAGATATTTCCTTTTCTGCCTTTGGCCCCAAAGCGCTTGAAATCTCCATTTGCAAATTCCACAAAAACAGTGTTTCAAATCTGCTCTCTCTAAATGAAAGTTCAACTCTGTCAGTTGAATACACACAACACAAGGGAAGTTACTGAGAAATTCTTTTGTCTAGCAGAATATGAAGAAATCCCGTTTCCAACGAAGGCCTCAAAGAGGTCTGAATATCCACTTGCAGACTTTACAAACAGAGTGTTTCCTAACTGCTCTATGAAAAGAAAGGTTAAACTCTGTGACTTGAACGCACACATCACAAAGGAGTTTCTGAGAATCATTCTGTCTAGTTTTTATACGAAGATATTTCCTTTTCTGCCTTTGGCTTCAAAGCGCTTGAAATCTCCACTTGCAAATTCCACAAAAAGAGTGTTTCAAGTCTGCTCTGTGTAAAGGATCGTTCAACTCTGTGAGTTGAATACACACAACACAAGGAAGTTACTGAGAATTCTTCTTTCTAGCAGAATATGAAGAAATCCCGTTTCCAACGAAAGCCTCAAGGATGTCTGAATATCCACTTGCAGACTTTACAAACAGAGTGTTTCCTAACTGCTCTATGAAAAGAAAGGTTAAACTCTGTGAGTTGAACGCGCACATCACAAAGGAGTTTCTGAGAATCATTCTGTCTAGTTTTTATTCGAAGGTATTTCCTTTTCTACCATTGACGTCAAAGCGGCTGAAATCTCCACTTGCAAATTCCACAAAAAGAGTGTTACAAGTCTGCTCTGTGTAAAGGATCGTTCAACTCCGTGAGTTGAATACACACAACACAAGGAAGTTACTGAGAATTCTTCTGTCTAGCATAATATGAAGAAATCCCGTTTCCAACGAGGGCCTCAAAGAGGTCTGAATATCCACTTGCAGACTTTACAAACAGAGTGTTTCCTAACTGCTATATGAAAAGAAAGGTTAAACTCTGTGAGTTGAACGAACACATCACAACGCAGTTTGTGGGAATGATTCTGTCTAGTTTTGAAACGAAGATATTTCCTTTTCTGCCATTGAACTTAAAGCGCTTGAAATCTCCGTTTGCCAATTGCACAAAAAGAGTGTTTCAAATCTGCTCTGTCTAAGGGAACGTTCAACTCTGTGAGTTGAATGTACACAACACAAGGAAGTTACTGGGAATTCTTCTGTCTAGCCTTACATGAAAAAAATCCGTTTCCAACGAAGGCCTCTAAGTGGTCAAAATATCCACGTGCAGACTTTACAAACAGAGTGTTTCCAAACCGCTGAATGAAAAGAAAAGTTAAACTCTGAGAGTTGAACGCACACATCACGCAGCAGTTTCTGAGAATGATTCTGTCTAGTTTTTACATGAAGATATTTCCTTTTCTACCATTGACCTCAAAGAGGCTGAAATCTCCACTTGCAAATTCCACAAAAAGAGTGTCTCAAGTCTGCTCTGTGTAAACGATCGTTCAACTCTGTGAGTTGAATACACACAACACAAGGAAGTTGCTGAGAATTCTTCTGTATAGCAGAATATGAAGAAATCCCGTTTCCAACGAAGGCCTCAAGGAGGTCTGAATATCCACTTGCAGACTTTTCAAACAGAGTGTTTCCTAACTGCTCTATGAAAAGAAAGGTTAAACTCTGTGAGTTGAACGCAGACATCCCAAAGGAGTTTCTGAGAATCACTCTGTCTAGTTTCTATAGGAAGATATTTCCTATTCTACCATTGACCTCAAAGCGGCTGAAATCTCTACTTGCAAATTCCACAAAAAGAGTGTTTCAAGTCTGCTCTGTGTAAAGGATCGTTCAACTCTGTGAGTTGAATACACACAACACAAGGATGTTACTGAGAATTCTTCTGTCTAGCCTTACATGAAAAAAACCCGTTTCCAACGAAGGCCTCTAAGTGGTCAAATTATGCACGTGCAGACTTTACAAACAGAGTGTTTCCAAACTGCTGAATGAAAAGAAAAGTTAAACTCTGAGAGTTGAACGCACACATCGCAGAGCAGTTTCTGAGAATGATTCTGTCTAGTTTTTATACGAAGATATTTCCTTTTCTGCCCTTGGCCTCAAAGCGCTTGAAATCTCCACTTGCAAATTCCACAAAAAGAGTGTTTCAAATCTGCTCTGTGTAAATGAAAGTTCAACTCTGTGAGTTGAACACACACAACACAAGGAAGTTACTGGGAATTCTTCTGTCTAGCATAATATGAAGAAATCCCGTTTCCAACGAAGGCCTCAAAGGGGTCTGAATATCCACTTGCAGACTTTATAAACAGAGTGTTTACTAACTGCTCTATGAAAAGAAAGGTTAAACTCTGTGAGATGAACACACACATCACAAAGGAGTTTCTGAGAATCATTCTCTGTCTAGTTTTTATACGAAGATATTTCCTATTCTACCATTGACCTCAAAGCGGCTGAAATCTCCACTTGCCAATTCCACAAAAACAGTGTTTCAAGTCTACTCTGTGTAAAGGATCGTTGAACTCTGTGAGTTGAAAACACACAACACAAGGAAGTTTCTGAGAATTCTTCTGTCTAGCCTTACATGAAAAAAACCCGTTTCCAACGAAGGCCTCTAAGTGGTCAAGTTATCCACGTGCAGACTTTACAAACAGATTGTTTCCAAACTGCTGAATGAAAAGAATAGTTAAACTCTGAGAGTTGAACGCACACATCGCAGAGCAGTTTCTGAGAATGATTCTGTCTAGTTTTTATACGAAGATATTTCCTTTTCTGGCTTTGGCCCCAAAGCGCTTGAAATCTCCACTTGCAAATTCCACAAAAACAGTGTTTCAAATCTGCTCTCTCTAAATGAAAGTTCAACTCTGTCAGTTGAATACACACAACACAAGGAAGTTACTGAGAATTCTTCTGTCTAGCATAATATGAAGAAATCCCATTTCCAACGAAGGCCTCAGAGAGGTCTGAATATCCCCTTGCAGACTTTACAAACAGAGCGTTTCCTAACTGCTCTATGAAAAGAAAGGTTAAACTCTGTGAGTTGAACGCACACATCACAAAGGAGTTTCTGAGAATCATTCTGTCTAGTCTTTATACGAAGATATTTCCTTTTCTACCATTGACCTAAAAGCGGCTGAAATCTCCCATTGAAAATACCAAAAAAAGTGTGTTTCAAGTCTGCTCTGTGTAAATGATCGTTCAACTCTGTGAGTTGAATACACACAACACAAGGAAGTTTCTGAGAATTCTTCTGTCTAGCCTTATATGAAAAAAACCCGTTTCCAACGAAGGCCTCAAAGAGGTCTGAATATCCACTTGCAGACTTTACAAACAGAGTGTTTCCTAACTTCTCTATGAAAAGAAAGGTTAAACTCTGTGAGTTGAACGCAGACATCACAAAGGAGTTTCTGAGAATCATTCTGTCTAGTTTTTATAGGAAGATATTTCCTTTTCTACCTTTGACTTCAAAGCGGCTGAAATCTCCACTTGCAAATTCCACAAAAAGAGTGTGACAAGTCTGCTCTGTGTAAAGGATCGTTCAACTCTGTGAGTTGAACACACACAACACAAGGAAGTTACTGAGAATTCTTCTGTCTAGCAGAATATGAAGAAATCCCGTTTCGAACGAAGGCCACAAGATGTCAGAATATCCACTTACAGACTTTACAAACAGAGTGTTTCCTAACTGCTCTATGAACAGAAAGGTTAAACTCTGTGAGTTGAACGCACACATCACAAAGGAGTTTCTGAGAATCATTCTGTCTAGTTTTGAAACGAAGATATTTCCTTTTCTGCCATTGACCTTAAAGCTCTTGAAATCTCCACTTGCCAATTGCACAAAAAGAGTGTTTCAAATCTGCTCTGTCTAAGGGAACGTTCAACTCTGTGAGTTGAATGTACACAACACAAGGAAGTTACTGGGAATTCTTCTGTCTAGCCTTACATGAAAAAAACCCGTTTCCAACGAAGGCCTCTAAGTGGTCAAATTATCCACGTGCAGACTTTACGAACAGAGTGTTTCCAAACTGCTGAATGAAAAGAAAAGTTAAACTCTGAGAGTTGAACGCACACATCACAGAGCAGTTTCTGAGAATGATTCTGTCTAGTTTCTATAGGAAGATATTTCCTATTCTACCATTGACCTCAAAGCGGCTGAAATCTCCACTTGCAAATTCCACAAGAAGAGTGTTTCAAGAATGCTCTGTGTAAAGGATCGTTCAACTCTGTGAGTTGAATACACACAACACAAGGAAGTTTCTGAGAATTCTTCTGTATAGCATAATATGAAGAAATCCCGTTCCAACAAAGGCCTCAAGGAGGTCTGCATATCCACTTGCAGACTTTACAAACAGAGTGTTTCCTAACTGCTCTATGAAAAGAAAGGTTAACCTCTGTGAGTTGAACGCACACATCACAAAGGAGTTTCTGAGAATCATTCTGTCTAGTTTCTATAGGAAGATATTTCCTATTCTACCATTGAACTCAAAGCGGCTGAAATCTCCACTTGCAAATTCCACAAAAAGAGTGTTTCAAGTCTGCTCTGTGTAAAGGATCGTTCAACTCTGTGAGTTGAATACACACAACACAAGGGAGTTACTGAGAATTCTTCTGTCTAGCATAGTATGAAGAAATCCCGTTTCCAACGAAGGCCTCAAAGAGGTCTGAATATCCACTTGCAGAGTTTACAAACAGAGTGTTTCCTAACTGCTCTATGAAAAGAAAGGTTAAACTCTGTGAGTTGAACGCACACATCACAAAGAAGTTTGCTGAGAATCATTCTGTCTAGTTTCTATAGGAAGATATTTCCTTTTCTACCATTGACCTCAAAGCGGCTGAAATCTCCACTTGCAAATTCCACAAAAAGAGTGTTTCAAGTCTGCTCTGTGTAAAGGATCGTTCAACTCTGTGAGTTGAATACACACAACACAAGGAAGTTCCTGAGAATTCTTCTGTCTAGCAGAATATGAAGAAATCCCGTTTCCAACGAAGGCCTCAAGGAAGTCTGAATATCCACTTGCAGACTTTACAAACAGAGTGTTTCCTAACTGCTCTATGAACAGAAAGGTTAAACTCTGTGAGTTGAACGAACACATCACAACGCAGTTTGTGGGAATGATTCTGTCTAGTTTTGAAACGAAGATATTTCCTTTTCTGCCATTGACCTTAAAGCCCTTGAAATCTCCACTTGCCAATTGCACAAAAAGAGTGTTTCAAATCTGCTCTGTCTAAGGGAACGTTCAACTCTGTGAGTTGAATGTACACAACACAAGGAAAGTTACTGGGAATTCTTCTGTCTAGCCTTACGTGAAAAAAACCCGTTTCCAACAAAGACCTCTAAGTGGTCAAAATATCCTCGTGCAGACTTTACAAACAGAGTGTTTCCAAAGTGCTGAATGAAAAGAAAAGTTAAACTCTGAGAGTTGAACGCACACATCACAGAGCATTTTCTGAGAATGATTCTGTCTAGTCTTTATACGAAGATATTTCCTTTTCTACTATTGACCTCAAAGCGGCTGAAATCTCCCCTTGCAAATTCCACAAAAAGAGTGTTTCAAGTCTGCTCTCTGTAAAGGATCGTTCAACTCTGTGAGTTGAATACACACAACACAAGGAAGTTACTGAGAATTCTTCTGTCTAGCCTTATATGAAAAAAACCCGTTTCCAACGAAGGCTTCAAAGAGGTCTGAATATCCTCTTGCAGACTTTACAAACAGAGTGTTTCCTAACTGCTCCATGAAAAGAAAGGTTAAACTCTGTGAGTTGAACACACACATCACAAAGGAGTTTCTGAGAATCATTCTGTCTAGTTTTTCTACGAAGATATTTCCTTTTCTACTATTGACCTCAAAGCGGCTGAAATCTCCACTTGCAAATTCCACAAAAAGAGTGTTTCAAGTCTGCTCTGTGTAAAGGATCGTACAACTCTGCGAGTTCAATACACACAACACAAGGAAGTTACTGAGAATTCTTCTGTCTAGCACAGTATGAAGAAATCCCGTTTCCAACGAAGACCTCAAAGAGGTCCGAATATCCACTTGCAGACTTTACAAACAGAGTGTTTCCTAACTGCTCTATGAAAAGAAAGGTTAAACTCTGTGAGTTGAACGCACACGTCACAATGAAGTTTCTGAGAATCATTCTGTCTAGTTTTTATACGAAGATATTTCCTTTTCTACCATTGACCTCAAAGCGGCTGAAATCACCACTTGCCAATTGCACAAAAAGAGTGTTTCAAATCTGCTCTGTCTAAGGGAACGTTCAACTCTGTGAGTTGAATGTACACAACACAAGGAAGTTACTGGGAATTCTTCTGTCTAGCCATACATGAAAAAAACCCGTTTCCAACGAAGGCCTCTAAGTGGTCAAAATGTCCACGTGCAGACTTTACAAACAGAGTGTTTCCAAACCGCTGAATGAAAAGAAAAGTTAAACTCTGAGAGTTGAACGCACACATCACGCAGCAGTTTCTGAGAATGATTCTGTCTAGTTTTTATACGAAGATATTTCCTTTTCTGCCTTTGGCCTCAAAGCGCTTGAAATCTCCACCTGCAAATTCCACAAAAAGAGTGTTTCAAATCTGCTCTGTGTAAATGAAAGTTCAACTCTGTGAGTTGAACACACACAACACAAGGAAGGTACTGGGAATTCTTCTGTCTAGCATAATATGAAGAAATCCCGTTTCCAACGAAGGCCTCAAAGGGGTCTGAATATCCACTTGCAGACTTTATAAACAGAGTATTTACTAACTGCTCTATGAAAAGAAAGGTTAAACTCTGTGATTTGAACGCACACATCACAAAGGAGTTTATGAGAATCATTCTGTCTAGTTTCTATAGGAAGATATTTCCTATTCTACCATTGAGCTCAAAGCGGCTGAAATCTCCACTTGCAAATTCCACAAAAAGAGTGTTTCAAGTCTGCTCTGTGTAAAGGATGGTTCAACTCTGTGAGTTGAATACACACAAAACAAGGAAGTTACTGAGAATTCTTCTGTCTAGCAGAATATGAAGAAATCCCGTTTCCAACGAAGGCGTCAAAGAGGTCTGAATATCCACTTGCAGACCTTAGAAACAGAGTGTTTCCTAACTGCTCTATGAAAAGAAAAGTTAAACTCTGTGAGTTGAACGCACACATCACAAAGGAGTTTCTGAGAATCATTCTGTCTAGTTTCTATAGGAAGATATTTCCTATTCTACCATTGACCTCAAAGCGGCTGAAATCTCCAGTTGCAAATTCCACAAAAAGAGTGTTTCAAGTCTGCTCTGTGTAAAGTATCGTTCAACTCTGTGAGTTGAATACACACAACACAAGGAAGTTACTGAGACTTCTTCTGTCTAGCAGAATTTGAAGAAATCCCGTTTCCAACGAAGGCCACAAGATGTCAGAATATCCACTTACAGAATTTACAAACAGAGTGTTTCCTAACTGCTCTATGAAAAGAAAGGTTAAACTCTGTGAGATGAACCAACACATCACAACGCAGTTTGTGGGAATGATTCTGTCTAGTTTTGAAACGAAGATATTTCCTTTTCTGCCATTGAACTTAAAGCGCTTGAAATCTCCACTTGCCAATTGCACAAAAAGACTGTTTCAAATCTGCTCTGTCTAAGGGAACGTTCAACTCTGTGAGTTGAATGTACACAACACAAGGGAAGTTACTGCGAATTCTTCTGTCTAGCCTTACAGGAAAGAAACCCGTTTCCAACGAAGGCCTCTAAGTGGTCAAAATATCCACGTGCAGACTTTACAAACAGAGTGTTTCCAAAATGCTGAATGAAAAGAAAAGTTAAACTCTGAGAGTTGAACGCACACATCGCAGAGCAGTTTCTGAGAATGATTCTGTCTAGTTTTTATACGAAGATATTTCCTTTTCTGCCTTTGACCTCAAAGCGCTTGAAATCTCCACTTGCAAATTCCACAAAAAGAATGTTTCCAATCTGCTCTGTGTAAATGAAAGTTCAACTCTGTGAGTTGAACACACACAACACAAGGAAGTTACTGGGAATTCTTCTGTCTAGCAGAATATGAAAAAATCCCGTTTCCATCGAAGGCCTCAAAGTAGGTCTGAATATCCACTTGCAGACTTTACAAACAGAGTGTTTCCTAACTGCTCTATGAAAAGAAAGGTTAAACCCTGTGAGTTGAACGCACACATCACAAAGGAGTTTATGAGAATCATTCTGTCTATTTTCTATAGGAAGATATTTCCTATTCTACCATTGACCTCAAAGCGGCTGAAATCTCCACTTGCAAATTCCACAAAAAGAGTGTTTCAATTCTGCTCTCTGTAAAGGATCGTTCAACTCTGTGAGTTGAATACACACAACACAAGGAAGTTACTGAGAATTATTCTGTCTAGCCTTACATGAAAAAAACCCGTTTCCAACGAAGGCCTCTAAGTGGTCAAGTTATCCACGTGCAGACTTTACAAACAGAGTGTTTCCAAACTGCTGAATGAAAAGCAAAGTTAAACTCTGAGAGTTGAACGCACACATCGCAGAGCAGTTTCTGAGAATGATTCTGTCTAGTTTTTATACGAAGATATTTCCTTTTCTACCTTTGGCCACAAAGCGCTTGAAATCTCCACTTGCAAATTCCACAAAAACAGTGTTTCAAATCTGCTCTCTCTAAATGAAAGTTTAACTCTGTCAGTTGAATACACACAACACAAGGAAGTTACTGAGAATTCTTCTGTCTAGCAGAATATGAAGAAATCTCGTTTCCAACGAAGGCCTCAAAGAGGTCTGAATATCCACTTGCAGACTTTACAAACAGAGTGTTTCCTAACTGCTCTATGAAAAGAAAAGTTAAACTCTGTGAGTTGAACGCACACATCACAAAGGAGTTTCTGAGAATCATTCTGTCTAGTCTTTATACGAAGATATTTCCTTTTCTACCATTGACCTCAAAGCGGCTGAAATCTCCACTTGGAAATTCCACAAAAAGAGTGTTTCAAGTCTGCTCTGTGTAAAGGATCGTTCAACTCTGTGAGTTGAATACACACAACACAAGGAAGTTACTGAGAATTCTTCTGTCTAGCCTTACATGAAAAAAACCCGTTTCCAACGAAGGCCTCTAAGTGGTCAAAATATCCACGTGCAGACTTTACAAACACAGTGTTTCCAAACCGCTGAATGAAAAGAAAAGTTAAACTCTGAGAGTTGAACGCACACATCTCGCAGCAGTTTCTGAGAATGATTCTGTCTAGTTTTTATACGAAGATATTTCCTTTTCTGCCTTTGGCCTCAAAGCGCTTGAAATCTCCATTTGCAAATTCCACAAAAAGAGTGTTTCAAATCTGCTCTGTCTAAATGAAAGTTCAACTCTGTGAGTTGAACACACACAACACAAGGGAAGTTACTGGGAATTCTTCTTTCTAGCAGAATATGAAGAAATCCCGTTTCCAACGAAAGCCTCAAGGATGTCTGAATATCCACTTGCAGACTTTACAAACAGAGTGTTTCCTAACTGCTCTATGAAAAGACAGGTTAAACTCTGTGAGTTGAACGCACACATCACAAAGGAGTTTCTGAGAATCATTCTGTCTAGTTGTTATACGAAGATATTTCCTTTTCTACCATTTACCTCAAAGCGGCTGAAATCTCCACTTGCAAATTCCACCAAATGAGTGTTTCAAATCTGCTCTGTGTAAACTATCGTTCAACTCTGTGAGTTGAATACACACAACACAAGGAAGATTCTGAGAATTCTTCTGTCTAGCCTTATATGAAAAAAACCCGTTTCCAACGAAGGCCTCAAAGAGGTCTGAATATCCACTTGCAGACTTTACAAACACAGTGTTTCCTAACTGCTCTATGAAAAGAAAGGTTAAACTCTGTGAGTTGAACGCACACATCACAAAGGAGTTTCTGAGAATCATTTCTGTCTAGTTTTTATAGGAAGTTATTTCCTTTTCTACCTTTGACTTCAAAGTGGCTGAAATCTCCACTTGCAAATTCCACAAAAAGAGTGTTACAAGTCTGCTCTGTGTAAAGGATCGTTCAACTCTGTGAGTTGAATACACACAACACAAGGAAGTTACTGGGAATTCTTCTGTCTAGCAGAATATGAAGAAATCCCGTTTCCAACGAAGGCCACATGATGTCAGAATATCCACTTACAGAATTGACAAACAGACTGTTTCCTAACTGCTCTATGAAAAGAAAGGTTAAACTCTGTGAGTTGAACGAACACATCACAACGCAGTTTGTGGGAATGATTCTGTCTAGTTTTGAAACGAAGATATTTCCTTTTCTGCCATTGAACTTAAAGCGCTTGAAATCTCCATTTGCCAATTGCACAAAAAGAGTGTTTCAAATCTGCTCTGTCTAAGGGAACGTTCAACTCTGTGAGTTGAATGTACACAACACAAGGAAGTTACTGGGAATTCTTCTGTCTAGCCTTACAAGAAAAAAACCCGTTTCCAACGAAGGCCTCTAAGTGGTCAAAATATCCACGTGCAGACTTTACAAACATAGTGTTTCCAAACTGCTGAATGAAAAGAAAAGTTAAACTCTGAGAGTTGAACGCACACATCGCAGAGCAGTTTCTGAGAATGATTCTGTCTAGTTTTTATACGAAGATATTTCCTTTTCTGCCTTTGGCCCCAAAGCGTTTGAAATCTCCACTTGCAAATTCCACAAAAACAGTGTTTCAAATGTGCTCTCTCTAAATGAAAGTTCAGCTCTGTCAGTTGAATACACACAACACAAGGAAGTTACTGAGAATTCTTCTGTCTAGCAGAATATGAAGAAATCCCTTTTCCAACGAAGGCCTCAAGGAGGTCTGAATATCCACTTGCAGACTTTACAAACAGAGTGTTTCCTAACTGCTCTATGAAAAGAAAGGTTAAACTCTGTGAGTTGAACGCACACATCACAATGGAGTTCATGAGAATCATTCTGTCTAGTTTTTATAGGAAGATATTTCCTTTTCTACCTTTGACTTCAAAGCGGCTGAAATCTCCACTTGCAAATTCCACAAAAAGTGTGTTACAAGTCTGCTCTGTGTAAAGGATCGTTCAACTCTGTGAGTTGAATACACACAATACAAGGAAGTTACTGAGAATTCTTCTGTCTAGCATAGTATGAAGAAATCCCGTTTCCAACGAAGGCCTCAAAGAGGTCTGAATATCCACTTGCAGAGTTTACAAACAGAGTGTTTCCTAACTGCTCTATTAAAAGAAAGGTTAAACTCTGTGAGTTGAACGCACACATCACAAAGAAGTTTCTGAGAATCATTCTGTCTAGTTTCTATAGGAAGATATTTCCTATTCTACCATTGACCTCAAAGAGTCTGAAATCTCCACTTGCAAATTCCACAAAAAGAGTGTTTCTACTCTGCTCTGTGTAAAGGATCGTTCAACTCTTTGAGTTGAATACACACAACACAAGGAAGTTACTGAGAATTCTTCTGTCTAGCATAATAGGAAGAAACCCCGTTTCCAACGAAGGCCTCAAGGAGGTCTGAATATCCACTTGCAGAGTTTACAAACAGAGTGTTTCCTAACTGCTCTTTGAAAAGAAAGGTTAAACTCTGTGAGTTGAACGCACACATCACAAAGGAGTTTCTCAGAATCATTCTGTCTAGTTTTGAAACGAAGATATTTCCTTTTCTGCCATTGAACTTAAAGCGCTTGAAATCTCCATTTGCCAATTGCACAAAAAGAGTGTTTCAAATCTGCTCTGTCTAAGGGAACGTTCAACTCTGTGAGTTGAATGTACACAACACAAGGAAGTTACTGGGAATTCTTCTGTCTACCCTTACATGAAAAAAACCCGTTTCCAACGAAGGCCTCTAAGTGGGCAAAATATCCACGTGCAGACTTTACAAACAGAGTGTTTCCAAACTGCTGAATGAAAAGAAAAGTTAAACTCTGAGAGTTGAACGCACACATCACAGAGCAGTTTCTGAGAATGATTCTGTCTAGTTTTTATACGAAGATATTTCCTATTCTGCCTTTGGCCTCAAAGCGCTTGAAATCTCCACTTGCAAATTCCACAAAAAGAGTGTTTCAAGTCTGCTCTGTGTAAAGGATCGTTCAACTCTGTGAGTTGAATACACACAACACAAGGAAGATTCTGAGAATTCTTCTGTCTAGCAGAATATGAAGAAATCCCGCTTCCAACGATGGCCTCAAAGAAGTCTGAAAATCCACTTGCAGACTTTACAAACAGAGTGTTTCCCAACTGCTCTATGAAAAGAAAGGTTGAACTCTGTGAGTTGAACGCACACATCACAAAGGAGTTTCTGAGAATCATTCTGTCTAGTTTCTATAGGAAGATATTTCCTATTCTACCATTGACCTCAAAGCGGCAGAAATCTGCACTTGCAAAATCCACAAAAAGACTGTTTCAAGACTGCTCTGTGTAAAGGATCGTTCAACTCTGTGAGTTGAATACACACAACACAAGGAAGTTACTGAGAATTCTTCTGTCTATCAGAATATGAAGAAATCCTGTTTCCAACGAAGGCCTCAAAGATGTCTCAATATCCACTTGCAGACTTTACAAACAGAGTGTTTCCTAACTGCTCTATGAAAAGAAAGGTTAAACTCTGTGAGTTGAACGCACCCATCACAAAGGAGTTTCTGAGAATCATTCTGTCTAGTTTTTATAGGAAGTTATTTCCTTTTCTACCTTTGACTTCAAAGTGGCTGAAATCTCCACTTGCAAATTCCACAAAAAGAGTGTTACAAGTCTGCTCTGTGTAAAGGATCGTTCAACTCCATGAGTTGAATACACACAACACAAGGAAGTTACTGAGAATTCTTCTGTCTAGCATAATATGAAGAAATCCCGTTTCCAACGAAGGCCTCAAAGAGGTCTGAATATCCACTTGCAGGCTTTACAAACTGAGTGTTTCCTAACTACTCTATGAAAAGAAAGGTTAAACTCTGTGAGGTAACGAACACATCACAACGCAGTTTGTGGGAATGATTCTGTCTAGTTTTGAAACGAAGATATTTCCTTTTCTGCCATTGACCTTAAAGCGCTTGAAATCTCCACTTGCCAATTGCACAAAAAGAGTGTTTCAAATCTGCTCTGTCTAAGGGAACGTTCAACTCTGTGAGTTGAATGTACACAACAGAAGGAAGTTACTGGGAATTCTTCTGTCTATCCTTACATGAAAAAAACCCGTTTCCAACGAAGACCTCTAAGTGGTGAAATTATCCACGTGCAGACTTTACAAACAGAGTGTTTCCAAACTGCTGAATGAAAAGAAAAGTTAAACTCTGAGAGTTGAACGCACACATCGCAGAGCAGTTTGCTGAGAATGATTCTGTCTAGTTTTTATACGAAGATATTTCCTTTTCTGCCTTTGGCCTCAAAGCGCTTGAAATCTCCATTTGCAAATTCCACAAAAAGAGTGTTTCAAATCTGCTCTGTGTAAATGAAAGTTCAACTCTGTGAGTTGAACACACACATCACAAGGAAGTTACTGGGAATTCTTCTGTCTAGCAGAATATGAAGAAATCCCGTTTCCAACGAAGGCGTCAAAGAGGTCTGAATATCCACTTGCAGACTTTACAAACAGAGTGTTTCCTAACTGCTCTATGAAAAGAAAAGTTAAACTCTGTGAGTTGAATGCACACATCACAAAGGAGTTTCTGAGAATCATTGTGTCTAGTTTCTATAGGAAGATACTTCCTATTCTACCATTGACCTCAAAGCGGCTGAAATCTCCACTTGCAAATTCCACAAAAAGAGTGTTTCAAGTCTGCTCTGTGTAAAGGATCGTTCAACTCTGTGAGTTGAATACACACAACACCAGGAAGTTACTGAGAATTCTTCTGTCTAACATAATATGAAGAAATCCCGTTTCCAACGAAGGCCTCAAGGAGGTCTGAATATCCACTTGCAGACTTTACAAACAGAGTGTTTCCTAACTGCTCTATGAAAAGAAAGGTTAAACTCTGTGAGTTGAACGCACACATCACAAAGGAGTTTCTGAGAATCATTCTGTCTAGTTTTTATACCAAGATATTTCCTTTTCTACCATGGACCTCAAAGCGGCTGAAATCTCCACTTGCAAATTCCACAAAAAGAGTGTTTCAAGTCTGCTCTGTGTAAAGGATCGTTCAACTCTGTGAGTTGAATACACACAACACAAGGAAGATTCTGAGAATTCTTCTGTCTAGCAGAATATGAAGAAATCCCGTTTCCAACGAAGGCCACAAGATGTCAGAATATCCACTTACAGACTTTACAAATAGAGTGTTTCCTAACTGCTCTATGAACAGAAAGGTTAAACTCTGTGAGTTGAACGAACACATCACAACGCAGTTTGTGGGAATGATTCTGTCTAGTTTTGAAACGAAGATATTTCCTTTTCTGCCATTGACCTTAAAGCGCTTGAAATCTCCACTTGCCAATTGCACAAAAAGAGTGTTTCAAATCTGCTCTGTCTAATGGAACGTTCAACTCTCTGAGTTGAATGTACACAACACAAGGAAGTTACTGGGAATTCGTCTGTCTAGCCTTACATGAAAAAAACCCGTTTCCAACGAAGGCCTCTAAGTGGTCAAAATATCCATGTGCAGACTTTACAAACAGAGTGTTTCCAAACCGCTGAATGAAAAGAAAAGTTAAACTCTGAGAGTTGAACGCACACATCACGCAGCAGTTTCTGAGAATGATTCTGTCTAGTTTTTATACGAAGATATATCCTTTTCTGCCTTTGGCCCCAAAGCGCTTGAAATCTCCACTTGCAAATTCCACAAAAACAGTGTTCCAAATCTGCTCTCTCTAAATGAAAGTTCAACTCTGTCAGTTGAATACACACAACACAAAGAAGTTACTGAGAATTCTTCTGTCTAGTATAATAGGAAGAAATCCCGTTTCCAAAGAAGGCCTCAAGGAGGTCTGAATATCCACTTGCAGACTTTACAAACAGAGTGTTTCCTAACTGCTCTATAAAAAGAAAGGTTAAACTCTGTGAGTTGAACGCACACATCACAAAGGAGTTTCTGAGAATCATTCTGTCTAGTTTTTATACGAAGATATTTCCTTTTCTACCATGGACCTCAAAGCGGCTGAAATCTCCACTTGCAAATTCCACAAAAAGAGTGTTTCAAGTCTGCTCTGTGTAAAGGATCGTTCAACTCTGTGAGTTGAATACACACCACACAAGGAAGATTCTGAGAATTCTTCTGTCTAGCCTTATATGAAAAAAACCCGTTTCCAACGAAGGCCTCAAAGAGGTCTGAATATCCACTTGCAGACTTTACAAACCGAGTGTTTCCTAACTGCTCTATGAAAAGAAAGGTTAAACTCTGTGAGTTGAACGCACACATCACAAAGGAGTTTCTGAGAATCATTCTGTCTAGTTTTTATACGAAGATATTTCCTTTTCTACCATTGACCTCAAAGCGGCTGAAATCTCCACTTGCAAATTCCACAAAAAGAGTGTTTCAAATCTGCTCTGTGTAAACCATCGTTCAACTCTGTGAGTTGAATACACACAACACTAGGAAGATTCTGAGAATTCTTCTGTCTAGCAGAACATGAAGAAATCCCGTTTCCAACGAAGGCCTCAAAGAGGTCTGAATATCCACTTGCAGACTTTACAAACAGAGTGTTTCCTAACTGCTCTATGAAAAGAAAGGTTAAACTCTGTGAGTTGAACGAACACATCACAACGCAGTTTGTGGGAATGATTCTGTCTAGTTTTGAAACGAAGATATTTCCTTTTCTGCCATTGACCTGAAAGCGCTTCAAATCTACACTTGCAAATTGCACAAATAGAGTGTTTCAAATCAGCTCTGTCTAAGGGAACGTTCAACTCTGTGAGTTGAATGCACACAACACAAGGAAGTTACTGGGAATTCTTCTGTCTAGCACAGTATGAAGAAATCCCGTTTCCAACGAAGGCCTCTAAGTGGTCAAATTATCCACGTGCAGACTTTACAAACAGAGTGTTTCCAAACTGCTGAATGAAAAGAAAAGTTAAACTCTGAGAGTTGAACGCACACATCGCAGAGCAGTTTCTGAGAATGATTCTGTCTAGTTTTTATACGAAGATATTTCCTTTTCTGCCTTTGGCCCCAAAGCGCTTGAAATCTCCACTTGCAAATTCCAAAAAAACAGTGTTTCAAATCTGCTCTCTCTAAATGAAAGTTCAACTCTGTCAGTTGAATACACACAACACAAGGAAGTTACTGAGAATTCTTCTGTCTAGCATAATATGAAGAAATCCCGTTTCCAACGAAGGCCTCAAAGAGGTCTGAATATCCACTTGCAGACTTTACAAACAGAGTGTTTCCTAACTGCTGTATGAAAAGAAAAGTTAAACTCTGTGTGTTGAACGCACACATCACAAAGGAGTTTCTGAGAATCATTCTGTCTAGTTTCTATAGGAAGATATTTCCTATTCTACCATTGAACTCAAAGCGGCTGAAATCTCCACTTGCAAATTCCACAAAAAGAGTGTTTCAAGTCTGCTCTGTGTAAAGGATCGTTCAATTCTGTGAGTTGAATACACACAACACAAGGAAGTTACTGAGAATTCTTCTGTCTAGCATTGTATGAAGAAATCCCGTTTCCAACGAAGGCCTCAAAGAGGTCTGAATATCCACTTGCAGACTTTACAAACAGAGTGTTTCCTAACTGCTCTATGAAAAGAAAGGTTAAACTCTGTGAGTTGAACGCACACATCACAAAGAAGTTTCTGAGAATCATTCTGTCTAGTTTTTATACGAAGATATTTCCTTTTCTACCATTGACCTCAAAGCGGCTGAAATCTCCACTTGCAAATTCAACCAAAAGAGTGTTTCAAATCTGCTCTGTGTAAACCATCGTTCAACTCTGTGAGTTGAATACACACAACACAAGGAAGATTCTGAGAATTCTTCTGTCTAGCAGAATATGAAGAAATCCCCTTTCCAACGAAGGCCACAAAATGTCAGAATATCCACTTACAGACTTTACAAACAGAGTGTTTCCTAACTGCCGTATGAACAGAAAGGTTAAACTCTGTGAGTTGAACGAACACATCACAACGCAGTTTGTGGGAATGATTCTGTCTAGTTTTAATACGAAGATATTTCCTTTTCTACCATTGACCTCAAAGCGGCTGAAATCACCACTTGCCAATTGCACAAAAAGAGTGTTTCAAATCTGCTCTGTCTAAGGGAACGTTCAACTCTGTGAGTTGAATGTACACAACACAAGGAAGTTACTAGGAATTCTTCTGTCTAGCCTTACATGACAAAAACCGGTTTCCAACGAAGGCCTCTAAGTGTTCAAAATATCCACGTGCAGACTTTACAAACAGAGTGTTTCCAAACTGCTGAATGAAAAGAAAAGGTAAACTCTGAGAGCTGAACGCACGCATCGCAGAGCAGTTTCTGAGAATGATTCTGTCTAGTTTTTATACGAAGATATTTCCTTTTCTCCCTTTGGCCTCAAAGCGCTTGAAATCTCCACTTGCAAATTCCACAAAAAGAGTGTTTCAAATCTGCTCTGTCTAAATGAAAGTTCAACTCTGTCAGTTGAATACACACAACACAAGGAAGTTACTGAGAATTCTTCTGTCTAGCAGAATATGAAGAAATCCCGTTTCCAACGAAGGCCTCAAAGAGGTCTGAATATCCACTTGCAGAGTATACAAACAGAGTGTTTCCCAACTGCTCTATTAAAAGAAAGGTTAAACTCTGTGAGTTGAACGCACACATCACAAAGGAGTTTCTGAGAATCTTTCTGTCTAGTTTTTCTACGAAGATATTTCCTTTTCTACTATTGACCTCAAAGCGGCTGAAAGCTCCACTTGCAAATTCCACAAAAAGAGTGTTTCAAGTCTGCTCTGTGTAAAGGATCGTTCAACTCTGTGAGTTGAATACACACAACACAAGGAAGTTAGTGAGAATTCTTCTGTCTAGCAGAATATGAAGAAATCCCGTTTCCACCGAAGACCTCAAGTAGGTCTGAATATCCACTTGCAGAATTTACAAACAGAGTGTTTCCTAACTGCTCTATGAACAGAAAGGGTAAACTCTGTGAGTTGAACGCACACATCACAAAGGAGTTTCTGAGAATCATTCTGTCTAGTTTTTATATGAAGATATTTCCTTTTCTACCATTGACCTCAAAGCGGCTGAAATCTCCACTTGCAAATTCCACAAAAAGAGTGTTTCAAATCTGCTCTGTGTAAACAATCGTTCAACTGTGTGAGTTGAATACACACAACACAAGGAAGATTCTGAGAATTCTTCTGTCTAGCAGAATATGAAGAAATCCCGTTTCCCACGAAGGCCACAAGATGTCAGAATATCCACTTACAGACTTTACAAACAGAGTGTTTCCTAACTGCTCTATGAACAGAAAGGTTAAACTCTGTGAGTTGAACGAACACATCACAACGCAGTTTGTGGGAATGATTCTGTCTAGTTTTGAAACGAAGATATTTCCTTTTCTGCAATTGACCTTAAAGAGCTTGAAATCTACACTTGCAAATTGCACAAATAGAGTGTTTCAAATCTGCTCTGTCTAAGGGAACGTTCAACTCTGTGAGTTGAATGCAGACAACACAAGGAAGTTACTCGGAATTCTTCTGTCTAGGCTTACATGAAAAAAACCCGTTTCCAAGGAAGGCCTAAAAGAGGTCAAAATATCCACGTGCAGACTTTACAAACAGAGTGTTTCCTAACTGCTCTATGAAAAGAAAGGTTAAAATCTGTGAGTTGAACGCACTCATCACAAAGAAGTTTCTGAGAATCATTCTGTCTAGTTTTGAAACGAAGATATTTCTTTTTCTGCCTTTGGCCTCAAAGCGCTTGAAATCTCCACTTGCAAATTCCACAAAAAGAGTGTTTCAAATCTGCTCTGTGTAAATGAAAGTTCAACTCTGTGAGTTGAACACACACAACACAAGGAAGTTACTGGGAATTCTTCTGTCTAGCCTTATATGAAAAAAACCCGTTTCCAACGAAGGCCTCAAAGAGGTCTGAATATCCTCTTGCAGACTTTACAAACAGAGTGTTTCCTAACTGCTCTATGAAAAGAAAGGTTAAACTCTGTGAGTTGAACACACACTTCACAAAGGAGTTTCCGAGAATCATTCTGTCTAGTTTTTATACGAAGATATTTCCTTTTCTACCATTGACCTCAAAGCAGCTGAAATCTCCACCCTGCCAATTCCACAAAAAGAGTGTTTCAAGTCTACTCTGTGTAAAGGATCGTTGAACTCTGTGATTTGAAAACACACAACACAACGAAGTTTCTGAGAATTCTTCTTTCTAGCAGAATATGAAGAAATCCCGTTTCCAAGGAAAGCCTCAAGGATGTCTGAATATCCACTTGCAGACTTTACAAACAGAGTGTTTCCTAACTGCTCTATGAAAAGAAAGGTTAAACTCTGTGAGTTGAACGCACACATCACAAAGGAGGTTCTGAGAATCATTCTGTCTAGTATCTATAGGAAGATATTTCCTATTCTACCATTGACCTCAAATCGGCTGAAATCTCCACTTGCAAATTCCAGAAAAAGAGTGTTTCAAGTCTGCTCTGTGTAAAGGATCGTTCAACTCTGTGAGTTGAATACACACAACACAAGGAAGTTACTGAGAATTCTTCTGTCTAGTATTATAGGACGAAATCCTGTTTCCAACGAAGTCCTCAAAGAGGTCAGAATATCCACTTGCAGACTTGACAAACAGAGCGCTTACAAACGGCTCTATGAAAAGAAAGGTTAAACTCTGTGAGTTGAACGCACACATCACAATGCAGTTTGTGGGAATGATACTGTCTAGTTTTGAAACGAAGTTATTTCCTTTTCTGCCATTGACCTCAAAGCGCTTGAAATCTCCACTTGCAAATTGCACAAAAAGAGTGTTTCAAATCTGCTCTGTCTAAAGGAACGTTCAACTCTGTGAGTTGAATGCACACAACACAAAGAAGTTACTGGGAATTCTTCTGTCTAGCCTTACAGGAAAAAAACCCGTTTCCAACGAAGGCCTCTAAGTGGTCAAAATATCCACGTGCAGACTTTACAAACAGAGTGTTTCAAAACTGCTGAATGAAAAGAAAAGTCAAACTCTGAGAGTTGAACGCACACATCGCAGAGCAGTTTCTGAGAATGATTCTGTCTAGTTTTTATACGAAGATATTTCCTTTTCTGCCTTTGGCCCCAAAGCGCTTGAAATCTCCACTTGCAAATTCCACAAAAACAGTGTTGCAAATCTGCTCTCTATAAATGAAAGTTCAACTCTGTGAGTGGAATACACACAACACAAGGAAGTTACTGAGAATTCTTCTGTCTAGCATAATATGAAGAAATCCCGTTTCCAACGAAGGACCTCAAAGGGGTCTGAATATCCACTTGCAGACTTTATAAACAGAGTGTTTCCTAACTGCTCTATGAAAAGAAAGGTTAAACTCTGTGAGTTGAACACACACATCACAAAGGAGTTTCTGAGAATCATTCTGTCTAGTTTTGAAACGAAGATATTTCCTTTTCTGCATTTGGCCTCAAAGCGCTTGAAATCTCCACTTGCAAATTCCACAAAAAGAGTGTTACAAGTCTGCTCTGTGTAAAGGATCGTTCAACTCTGTGAGTTGAATACACACAACACAAGGAAGTTACTGAGAATTCTTCTGTCTAGCGGAATATGAAGAAATCCCGTTTCCAACGAAGGTCTCAAGGAGGTCTGAATATCCACTTGCAGACTTTACAAACAGAGTGTTTCCTAACTGCTCTATGAACAGAAAGGTTAAACTCTGTGAGTTGAACGCACACATCCCAAAAGAGTTTCTGAGAATCATTCTGTCTATTTTCTATAGGAAGATATATCCTATTCTACCATTGACCTCAAAGCGGGTGAAATCTCCACTTGCAAATTCCACAAAAAGAGTGTTTCAAGTCTCCTCTGTGTAAAGGATCGTTCAACTCTGTGAGTTGAATACACACAACACAAGGAAGTTACTGAGAATTCTTCTGTCTAGCAGAATATGAAGAAATCCCGTTTCCAACGAAGGCCTCAAAGAGGTCTGAATATCCACTGGCAGACTTTAAAAACAGAGTGTTTCCTAACTGCTCTATGAACAGAAAGGTTAAACTCTGTGAGTTGAACGAACACATCACAACGCAGTTTGTGGGAATGATTCTGTCTAGTTTTGAAACGAAGATATTTCCTTTTCTGCCATTGACCTTAAAGCGCTTGAAATCTACACTTGCAAATTGCACAAATAGAGTGTTTCAAACCTGCTCTGTCTAAGGGAACGTTCAACTCTGTGAGTTGAATGCACACAACACAAGGAAGTTACTGGGAATACTTCTGTCTAGCCTTACATGAAAAAAACCCGTTTCCAACGAAGGCCCCTAAGTGGTCAAAATTTCCACGTGCAGACTTTACAAACAGAGTGTTTCCAAACCGCTGAATGAAAAGAAAAGTTAAACTCTGAGAGTTGAACGCACACATCACGCAGCAGTTTCTGAGAATGATTCTGTCTAGTTTTTATACAAAGATATTTCCTTTTCTGCCTTTGGCCTCAAAGCGCTTGAAATCTCCATTTGCAAATTCCACAAAAAGAGTGTTTCAAATCTGCTCTGTGTAAATGAAAGTTCAACTCTGTGAGTTGAACACACACAACACAAGGAAGTTACTGGGAATTTCTTCTGTCTAGCAGAATATGAAGAAATCCCATTTCCAACGAAGGCCTCAAGGAGGTCTGAATATCCACTTGCAGACTTTACAAACAGAGTGTTTCCTAACTGCTCTAAGAAAAGAAAGGTTAAACTCTGTGAGTTGAACGCACACATCACAAAGGAGTTTCTGAGAATCATTCTGTCTAGTTTCTATAGGAAGATATTTCCTATCCTACCATTGACCTCAAAGCGGCTGAAATCTCCAATTGCAAATTCCACAAAAAGAGTGTTTCAAGTCTGCTCTGTGTAAAGTGTCGTTCAACTCTTTGAGTTGAATACACACAACACAAGGAAGTTACTGAGAATTCTTCTGTCTAGCAGAATATGAAGAAATCCCGTTTCCACCGAAGGCCTCAAGGAGGTCAGAATATCCACTTGCAGACTTTACAAACAGTGTGTTTCCTAACTGCTCTATGTAAACAAAGGTTAAACTCTGTGAGTTGAACGCACACATCACAAAGGAGTTTGTGAGAATCATTCTGTCTAGTTTCTATAGGAAGATATTTCCTATTCTACCATTGACCTCAAAGAGGCTGAAACCTCCACTTGCAAATTCCACTAAAAGAGTGTTTCAAGTCTGCTCTTTGTAAAGGATCGTTCAAATCTGTGAGGTGAATACACACAACACAAGGAAGTTACTGAGAATTCTTCTGTCTAGCAGAATATGAAGAAATCCCGTTACCAATAAGGCCACAAGATGTCAGAATATCAACTTACAGACTTTACAAACAGAGTGTTTCCTAACTGTTCTATGAAAAGAAAAGTTTAACTCTGTGAGTTGAACGAACACATCACAACGCAGTTTGTGGGAATGATTCTGTCTAGTTTTGAAACGAAGATATTTCCTTTTCTGCCATTGACCTCAAAGCGCTTGAAATCTACACTTGCAAATTGCACAAATAGAGTGTTTCAAATCTGGTCTGTCTAAGGGAACGTTCAACTCTGTGAGTTGAATGCACACAACACAAGGAAGTTGCTGGGAATTCTTCTGTCTAGCCTTACATGAAAAAAACCCGTTTCCAACGAAGGCCTCTAAGTGGTCAATATATCCACGTGCAGACTTTACAAACAGAGTGTTTCCAAACCGCTGAATGAAAAGAAAAGTTAAATTCTGAGAGTTGAACGCACACATCACGCAGCAGTTTCTGATAATGATTCTCTGTCTAGTTTTTATACGAAGATATTTCCTTTTCTGCCTTTGGCCCCAAAGCACTTGAAATCTCCAATTGCAAATTCCACAAAAACAGTGTTTCAAATCTGCTCTCTCTAAATGAAAGTTCAACTCTGTGAGTTGAATACACACAACACAAGGAAGTTACTGAGAACTCTTCTGTCTAGCCTTATATGAAAAAAACCCGTTTCCAACGAAGGCCTCAAAGAGGTCTGAATATCCACTTGTAGACTTTACAAACAGAGTGTTTCCTAACTGCTCTATGAAAAGAAAGGTTAAACTCTGTGAGTTAAACGCACAAATCACAAAGGAGTTTCTGAGAATCATTCTGTCTAGTTTCTATAGGAAGGTATTTCCTATTGTACCATTGACCTCAAAGCGGCTGAAATCTCCACTTGCAAATTCCACAAAAAGAGTGTTTCAAGACTGTTCTGTGTAAAGGATCATTCAACTCTGTGAGTTGAATACACACAACACAAGGAAGTTACTGAGAATTCTTCTGTCTAGCCTTACATGAAAAAAACCCGTTTCCAACGAAGGCCTCCAAGTGGTCAAGTTATCCACGTGCAGACTTTACAAACAGAGTGTTTCCAAACTGCTGAATGAAAAGAAAAGTTAAACTCTGAGAGTTGAACGCACACATCCCAGAGCAGTTTCTGAGAATGATTCCGTCTAGTTTTTATACGAAGATATTTCCTTTTCTGCCTTTGGCCCCAAAGTGCTTGAAATCTCCACTTGCAAATTCCACAAAAACAGGGTTTCAAATCTGCTCTCTCTAAATGAAAGTTCAACTCTGTCAGTTGAATACACACAACACAAGGAAGTTACTGAGAATTCTTCTGTCTAGCAGAATATGAAGAAAACCCGTTTCCAACGAAGGCCTCAAAGAGGTCTGAATATCCACTTGCAGACTTTACAAACAGAGTGTTTCCTAACTGCTCTATGAAAAGAAAAGTTAAACTCTGTGAGTTGAACGCACACATCACAAAGGAGTTTCTGAGAATCATTCTGTCTAGTTTCTGTAGGAAGATATTTCCTATTCTACCATTGAACTCAAAGCGGCTGAAATCTCCACTTGCAAATTCCACAAAAAGAGTGTTTCAAGTCTGCTCTGTGTAAAGGATCGTTCAACTCTGTGAGTTGAATACACACAACACAAGGAAAGTTACTGAGAATTCTTCTGTCTAGCAGAATATGAAGAAATCCCGTTTCCAACGAAGGCCACAAGGTGTCAGAATATCCACTTACAGACTTTACAAACAGAGTGTTTCCTAACTGCTCTATGAACAGAAAGGTTAAACTCTGTGTGTTGAACGCACACATCACAAAGGAGTTTATGAGAATCATTCTGTCTAGTTTCTATAGGAAGATATTTCCTATTCTACCATTGACCTCAAAGCGGCTGAAATCTCCACTTGCAAATTCCACAAAAAGAGTGTTTCAAGTCTGCTCTGTGTAAAGGATCGTTCAACTCTGTGAGTTGAATACACACAACACATGGAAGTTACAGAGAATTATTCTGTCTAGCAGAATATGAAGAAATCCCGTTTCCAACGAAGGCCACAAGATGTCAGAATATCCACTTACAGAATTGACAAACAGACTGTTTGCTAACTGCTCTATGAAAAGAAAGGTTAAACTCTGTGAGTTGAACAAACACATCACAACGCAGTTTGTGGGAATGATTCTGTCTAGTTTTGAAACGAAGATATTTCCTTTTCTGTCATTGACCTTAAAGCGCTAGAAATCTACACTTGCAAATTGCACAAATAGAGTGTTTCAAATCTGCTCTGTCTAAGGGAACGTTCAACTCTGTGAGTTGAATGCACACAACACAAGGAAGTTACTGGGAATTCTTCTGTCTAGCCTTACAGGAAAAAAACCCGTTTCCAACGAAGGCCTCTAAGTGGTCAAAATATCCACGTGCAGACTTTACAAACAGAGTGTTTCCAAACTGCTGAATGAAAAGAAAAGTTAAACTCTGAGAGTTGAACGCACACATCGCAGAGCAGTTTCTGAGAATGATTATCTGTCTAATTTTTATACGAAGATATTTCCTTTTCTGCATTTGGCCTCAAAGCGCTTGAAATCTCCATTTGCAAATTCCACAAAAAGAGTGTTTCAAATCTGCTCTGTGTAAATGAAAGTTCAACTCTGTGAGTTGAACACACACAACACAAGGAAGTTACTGGGAATTCTTCTGTTTAGCCTTATAAGTAAAAAACCCGTTTCCAACGAAGGCCTCAAAGAGGTCTGAATATCCACTTGCAGACTTTACAAACAGAGTGTTTCCTAACTGCTCTATGAAAAGAAAGGTTAAACTCTGTGAGTTGAACGCACACATCACAAAGGAGTTTCTGAGAATCATTCTGTCTAGTTTTTATACGAAGATATTTCCTTTTCTACCATTGACCTCAAAGCGGCTGAAATCTCCACTTGCAAATTACACAAAAAGAGTGTTTCAAGTCTGCTCTGTGTAAAGGATCGTTCAACTCTGTGAATTGAATACACACAACACAAGGAAGTTACTGAGAATTCTTCTGTCTAGCATAATATGAAGAAATCCTGTTTCCAACGAAGGCCTCAAGGAGGTCTGAATATCCACTTGCAGACTTTACAAACAGAGTGTTTCCTAACTGCTCTATGAAAAGAAAGGTTAAACTCTGTGAGTTGAACGCACACATCACAAAGGAGTTTCTGAGAATCATTCTGTCTAGTTTCTATAGGAAGATATTTCCTATTCTACCATTGACCTCAAAGCGGCTGAAATCTCCACTTGCAAGTTCCACAAAAAGAGCGTTTCAAGTCTGCTCTGTGTAAACGATCGTTCAACTCTGTGAGTTGAATACACACAACACAAGGCAGTTACTGAGAATTCTTCTGTCTAGCAGAATATGAAGAAATCCCGTTTCCAACGAAGGCCACAAGATGTCAGAATATCCACTTACAGAATTGACAAACAGACTGTTTCCTAACTGCTCTATGAAAAGAAAGGTTAAACTCTGTGAGTTGAACGAACGCATCACAACGCAGTTTGTGGGAATGATTCTGTCTAGTTTTGAAACGAAGATATTTCCTTTTCTGCCATTGACCTTAAAGCGCTTGAAATCTACACTTGCAAATTGCACAAATAGAGTGTTTCAAATCTGTTCTGTCTAAGGGAACGTTCATCTCTGTGAGTGGAATGCACACAACACAAGGAAGTTACTGGGAATTCTTCTGTCTAGCCTTACATGAAAAACACCCGTTTCCAACGAAGGCCTCTAAGTGGTCAAATTATGCACGTGCAGACTTTACAAACAGAGTGTTTCCAAACTGCTGAATGAAAAGAAAAGTTAAACTCTGAGAGTTGAACGCACACATCGCAGAGCAGTTTCTGAGAATGATTCTGTCTAGTTTTTATACGAAGATATTTCCTTTTCTGCCTTTGGCCTCAAAGCGCTTGAAATCTCCATTTGCAAATTTCACAAAAAGAGTGTCTCAAATCTGCTCTGTGTAAATGAAAGTTCAACTCTGTGAGTTGAACACACACAACACAAGGAAGTTACTGGGAATTCTTCTGTCTAGCAGAATATGAAGAAATCCCGTTTCCAACGAAGGCCTCAAGGAGGTCTGAATATCCACTTGTAGACTTTACACACAGAGTGTTTCCTAACTGCTCTATGAAAAGAAAGGTTGAACTCTGTGAGTTGAACGCACACATCACAAAGTAGTTTCTGAGAATCTTTCTGTCTAGTTTCTATAGGAAGATATTTCCTATTCTACTATTGACCACAAAGCGGCTGAAATCTCCACTTGCAAATTCCACAAAAAGAGTGTTTCAAGTCTGCTCTGTGTAAAGGATCGTTCAACTCTGTGAGTTGAATACACACAACACAAGGAAGTTACTGAGAATTCTTCTGTCTAACATAGTATGAAGAAATCCCGTTTCCAACGAAGGCCTCAAAGAGGTCTGAATATCCACTTGCAGAGTTTACAAACAGAGTGTTTTCTAACTGCTCTATGAATAGAAAGGTTAAACTCTGTGAGTTGAACGCACACATCACAAAGAAGTTTCTGAGAATCATTCTGTCTAGTTTTTATACGAAGATATTTCCTTTTCTACCATTGACCTCAAAGCGGCTGAAATCTCCATTTGCAAATTCCACCAAAAGAGTGTTTCAAATCTGCTCTGTGTAAAGGATCCTTCAACTCTGTGAGTTGAATACACACAACACAAGGAAGATTCTGAGAATTCTTCTGTCTAGCAGAATATGAAGAAATCCTGTTTCCAACGAAGGCCACAAGATGTCAGAATATCCACTTACATAATTTACAAACAGACTGTTTCCTAACTGCTCTATGAAAAGAAAGGTTAAACTCTGTGAGTTGAACGAACACATCACAACGCAGTTTGTGGGAATGATTCTGTCTAGTTTTGAAACGAAGATATTTCCTTTTCTGCCATTGACCTTAAAGCGCTTGAAATCTACACTTGCAAATTGCACAAATAGTGTGTTTCAAATCTGCTCTGTCTAAGGGAACGTTCAACTCTGTGAGTTGAATGCACACAACACAAGGAAGTTACTGGGAATTCTTCTGTCTAGCCTTACAGGAAAAAAACCCGTTTCCAACGAAGGCCTCTAAGTGGTCAAAATATCCACGTGCAGACTTTACAAACAGAGTGTTTCCACACTGCTGAATGAAAAGAAAAGTTAAACTCTGAGAGTTGAACGCACACATCGCAGAGCAGTTTCTGAAAATGATTCTGTCTAGTTTTTATACGAAGATATTTCCTTTTCTGCCTTTGGCCTCAAAGCGCTTGAAATCTCCACTTGCAAATTCCACAAAAAGAGTGTTTCAAATCTGCTCTGTGTAAATCAAAGTTCAACTCTGTGAGTTGAACACACACAACACAAGGAAGTTACTGGGAATTCCTCTTTCTAGCAGAATATGAAGAAATCCCGTTTCCAACGAAAGCCTCAAGGATGTCTCAATATCCACTTGCAGACTTTACAAACAGAGTGTCTCCTAACTGCTCTATGAAAAGAAAGGTTAAACTCTGTGAGTTGAACGCACACATCACAAAGGAGTTTCTGAGAATCATTCTGTCTAGTTTTTATACGAAGATATTTCCTTTTCTACCATTGACCAAAAAGCGGCTGAAATCTCCACTTGCAAATTCCACAAAAAGAGTGTTTCAAATCTGCTCTGTGTAAACCATCGTTCAACTCTGTGAGTTGAATACACACAACACAAGGAAGATTCTGAGAATTCTTCTGTCTAGCATAATATGAAGAAATCCCGTTTCCAACGAAGGCCACAAAGAGGTCTGAATATCCACTTGCAGACTTTACAAACAGAATGTTTCCTAACTGCTCTATGAAAAGAAAAGTTAAACTCTGTGAGTTGAACGCACACATCACAAAGGAGTTTCTGAGAATCATTCTGTCTAGTTTTTATACGAAGATATTTCCTTTTCTACCTTTGACCTCAAAGCGGCTGAAATCTCCACTTTCAAATTCCACAAAAAGAGTGTTTCAACTCTGCTCTGTGTAAACCATCGTTCAACTCTGTGAGTTGAATACACACAACACAAGGGAAGATTCTGAGAATTCTTCTGTCTAGCAGAATATGAAGAAATCCCGTTTCCAACGAAGGCCACAAGATGTCAGAATATCCACTTAACAGACTTTACAAACAGAGTGTTTCCTAACTGCTCTATGAACAGAAAGGTTAAACTCTGTGAGTTGAACGAACACATCACAACGCAGTTTGTCGGAATGATTCTGTCTAGTTTTTATAGGAAGATATTTCCTTTTCTAACTTTGACTTCAAAGCGGCTGAAATCTCCACTTGCAAATTCCACAAAAAGAGTGTTACAAGTCTGTTCTGTGTAAAGGATCGTTCAACTCTGTGAGTTGAATACACACAACACAAGGAAGTTACTGAGAATTCTTCTGTCTAGCCTTACATGAAAAAAACCCGTTTCCAAAGAAGGCCTCTAAGTTGTCAAATTATCCACGTGCAGACTTTACAAACAGAGTGTTTCCAAACTGCTGAATGAAAAGAAAAGTTAAACTCTGAGAGTT
Organism: Homo sapiens; assembly: GCF_000001405.40. NCBI lineage: Eukaryota > Metazoa > Chordata > Mammalia > Primates > Hominidae > Homo > Homo sapiens. The sequence goes on along the minus strand of NC_000005.10, from coordinate 47,373,831 downwards.
GAACGCACACATCACAGAGCAGTTTCTGAGAATGATTCTGTCTAGTTTTGAAAGGAAGATATTTCCTTTTCTGCCTTTGGCCTCAAAGCGCTTGAAATCTCCACTTGCAAATTCCACAAAAAGAGTGTTTCAAATCTGCTCTGTGTAAATGGAAGTTCAACTACTGTGAGTTGAACACACACAACACAAGGAAGTTACTGGGAATTCTTCTGTCTAGCATAATATGAAGAAATCCCGTTTCCAACGAAGGCCACAAAGGAGGTCTGAATATCCACTTGCAGACTTTACAAACAGAGTGTTTCCTAACTGGTCTATGAAAAGAAAAGTTAAACTCTGTGAGTTGAACGCACACATCACAAAGGAGTTTCTGAGAATCATTCTGTCTAGTCTTTATACGATGATATTTCCTTTTCTACCATTGACCTCAAAGCGGCTGAAATCTCCACTTGCAAATTCCACAAAAAGAGTGTTTCAAGTCTGCTCTGTGTAAAGGATCGTTCAACTCTGTGAGTTGAATACACACAACACAAGGAAGTTAGTGAGAATTCTTCTGTCTAGCAGAATATGAAGAAATCCCGTTTCCAAGGAAGGCCTCAAGGAGGTCGGAATATCCACTTGCAGACTTTACAAACAGAGTGTTTCCTAACTGCTCTATGAAAAGAAAGGTGAAACTCTGTGAGTTGAATGCACACATCACAAAGGAGTTTATGAGAATCATTCTGTTTAGTTTTTCTACGAAGATATTACCTTTTCTACTACTGACCTCAAAGCGGCTGAAATCTCCAATTGCAAATTCTACAAATAGAGTGTTTCAAGTCTGCTCTGTGTAAAGGATCATTCAACTCTGTAAGTTGAATACACACAACACAAGGAAGTTACTGAGAATTCTTCTGTCTAGCAGAATATGAAGAAATCCCGTTTCCAACGAAGGCCACAAGATGTCAGAATATCCACTTACAGAATTTACAAACAGACTGTTTCCTAACTGCTCTATGAAAAGAAAGTTTAAAGTCTGTGAGTTGAACGAACACATCACAACGCAGTTTGTGGGAATGATTCTGTCTAGTTTTGAAACGAAGATATTTCCTTTTCTGCCATTGACCTTAAAGCGCTTGAAATCTCCATTTGCCAATTGCACAAAAAGAGTGTTTCAAATCTGCTGTGTCTAAGGGAACTTTCAACTCTGTGAGTTGAATGTACACAACACAAGGAAAGTTACTGGGAATTCTTCTGTCTAGCCTTACAGGAAAAAAACCCATTTCCAACGAAGGCCTCTAAGTGGTCAAAATATCCACGTGCAGACTTTACAAACAGAGTGTTTCCAAACTGCTGAATGAAAAGAAAAGTTAAACTCTGAGAGTTGAACGCACACATCGCAGAGTAGTTTCTGAGAATGATTCTGTCTAGTTTTTATACGAAGATATTTCCTTTTCTGCCTTTGGCCTCAAAGCGCTTGAAACCTCCATTTGCAAATTCCACAAAAAGAGTGTTTCAAATCTGCTCTGTGTAAATGAAAGTTCAACTCTGTGAGTTGAACACACACAATACAAGGAAGTTACTGGGAATTCTTCTGTCTAGCCTTATATGAAAAAAACCCGTTTCCAACGAAGGCCTCAAAGAGGTCTGAATATCCACTTGCAGACTTTACAAACAGAGTGATTCCTAACTGCTCTATGAAAAGAAAGGTTAAACTCTGTGAGTTGAACAAACACATCTCAAAGGAGTTTCTGAGAAACATTCTGTGTATTTTCTATAGGAAGATATTTCCTATTCTACCATTGACCTCAAAGCGGCAGAAATCTCCACTTGCAAATTCCACAAAAAGAGTGTTTCAAGTCTGCTCTGTGTAAAGGATCGTTCAACTCCGTGAGTTGAATACACACAACACAAAGAAGTTACTGAGAATTCTTCTGTCTAGCCCTATATGAAAAAAACCCGTTTCCAACGAAGGCCTCAAAGAGGTCTGAATATCCACTTGCAGACTTTACAAACAGAGTGTTTCCTAACTGCTCTATGAAAAGAAAGGTTAAACTCTGTGAGTTGAACACACACATCACAAAGGAGTTTCTGAGAATCATTCTGTCTAGTCTTTATAAGAAGATATTTCCTTTTCTACCATTGACCTCAAAGCGTCTGAAATCTCCACTTGCAAATTCCACAAAAAGAGGGTTTCAAGTCTGCTCTGTGTAAAGGATCGTTCAACTCTGTGAGTTGAATACACACAACACAAGGAAGTTACTGAGAATTCTTCTGTCTAGCAGAATATGAAGAAATCCCGTTTCCAACGAAGGCCTCAAGGAGGTCTGAATATCCACTTGCAGACTTTACAAACAGAGTGTTTCCTAACTGTTCTATGAACAGAAAGGTTAAACTCTGTGAGTTGAACGAACACATCACTACGCAGTTTGTGGGAATGATTCTGTCTAGTTTTGAAACGAAGATATTTCCTTTTCTGCCATTGACCTCAAAGCGCTTGAAATCTCCACTTGCCAGTTGCACAAAAAGAGTGTTTCAAATCTGCTCTGTCTAAGGGAACGTTCAACTCTGTGAGTTGAATGTACACTACACAAGGAAGTTACTGGGAATTCTTCTGTCTAGCCTTACAAGAAAAAAACCCGTTTCCAACGAAGGCCTCTAAATGGTCAAAATATCCACGTGCAGACTTTACAAACAGAGTGTTTCCAAACTGCTGAATGAAAAGAAAAGTTAAACTCTGAGAGTTGAACGCCCACATCGCAGAGCAGTTTCTGAGAATGATTCTGTCTAGTTTTTATACGAAGGTATTTCCTTTTCTGCCTTTGGCCTCAAAGCGCTTGAAACCTCCACTTGCAAATTCCACAAAAAGAGTGTTTCAAATCTGCTCTGTGTAAATGAAAGTTCAACTCTGTGAGTTGAACACACACAACACAAGGAAGTTACTGGGAATTCTTCTGTCTAGCAGAATATGAAGAAATCCCGTTTCCAATGAAGGCCTCAAGGAGGTCTGAATATCCACTTGCAGACTTTACAAACAGAGTGTTTCCTATCTGCTCTATGAAAAGAAAGGTTAAACTCTGTGAGTTGAACGCACACATCACAAAGGAGTTTCTGAGAATCACTCTGTGTAGTTTTTATAGGAAGATATTTCCTTTTCTACCTTTGACTTCAAAGCGGCTGAAATCTCCACTTGCAAATTCCACAAAAAGAGTGTTACAAGTCTGCTCTGTGTAAAGAATCGTTCAACTCTGTGAGTTGAATACACACAACACAAGGAAGTTACTGAGAATTCTTCTGTCTAGCCTTACATGAAAAAAACCCGTTTCCAACGAAGGCCTCTAAGTGGTCAAAATATCCACGTGCAGACTTTACAAACAGAGTGTTTCCAAACTGCTGAATGAAAAGAAAAGTTAAACTCTGAGAGCTGAACGCACACATCGCAGAGCAGTTTCTGAGAATGATTCTGTCTAGTTTTTATACGAAGATATTTCCTTTTCTGCCTTTGGCCCCAAAGCGCTTGAAATCTCCACTTGCAAATTCCACAAAAACAGTTTTTCAAATCTGCTCTCTCTAAATGAAAGTTCAACTCTGTCAGTTGAATACACACAACACAAGGAAGTTACTGAGAATTCTTCTGTCTAGCAGAATATGAAGAAATCCCGTTTCCAACGAAGGCCTCAAAGAGGTCTGAATATCCACTTGCAGACTTTACAAACAGAGTGTTTCCTAACTGCTCTATGAAAAGAAAGGTTAAACTCTGTGAGTTGAACGCATACATCACAAAGGAGTTTCTGAGAATCGTTCTGTCTAGTTTTTATACGAAGATATTTCCTTTTCTATCATTGACCTCAAAGTGTCTGAAATCTCCACTTGCAAATTCCACAAAAAGAGTGTTTCTAATCTGCTCTGTGTAAAGGATCGTTCAACTCCGTGAGTTGAAAGCACACAACACAAGGAAGTTACTGAGAATTCTTCTGTCTATCCTTACATGAAAAAAACCCGTTTCCAAAGAAGGCCTCTAAGTGGTCAAAATATCCACGTGCAGAGTTTACAAACAGAGTGTTTCCAAACTGCTGAATGAAAAGAAAAGTTAAACTCTGAGAGTTGAACGCACACATCACAGAGCAGTTTCTGAGAGTGATTCTGTCTAGTTTGTATGCGAAGATATTTACTTTTCTGCCTTTGGCCCCAAAGCGCTTGAAATCTCCACTTGCAAATTCCACAAAAATAGTGTTTCAAATCTGCTCTCTCTAAATGAAAGTTCAACTGTGTCAGATGAATACACACAACACAAGGAAGTTACTGAGAATTCTTCTGTCTAGCATAATATGAAGAAATCCCGTTTCCAACGAAGGCCGCAAGGAGGTCTGAATATCCACTTGCAGACTTTACAAACAGAGTGTTTCCCAACTGCTCTATGAAAAGAAAGGTTAAACTGTGTGAGTTGAACGCACACATCACAAAGGAGTTTCTGAGAATCATTCTGTCTAGTTTCTATAGGAAGATATTTCCTATTCTACCATTGACCTCAAAGCGGCTGAAATCTCCACTTGCAAATTCCGCAAAAAGAGTGTTTCAAGTCTGCTCTGTGTAAAGGATCGTTCAACTCCTGTGAGTTGAATACACACAACACAAGGAAGTTACTGAGAATTCTTCTGTCTAGCCTTATATGAAAAAATCCCGTTTCCAACGAAGGCCTCAAAGAGGTCTGAATATCCACTTGCAGACTTTACAAACAGAGTGTTTCCTAACTGCTCTATGAAAAGAAAGGTTAAACTCTGTGAGTTGAATGCACACATCACAAAGGAGTTTCTGAGAATCACTCTGTCTAGTTTTTATACGAAGATATTTCGTTTTCTACCATTGACCCCAAAGCGGCTGAAATCACCACTTGCCAATTGCACAAAAAGAGTGTTTCAAATGTGTTCTCTCTAAGGGAACGTTCAACTCTGTGAGTTGAATGTACACAACACAAGGAAGTTACTGGGAATTCTTCTGTCTAGCCTTACATGAAAAAAACCCGTTTCCAAGGAAGGCCTCTAAGTGGTCAAATTATCCACGTGCAGACTTTACAAACAGAGTGTTTCCAAACTGCTGAATGATAAGAAAAGTTAAACTCTGAGAGTTGAACGCACACATCGCAGAGCAGTTTCTGAGAATGATTTCTGTCTAGTTTTTATACGAAGATATTTCCTTTTCTGCCTTTGGCCCCAAAGCTCTTGAAATCTCCACTAGCAAATTCCACAAAAACAGTGTTTCAAATCTGCTCTCTCTAAATGAATGTTCAACTCTGTCAGTTGAATACACACAACACAAGGAAGTTACTGAGAATTCTTCTGTCTAGCAGAACATGAAGAAATCCCGTTTCCAACGAAAGCCTCAAGGATGTCTGAATATCCACTTGCAGACTTTACAAACAGAGTGTTTCCCAACTGCTCTAGGAAAAGAAAGGTTGAACTCTGTGAGTTGAACGCACACATCACAAAGGAGTTTTTGAGAATCATTCTGTCTAGTTTCTATAGGAACATATTTCCTATTCTACCATTGACCTCAAAGCGGCTGAAATCTCCACTTGCAAATTCCACAACAAGAGTGTTTCAAGACTGCTCTGTGTAAAGGATCGTTCAACTCTGTGAGTTGAATACACACAACACAAGGAAGTTACTGAGAATTCTTCTGTCTAGCCTTACAGGAAAAAAACCCGTTTGCAACGAAGGCCTCTAAGTGGTCAAAATATCCACGTGCAGACTTTACAAACAGAGTGTTTCCAAACTGCTGAATGAAAAGAAATGTTAAACTCTGAGAGTTGAACGCACACATCGCAGAGCAGTTTCTGAGAATGATTCTGTCTAGTTTTTATACGAAGATATTTCCTTTTCTGCCTTTGGCCCCAAAGCGCTTGAAATCTCCACTTGCAAATTCCACAAAAACAGTGTTTCAAATCTGCTCTCTCTAAATGAAACTTCAACTCTGTCAGTTGAATACACACAACAGAAGGAAGTTACTGAGAATTCTTCTGTCTAGCAGAATAGGAAGAAATCCCGTTTCCAACGAAAGCCTCAAGGAGGTCTGAATATCCACTTGCAGACTTTACAAACAGAGTGTTTCCTAACTGCTCTATGAAAAGAAACGTTAAACTCTGTGAGTTGAACGCACACATCACAAAGGAGTTTCTGAGAATCATTCTGTCTAGTTTCTATAGGAAGATATTTCCTATTCTACCATTGAACTCAAAGCGGCTGAAATCTCCACTTGCAAATTCCACAAAAAGAGTGTTTCAAGTCTGCTCTGTGTAAAGGATCGTTCAACTCTGTGAGTTGAATACACACAACACAAGGAAGTTACTGAGAATTCCTCTGTCTAGCCTTACAGGAAAAAAACCCGTTTCCAACGAAGGCCTCTAAGTGGTCAACATATCCACCTTCAGACTTTACAAACAGAGTGTTTCCACACTGCTGAATGAAAAGAAAAGTTAAACTCTGAGAGTTGAACGCACACATCGCAGAGCAGTTTCTGAGAATGATTCTGTCTAGTTTCTATAGGAAGATATTTCCTATTCTACCATTGACCTCAAAGCGGCTGAAATCTCCACTTGCAAATTCAACAAAAAGTGTGTTTCAAGTCTACTCTGTGTAAAGCATCGTTGAACTCTGTGAGTTGAACACACACAACACAAGGAAGTTACTGAGAATTCTTCTGTCTAGCAGAATATGAAGAAATCCCGTTTCCAACGAAGGCCTCAAAGAGCTCTGAATATCCACTTGCAGACTTTACAAACAGAGTGTTTCCTAACTGCTCTATGAAAAGAAAAGTTAAACTCTGTTTGTTGAACGCACACATCACAAAGGAGTTTCTGAGAATCATTCTGTCTAGTCTTTATACGAAGATATTTCCTTTTCTACCATTGACCTCAAAGCGGCTGAAATCTCCACTTGCAAATTCCACAAAAAGTGTGTTTCAAGTCTGCTCTCTGTAAAGGATCGTTCAACTCTGTGAGTTGAATACACACAACACAAGGAAGTTACTGAGAATTCTTCTGTCTAGCACAGTATGAAGAAATCCCGTTTCCAACGAAGGCCTCAAAGAGGTCTGAATATCCACTTGCAGACTTTACAAACAGAGTGTTTCCTAACTGCTCTATGAAAAGAAAGGTTAAACTCTGTGACTTGAACGCACACGTCACAATGAAGTTTCTGAGAATCATTCTGTCTAGTTTTTATACGAAGATATTTCCTTTTCTACCATTGACCTCAAAGCGGCTGAAATCACCACTTGCCAATTGCACAAAAAGAGTGTTTCAAATCTGCTCTGTCTAAGGGAACGTTCAACTCTGTGAGTTGAATGTACACAACAGAAGGAAGTTCCTGGGAATACTTCTCTCTAGCCTTACATGAAAAAAACCCGTTTCCAACGAAGGCCTCTAAGTGGTCAAATTATCCACGTGCAGACTTTACAAACAGAGTGTTTCCAAACTGCTGAATGAAAAGCAAAGTTAAACTCTGAGAGTTGAACGCACACATCGCAGAGCAGTTTCTGAGAATGATTCTGTCTAGTTTTGAAATGAAGATATTTCCTTTTCTGCCTTTGGCCTCAAAGCGCTTGAAATCTCCACTTGCAAATTCCACAAAAAGAGTGTTTCAAATCTGCTCTGTGTAAATGAAAGTTCAACTCTGTGAGTTGAACACACACAACACAAGGAAGTTACTGGGAATTCTTCTGTCTAGCAGAATATGAAGAAATCCCGTTTCCAACGAAGGCCTCAAAGAGGTCTGAATATCCACTTGCAGACTTTATAACCAGAGTGTTTCCTAACTGCTCTATTAAAAGAAAGGTTAAACTCTGTGAGTTGAACGCACACATCCCAAAGGAGTTTCTGAGAATCATTCTGTCTAGTTTTTATAGGAAGATATTTCCTTTTCTACCTTTGACTTCAAAGCTGCTGAAATCTCCACTTGCGAATTCCACAAAAAGAGTGTTACAAGTCTGCTCTGTGTAAAGGATCGTTCAAATCTGTGAGTTGAATACACACAACACAAGGAAGTTACTGAGAATTCTTCTGTCTAGCAGAATATGAAGAAATCCCGTTTCAAACGAAGGACTCAAAGAGGTCTGAATATCCACTTGCAGACTTTACAAACAGAGTGTTTCCTAACTGCTCTATGAAAAGAAAGGTTAAACTCTGTGAGTTGAACGCACACATCACAAAGGAGTTTATGAGAATCATTCTGTCTAGTTTCTATAGGAAGATATTTCCTATTCTACCATTGACCTCAAAGCGGATGAAATCTCCACTTGCAAATTCCACAAAAAGAGTGTTTCAAGTCTGCTCTGTGTAAAGGATCGTTCAACTGTGTGAGTTGAATACACACAACACAAGGAAGTTACTGAGAATTCTTCTGTCTAGCAGAATATGAAGAAATCCCGTTTCCAACGAAGGCCTCAAGGAGGTCTGAATATCCACTTGCAGACTGTATAAACAGAGTGTTTCCTAACTGCTCTATGAACAGAAAGGTTAAACTCTGTGAGTTGAACGAACACATCACAACGCAGTTTGTGGGAATGATTCTGTCTAGTTTTGAATCGAAGATATTTCCTTTTCTGCCATTGACCTTAATGCGCTTGAAATCTACACTTGCAAATTGCACAAATAGAGTGTTTCAAACCTGCTCTGTCCTAGGGAACGTTCAACTCTGTGAGTTGAATGCACACAACACAAGGAAGTTACTGGGAATACTTCTGTCTAGCCTTACATGAAAAAAACCCGTTTCCAACGAAGGCCTCTAAGTGGTCAAATTATCCACGTGCAGACTTTAAAAAAAGAGTGTTTCCAAACTGCTGAATGAAAAGAAAAGTTAAACTCTGAGAGTTGAACGCACACATCGCAGAGCAGTTTCTGAGAATGATTCTGTCTAGTTTTTATACAAAGATATTTCCTTTTCTGCCTTTGGCCCCAAAGCGCTTGAAATCTCCACTTGCAAATTCCACAAAAACAGTGTTTCAAATCAGCTCTCTCTAAATGAAAGTTCAACTCTGTCAGTTGAATACACACAACACAAGGAAGTTACTGAGAATTCTTCTGTCTAGCAGAATATAAAGAAATCCCGTTTCCAACGAAGACCTCAAGGAGGTCTGAATATCCACTTGCAGACTTTACAAACAGAGTGTTTCCTAACTGCTCTATGAACAGAAAGGTTAAACTCTGTGAGTTGAACGCACACATCACAAAGGAGTTTCTGAGAATCATTCTGTCTAGTTTCTATAGGAAGATATTTCCTATTCTACCATTGACCTCAAAGCGGCTGAAATCTCCACTTGCAAATTCCACAAAAAGAGTGTTTCAAGTCTGCTCTCTGTAAAGGATCGTTCAACTCTGACAGTTGAATACACACAACACAAGGAAGTTACTGAGAATTATTCTGTCTAGCAGAATATGAAGAAATCCTGTTTCCAACGAAGGCCACAAGATGTCAGAATATCCACTTACAGACTTTACAAACAGAGTGTTTCCTCACTGCTCTATGAACAGAAAGGTTAAACTCTGTGAGTTGAACGAACACATCACAACTCAGTTTGTGGGAATGATTCTGTCTAGTTTTGAAACGAAGATATTCCCTTTTCTGCCATTGACCTTTAAAGCGCTTGAAATCTACACTTGCAAATTGCACAAATAGAGTGTTTCAAATCTGCTCTGTCTAAGGGAACGTTCAACTCTGTGAGTTGAATGCACACAACACATGGAATTTACTGGGAATTCTTCTGTCTAGCCTTACAGGAAAAAAACCAGTTTCCAACGAAGGCCTCTAAGTGGTCAAAATATCCACGTGCAGACTTTACAAACAGAGTGATTCCAAACTGCTGAATGAAAAGAAAAGTTAAACTCTGAGGGTTGAACGCACACATCGCAGAGCAGTTTCTGAGAATGATTCTGTCTAGTTTTTATACGAAGGATATTTCCTTTTCTGCCTTTGGCCTCAAAGCGCTTGAAATCTCCACTTGCAAATTCCACAAAAAGAGTGTTTCCAATCTGCTCTGTGTAAATGAAAGTTCAACTCACAGAGTTGAACACACACAACACAAGGAAGTTACTGGGAATTCTTCTGTATAGCAGAATATGAAGAAATACCGTTTCCAACGAAGGCCTCAAGGAGGTCTGAATATCCACTTGCAGACTTTACAAACAGAGTGTTTCCTAACTGCTCTATGAAAAGAAAGGTTAAACTCTGTGAGTTGAACGCAGACATCACAAAGGAGTTTCTGAGAATCACTCTGTCTAGTTTCTATAGGAAGATATTTCCTATTCTACCATTCAACCCAAAGCGGCTGAAATCTCCACTTGCAAATTCCACAAAAAGAGTGTTTCAAGTCTGCTCTGTGTAAAGGATCGTTCAACTCTGCGAGTTGAATACACACAACACAAGGAAGTTACTGAGAATTCTTCTGTCTAGCATAATATGAAGAAATCCCGTTTCCAACGAAGGCCTCAAAGGGGTCTGAATATCCACTTGCAGACTTTATAAACAGAGTGTTTACTAACTGCTCTATGAAAAGAAAGGTTAAACTCTGTGAGTTGAAGGCACACATCACAAAGGAGTTTATGAGAATCATTCTGTCTAGTTTCTATACGAAGATATTTCATTTTCTACCATTAACCTCAAAGAGGCTGAAATCTCCGCTTGCAAATTCCACAAAAAGAGTGTTTTAAGTCTGCCCTGTGTAAAGTATCGTTCAACTCTGTGAGTTGAATGCACACAACACAAGGAAGTTACTGAGAATTCTTCTGTCTAGCAGAATATGAAGAAATCCCGTTTCCAACGAAGGCCACAAGATGTCAGAATATCCACTTACAGAATTTACAAACAGACTGTTTCCTAACTGCTCTATGAAAAGAAAGGTTAAACTCTGTGAGATGAAGGAACACATCACAACGCAGTTTTTGGGAATGATTCTGTCTAGTTTTTATAAGAAGATATTTCCTTTTCTACCATTGACCTCAAAGCGGCTGAAATCACCACTTGCCAATTGCACAAAAAGAGTGTTTCAAATCTGCTCTGTCTAAGGGAACGTTCAACTCTGTGAGTTGAATGTACACAACACAAGGAAGTTCCTGGGAATTCTTCTGTCTAGCCTTACAAGAAAAAAACCCGTTTCCAACGAAGGCCTCTAAGTGGTCAAGTTATCCACGTGCAGACTTTACAAACAGAGTGTTTCCAAACTGCTGAATGAAAAGAAAAGTTAAACTCTGAGAGTTGAACTCACACATCGCAGAGCAGTTTCTGAGAATGATTCTGTCTAGTTTTTATACGAAGATATTTCCTTTTCTGCCTTTGGAATCAAAGCGCTTGAAATCTCCACTTGCAAATTCCACAAAAAGAGTGTTTCAAATCTCCTCTGTCTAAATGAAAGTTCAACTCTGTCAGTTGAATACACACAACACAAGGAAGTTACTGAGAATTCTTCTGTCTAGCATAGTATCAAGAAATCCCGTTTCCAACGAAGGCCTCAAAGAGGTCTGAATATCCACTTGCAGACTTTATAAACAGAGTGTTTCCTAACTGCTCTATGAAAAGAAAGGTTAAACTCTGTGAGTTGAACGCACACATCACAAAGGAGTTTCTGAGAATCATTCTGTCTAGTTTTTATACGAAGATATTTCCTATTCTACCACTGACCTCAAAGCGGCTGAAATCTCCACTTGCAAATTCCACAAAAAGAGTGTTTCAAGTCTGCTCTTTGTAAAGGATCATTCAACTCTGTGAGTTGAATACACACGACACAAGGAAGTTACTGAGAATTCTTCTGTCTAGCCTTATATGAAAAAAACCCGTTTCCAACGAAGGCCTCAAAGAGGGCTGAATATGCACTTGCAGACTTTACAAGCAGAGTGTTTCCTAACTGCTCTATGAAAAGAAAGGTTAAACTCTGTGAGTTGAACGCACACATCACAAAGGAGTTTCTGAGAATCATTCTGTCTAGTTTTTATACGAAGATATTTCCTTTTCTGCCTTTGGCCTCAAAGCGGCTGAAATCTCCACTTGCAAATTCCACAAAACGAGTGATTCAAGTCTGCTCTGTGTAAAGCATCGTTCAACTCTGTGAGTTGAATACACACAACACCAAGAAGTTACTGAGAATTCTTCTGTCTAGCAGAATATGAAGAAATCCCGTTTCCAACGAAGGCCACAAGATGTCAGAATATCCACTTACAGAATTTACAAACAGACTGTTTCCTAACTGCTCTATGAAAAGAAAGGTTAAACTCTGTGAGTTGAACGAACACATGACAACGCAGTTTGTGGGAATGATTCTGTCTAGTTTTGAAACGAAGATATTTCCTTTTCTGCCATTGACCTTAAAGCGCTTGAAATCTACACTTTCAAATTACACAAATAGAATGTTTCAAATCTGCTCTGTCTAAGGGAACGTTCAACTCTGTGAGTTGAATGCACACAACACAAGGAAGTTACTGGGAATTCTTCTGTCTAGCCTTACAGGAAAAAATCCCGTTTCCAACGAAGGCCTCTAAGTGGTCAAAATATCCACGTGCAGACTTTACCAACAGAGTGTTTCCAAACTGCTGAATGAAAAGAAAAGTTAAACTCTGAGAGTTGAACGCACACATCGCAGAGCAGTTTCTGAGAATGATTCTGTCTAGTTTTTATACGAAGATATTTCCTTTTCTGCCTTTGGCTCCAAAGCGCTTGAAATCTCCACTTGCAAATTCCACAAAAACAGTGTTTCAAATCTGCTCTCTCTAAATGAAAGTTCAACTCTGTCAGTTGAATACACACAACACAAGGAAGTTACTGAGAATTCTTCTGTCTAGCCTTTTATGAAAAAAACCCGTTTCCAACGAAGGCCTCAAAGAGGTCTGAATATCCACTTGCAGACTTTACAAACAGAGTGTTTCCTAACTGCTCTATGAAAAGAAAGGTTAAACTCTGTGAGTTGAACGCACACATCACAATGAAGTTTCTGAGAATCATTCTGTCTAGTCTTTATACGAAGATATTTCCTTTTCTACCATTGACCTCAAAGCGGCTGAAATCTCCACTTGCCAATTCCACAAAAAGAGTGTTTCAAGTCTGCTCTGTGTAAAGGATCGTTCAACTCTGTGAGTTGAATACACACAACACAAGGAAGTTACTGAGAATTCTTCTGTCTAGCAGAACATGAAGAAATCCCGTTTCCAACGAAGGCCTCAAGGAGGTCTGAATATCCACTTGCAGACTTTACAAACAGAGTGTTTCCTAACTGCTCTATGAACAGAAAGGTTAAACTCTGTGAGTTGAACGCACACATCACAAAGGAGTTTCTGAGAATCATTCTGTCTAGTTTTAATACGAAGATATTTCCCTTTCTACCATTGACCTCAAAGCGGCTGAAATCACCACTTGCCAATTGCACAAAAAGAGTGTTTCAAATCTGCTCTGTCTAAGGGAACGTTCAACTCTGTGAGTTGAATGTACACAACACAAGGAAGTTACTAGGAATTCTTCTGTCTAGCCTTACATGAAAAAAACCCGTTTCCAACGAAGACCTCTAAGTGGTCAAAATATCCACGTGCAGACTTTACAAACAGAGTGTTTCCAAACCGCTGAATGAAAAGGAAAGTTAAACTCTGAGGGTTGAACACACACATCACGCAGCAGTTTCTGAGAATGATTCTGTATAGTTTTTATACGAAGATATTTCCTTTTCTGCCTTTGGCCTCAAAGCGCTTGAAATCTCCACTTGCAAATTCCACAAAAAGAGTGTTTCAAATCTGCTCTGTGTAAATCAAAGTTCAACTCTGTGAATTGAACACACACAACACAAGGAAGTTACTGGGAATTCTTCTGTCTAGCATAATATGAAGAAATCCCGTTTCCAACGAAGGCCTCAAAGGGTTCTGAATATCCACTTGCAGACTTTATAAACAGAGTGTTTACTAACTGCTCTATGAAAAGAAAGGTTAAACTCTGTGAGTTGAACACACACATCACAAAGGAGTTTCTGAGAATCATTCTGTCTAGTTTTTCTACGAAGATATTTCCTTTTCTACTATTGACCTCAAAGCGGCTGAAATCTCCACTTGCAAATTCCACAAAAAGAGAGTTTCAAGTCTGCTCTGTGTAAAGGATCGTTCAACTCTGTGAGTTGAATACACACAACACAAGGAAGTTACTGAGAATTATTCTGTCTAGCAGAATAGGAAGAAATCCCGTTTCCAACGAAGGCCTCAAAGAGGTCTGAATATCCACTTGCAGACTTTACAAACAGAGTGTTTCCTAACTGCTGTATGAAAAGAAAGGTTAAACTCTGTGAGTTGAACGCACACATCACAAAGGAGTTTCTGAGAATCGTTCTGTCTAGTTTCTATAGGAAGATATTTCCTATTCTACCATTGACCTCAAAGCGGCTGAAATCTCCTCTTGCAAATTCCACAAAAAGAATGTTTCTAGTCTGCTCTGTGTAAAGGATCGTTCAACTCTGTGAGTTGAATACACACAACACAAGGAAGTTACTGAGAATTCTTCTGTCTAGCATAGTATGAAGAAATCCCGTTTCCAACGAAGGCCTCAAACAGGTCTGAATATCCACTTGCAGAGTTTACAAACAGAGTGTTTCCTAACTGCTCTATGAAAAGAAAGGTTGAACTCTGTGAGTTGAACGCACACATCACAAAGAAGTTTCTGAGAATCATTCTGTCTAGCTTCTATAGGAAGATATTTCCTATTCTACCATTGAACTCAAAGCGGCTGAAATCTCCACTTGCAAATTCCACAAAAAGAGTGTTTCAAGTCTGCTCTGTGTAAAGGATCGTTCAACTCTGTGAGTTGAATACACACAACACAAGGAAGTTTCTGAGAATTCTTCTGTCTAGCCTTAAATGAAAAAAACCCGTTTCCAACGAAGGCCTCAAAGAAGTCCAAATATCCACGTGCAGACATTACAAACAGAGTGTTTCCTAACTGCTCTATGAAAAGAAAGGTTAAACTCTGTGAGTTGAACACACACATCACAAAGGAGTTTCTGAGAATCATTCTGTCTAGTTTTTATACGAAGATATTCCCTTTTCTACCATTGACCTCAAAGCGGCTGAAATCTCCACTTGCAAATTACACAAAAAGAGTGTTTCAGGTCTACTCTGTGTAAAGCATCGTTCAACTCTGTGAGTTGAAAACACACAACACAAGGAAGTTTCTGAGAATTCTTCTGTCTAGCAGAGTATGAAGAAATCCCGTTTCCAACGAAGGCCTGAAAAAGGTCTGAATATCTACTTGCAGACTTTACAAACAGAGTGTTTCCTAACTGCTCTATGGAAAGAAAGGTTAAACTTTGTGAGATGAACGCACACATCACAAAGGAGTTTCTGAGAATCCTTCTGTCTAGTTTCTATAGGAAGATATTTCCTATTCTACCATTGACCTCAAAGCGGCTGAAATCTCCACTTGGAAATTCCACAACAAGAGTGTTTCAAGTCTGCTCTGTGTAAAGGATCGTTTAACTCTGTGAGTTGAATACACACACTACAAGGAAGTTACTGAGAATTCTTCTGTCCATCATAATATGAAGAAATCCCATTTCCAACGAAGCCCTGAAGGAGGTCAGAATATCCACTTGCAGACTTTTCAAACAGAGTGTTTCCTAACTGCTCTATGAAAAGAAAGGTTAAACTCTGTGAGCTGAACGCACACATCACAAAGGAGTTTCTGAGAATCATTCTGTCTAGTTTTTCTACGAAGATATTTCCTTTTCTACTACTGACCTCAAAGCGGCTGAAACCTCCACTTGCAAATTCCACAAAAAGAGTGTTTCAAGTCTGCTCTGTGTAAAGGATCGTCCAACTCTGTGAGTTGAATACACACAACACAAGGAAGTTACTGAGAATTCTTCTGTCTAGCAGAATAGGAAGAAATCCCGTTTCCAATGAAGGCCTCAAAGAGGTCTGAATATCCACTTGCAGACTTTACAAACAGAGTGTTTCCTAACTGCTCTATGAAAAGAAAGGTTAAACTCTGTGAGTTGAACGCACACATCACAAAGGAGTTTCTGAGAATCGTTCTGTCTAGTTTTTATACGAAGCATATTTCCTTTTCTACCATTGACCTCAAAGCGGCTGAAATCTCCACTTGCCAATTCCACAAAAAGAGTGTTTCAAGTCTACTCTGTGTAATGGATCGTTGAACTCTGTGAGTTGAAAACACACAACACAAGGAAGTTTCTGAGAATTCTTCTGTCTAGCAGAATATGAAGAAATCCCGTTTCCAACGAAAGCCACAAAGATGTCTGAATATCCACTTGCAGACTTTACAAACAGAGTGTTTCCTAACTGCTCTATGAAAAGAAAGGTTAAACTCTGTGAGCTGAACGCACACAGCACAAAGTAGTTTCTGAGAATCATTCTGTCTAGTTTTTATACGAAGATATTTCCTTTTCTACCATTGACCTCAAAGCGGCTGAAATTTCCATTTGCAAATTCCACAAAAAGAGTGTTTCAAGTCTGCCCTGTGTAAAGGATCGTTCAACTCTGTGAGTTGAATACACACAACACAAGGAAGTTTCTGAGAATTCTTCTGTCTAGCCTTATATGAAAAAAACCCGTTTCCAACGAAGGCCTCAAAGAGGTCTGAATATCCACTTGCAGACTTCACAAACAGAGTGTTTCCTAACTGCTCTATGAAAAGAAAGGTTAAACTCTGTGAGTTGAACGCACACATCACAAAGGAGTTTCTGAGAATCATTCTGTCTAGTTTCTATAGGAAGATATTTCCTATCCTACCATTGACCTCAAAGCGGCTGAAATCTCCACTTGCAAATTCCAGAAAAAGAGTGTTTCAAGTCTGCTCTGTGTAAAGGATCGTTGAAATCTGTGAGTTGAATACACACAACACAATGAAGTTACTGAGAATTCTTCTCTCTAGCAGAATATGAAGAAATCCCATTTCCAACGAAGGCCTCAAAGAGGTCTGAATATCCACTTGCAGACTTTACAAACAGAGTGTTTCCTAACTGCTCTATGAAAAGAAAGGTTAAACTCTGTGAGTTGAATGCACACATCACAAAGGAGTTTCTGAGAATCATTCTGTCTAGTTTTTATACGAAGATATTTCCTTTTCTACCATTGACCTCAACGCGGCTGAAATCTCCACTTGCAAATTCCACAAAAAGAGTGTTTCAATTCTGCTCTGTGTAAAGGATCGTTCAACTCTGTGAGTTGAATACACACAACACAAGGAAGTTACTGAGAATTCTTCTGTCTAGCAGAATATGAAGAAATACCGTTTCCAACGAAGGCCTCAAAGGGGTTTGAATATCCACTTGCAGACTTTACAAACAGAGTGTTTCCTAACTGCTCTATGAAAAGAAAGGTTAAACTCTGTGATTTGAACGCACACATCACAAAGGAGTTTCTGAGAATCATTCTGTCTAGTTTCTATAGGAAGATATTACCTATTCTACCGTTGACCACAAAGCGGCTGAAATCTCCACTTGAAAATTCCACAACAAGAGTGATTCAAGTCTGTTCTGTGTAAAGGATCATTCAACTCTGTGAGTTGAATACACACAACACAAGGAAGTTACTGAGAATTCTTCTGTCTAGCAGAATATGAAGAAATACCGTTTCCAACGAAGGCCTCAAAGAGGTCTGAATATCCACTTGCAGACTTTACAAACAGAGTGTTTCCTAACTGCTCTATGAAGAGAAAGGTTAAACTCTGTGAGTTGAACGCACACATCACAAAGGAGTTTCTGAGAATCATTCTGTCTAGTTTTTATACGAAGATATTTCCTATTCTACCATTGACCTCAAAGCGGCTGAAATCTCCACTTGCAAATTCCACAAAAAGAGTGTTTCAAGTCTGCTCTGTGTAAAGGATCGTTCAACTCTGTGAGTTGAAAACACACAACACAAGGAAGTTTCTGAGAATTCTTCTGTCTAGCATAATATGAAGAAATCCCGTTTCCAACGAAGGCCTCAAAGGGATCTGAATATCCACATGCAGAATTTATAAACAGAGTGTTTACTAACTGCTCTATGAAAAGAAAGGTTAAACTCTGTGAGTTGAACACACCCATCACAAAGGAGTTTCTGAGAATCATTCTGTCTAGTTTCTATAGGAAGATATTTCCTATTCTACCATTGACCTCAAAGGGGCTGAAATCTCCAATTGCAAATTCCACAAAAAGAGTGTTTCAAGTCTGCTCTGTGTAAAGGATCGTTCAACTCTGTGAGTTGAATACACACAACACAAGGAAGTTACTGAGAATTCTTCTTTCTAGCATAATATGAAGAAATCCCGTTTCCAACGAAGGCCTCAAAGAGGTCTGAATATCCACTTGCAGACTTTACAAACAGAGTGTTTCCTAACTGCTCTATGAAAAGAAAGGTTAAACTCTGTGAGTTGAATGCACACATCACAAAAGAGTTTCTGAGAATCATTCTGTCTAGTCTTTATATGAAGATAGTTTCCTTTTCTACCATTGACCTCAAAGCGGCTGAAATCTCCACTTGCAAATTCCACAAAAAGAGTGTTTGAAGTCTGCTCTGTGTAAAGGATCGTTCAACTCTGTGAGTTGAATACACACAACACAAGGAAGTTACTGAGAATTCTTCTTTCTAGCAGAATATGAAGAAATCCCGTTTCCAACGAAAGCCCCAAGGATGTCTGAATATCCACTTGCAGACTTTACAAACAGAGTGTTTCCTAACTGCTCTATGAAAAGAAAGGATAAACTCTGTGAGTTGAACACACACATCACAAAGGAGTTTCTGAGAATCATTCTGTCTAGTCTTTATACGAAGATATTTCCTTTTCTACCATTGACCTCAAAGCGGCTGAAATCTCCACTTGCAAATCCCACAAAAAGAGTGTTTCAAGTCTGCTCTGTGTAAAGGATCGTTCAACTCTGTGAGTTGAATACACACAACACAAGGAAGTTACTGAGAATTCTTCTGTCTAGCAGAATATGAAGAAACCCCGTTTCCAACGAAGGCCTCAAAGAGGTCTGAATATCCACTTGCAGACTTTACAAACAGAGTGTTTCCTAACTGCTCTAAGAAAAGAAAACTTCAACTCTGTGAGTTGAACGCACACATCACAAAGGAGTTTCTGAGAATCATTCTGTCTAGTTTTTATACGAAGATATTTCCTTTTCTACCATTGACCTCAACGCGGCTGAAATCTCCACTTGCAAATTCCACAAAAACAGTGTTCCAAGTCTGCTCTGTGTAAAGGATCGTTCAACTCTGTGAGTTGAATACACACAACACAAGGAAGTTACTGAGAATTCTTCTGTCTAGCAGAATATGAAGAAATCCCGTTTCCAACGAAGGCCTCAAAGAGGTCTCAATATCCACTTGCAGACTTTACAAACAGAGTGTTTCCTAACTACTCTATGAAAAGAAAGGTTAAACTCTGTGAGTTGAACGCACACATCACAAAGGAGTTTCTGAGAAACATTCTGTCTAGTCTTTATACGAAGATAGTTACCTTTTCTACCATTGACCTCAAAGCGGCTGAAATCTCCACTTGCAAATTCCACAAAAAGAGTGTTTCAAGTCTGCTCTGTGTAAAGGATCGTTCAAGTCTGTGAGTTGAATACACACAACACAAGGAAGTTACTGAGAATTCTTCTGTCTAGCATAATATGAAGAAATCCCATTTCCAACGAAGTCCTCAAAGGTGTCTGAATATCCACTTGCAGACTTTATAAACAGAGTGTTTACTAACTGCTCTATGAAAAGAAAGGTTAAACTGCTGTGAGTTGAACACACACATCACAAAGGATTTTCTGAGAATCATTCTGTCTAGTTTTTATACGAAGATATTTCCTATTCTACCATTGATCTCAAAGCGGCTGAAATCTCCACTTGCAAATTCCACAAGAAGAGTGTTCCAAGTATGCTCTGTGTAAAGGATCGTTCAACTCTGTGGGTTGAATACACACAACACAAGGAAGTTACTGAGAATTCTTCTGTCTAGCATAATATGAAGAAATCCCGTTTCCAACGAAGGCCTCAAAGAGGTCTGAATATCCACTTGCAGACATTATAAACAGAGTGTTTCCTAACTGCTCTATGAAAAGAAAGGTTAAACTCTGTGAGTTGAACGCACACATCACAAAGGAGTTTCTGAGAATCATTCTGTCTAGTTTCTATAGGAAGATATTTCCTATTCTACCATTGACCTCAAAGCGGCTGAAATCTCCACTTGCAAATTCCACAAAAAGAGTGTTTCAAGTCTGCTCTGTGTAAAGGATCGTTCAACTGTGTGAGTTGAATACACACAACACAAGGAAGTTTCTGAGAATTCTTCTGTCTAGCAGAATATGAAGAAATCCCGTTTCCAACGAAGGCCTCAAAGAGGTCTGAATATCCACTTGCAGAGTTTACGAACAGAGTGTTTCCCAACTGCTCTATGAAAAGAAAGGTTAAACTCTGTGAGTTGAACGCACACATCACAAAGGAGTTTCTGAGAATCATTCTGTCTAGTTTTTATACGAAGATATTTCCTTTTCTACCATTGACCTCAAAGCGGCTGAAATCTCCACTTGCAAATTCCACAAAGAGAGTGTTTCAATTCTGCTCTGTGTAAAGGGTCGTTCAACTCTGTGAGTTGAAAACACACAACACAAGGAAGTTTCTGAGAATTCTTCTGTCTAGCAGAATATGAAGAAATCCCGCTTCCAACGAAGGCCTCAAAGAAGTCTGAATATCCACTTGCAGACTTTACAAACAGAGTGTTTCCCAACTACTCTATGAAAAGAAAGGTTGAACTATGTGAGTTGAACGCACACATCACAAAGGAGTTTCTGAGAATCATTCTGTCTAGTTTCTATAGGAAGATATTTCCTATTCTACCATTGACCTCAAAGCGGCTGAAATCTCCACTTGCAAATTCCACAAAAAGAGTTTTTCAAGTCTGCTCTCTGTAAA
This sequence comes from Homo sapiens, assembly GCF_000001405.40. NCBI lineage: Eukaryota > Metazoa > Chordata > Mammalia > Primates > Hominidae > Homo > Homo sapiens. The sequence continues at coordinate 47,352,935 of NC_000005.10, read as the reverse complement.
GGATCGTTCAACTCTGTGAGTTGAATACACACAACACAAGGAAGTTACTGAGAATTCTTCTGTCTAGCAGAATATGAAGAAATCCCGTTTCCAACGAAGGCCTCAAAGAGGTCTGAATATCCACTTGAAGACTTTACAAACAGAGTGTTTCCTAACTGCCCTAATAAAAGAAAAGTTAAACTCTGTGAGTTGAACGCACACATCACAAAGGAGTTTCTGAGAATCATTCTGTCTAGTTTCTATAGGAAGATATTTCCTATTCTACTATTGACCTCAAAGCGGCTGAAATCTCCACTTGCAAATTCCACAAAAAGAGTGTTTCAAGTCTGCTCTTTGTAAAGGATCGTTCAGCTCTGTGATTTGAAAACACGCAACACAAGGAAGTTACTGAGAATTCTTCTGTCTAGCAGAATATGAAGAAATCCCGTTTCCAACGAAGGCCTAATAGAGGTCTGAATATCCAATTGCAGACTTTACAAACAGAGTGTTTCCTAACTGCTCTATGAAAAGAAAGGTTAAACTCTGTGAGTTGAACGCACGCATCACAAAGGAGTTTCTGAGAATCATTCTGTCTAGTCTTTATACGAAGATATTTCCATTTCTACCATTGACCTCAAAGCGGCTGAAATCTCCACTTGCAAATTCCACAAAAAGAGTGTTTCAAGTCTGCTCTGTGTAAAGGATCGTTCAACTCTGTGAGTTGAATACACACAACACAAGGAAGTTACTGAGAATTCTTCTGTCTAGCAGAATATGAAGAAAGCCCGTTTCCAACGAAGGCTGCAAGATTTCAGAATATCCACTTACAGAATTTACAAACAGAGTGTTTCCTAACTGCTCTATGAAAAGAAAGGTTAAATTCTGTGAGTTGAACGAACACATCAAAACGCAGTTTGTGGGAATGATTCTGTCTAGTTTTGAAACGAAGATATTTCCTTTTCTGTCATTGACCTTAAAGCGCTTGAAATCTACACTTGCAAATTGCACAAATAGAGTGTTTCAAATCTGCTCTGTCTAAGGGAACGTTCATCTCTGTGAGTTGAATGCACACAACACAAGGAAGTTACTGGGAATTCTTCTGTCTAGCCTTACATGAAAAAAACCCGTTTCCAACGAAGGCCTCTAAGTGTTCAAAATATGCACGTGCAGACTTTACAAAGAGAGAGTTTCCAAACTGCTGAATGAAAAGAAAAGTTAAACTCTGAGAGTTGAACGCACAAATCACAGAGCAGTTTCTCAGAATGATTCTGTCTAGTTTTTATACGAAGATATTTCCTTTTCTGCCTTTGGCCTCAAAGCGCTTGAAATCTCCACTTGCAAATTCCACAAAAAGAGTGTTTCAAATCTGTTCTGTGTAAATCAAAGTTCAACTCTGTGAGTTGAACACACACAACACAAGGAAGTTACTGGGAATTCTTCTGTCTAGCAGAATATGAAGAAATCCCGTTTCCAACGAAGGCTTCAAAGAGGTCTGAATATCCACTTGCAGACTTTACAAACAGAGTGTTTCCTAACTGCTCTATGAAAAGAAAAGTTAAACTCTGTGAGTTGAACGCACACATCACAAAGGAGTTTCTGAGAATCATTCTGTCTAGTTTCTATAGGAAGATATTTCCTATTCTACCATTGACCTCAAAGCGGCTAAAATCTCCACTTGCAAATTCCACAAAAAGAGTGCTTCAAGTCTGCTCTGTGTAAAGGATCGTTGAACTCTGAGAGTTGAATACACACAACACAAGGAAGTTACTGAGAATTCTTCTGTCTAGCAGAACATGAAGAAATCCCGCTTCCAACGAAGGCCTCAAGGAGGACTGAATATCCACTTGCAGACTTTACAAACAGAGTGTTTCCTAACTGCTCTATGAAAAGAAAGGTTAAACTCTGTGAGTTGAACGCACACATCACAAAGAAGTTTCTGAGAATCATTCTGTCTAGTCTTTATACGAAGATATTTACTTTTCTACCATTGACTTCAAAGCGGCTGAAATCTCCACTTGCAAATTCCAAAAAAAGAGTGTTTCAAGTCTGCTCTGTGTAAAGGATCATTCAACTCTGTGAGTTGAATAAACACAACACAAGGAAGTTACTGAGAATTCTTCTGTCTAGCATAATATGAAGAAATCCCGTTTCCAACGAAGGCCTCAAAGAGGTCTGAATATCCACTTGCAGACTTTACAAACAGAGTGTTTCCTAACTGCTCTATGAAAAGAAAGGTTAAACTCTGAGTTGAACGCACACATCACAAAGGAGTTTCTGAGAATCATTCTGTCTAGTTTCTATAAGAACATATTTCCTATTCTACCATTGACCTCAAAGCGGCTGAAATCTCCACTTGCAAATTCGACAAAAAGAGTGTTTCAAGCCTGCTCTCTGTAAAGGATCCTTCAACTCTGTGAGTTAAATACACACAACACAAGGAAGTTACTGAGAATTATTCTGTCTAGCATAATATGAAGAAATCCCGTTTCCAACGAAGGCCTCAAAGAGGTCTGAATATACACTTGCAGACTTTACAAACAGAGTGTTTCGTAACTGCTCTATGAGAAGAAAAGTTAAACTTTGTTAGTTGAACGCACACATCACAAAAGATTTTCTGAGAATCATTCTGTCTAGTTTCTATAGGAAGGTATTTCCTATTCTACCATTGACCCCAAAGCGGCTGAAATCTCCACTTGCAAATTCCACAAAAAGAGTGTTTCAAGACTGTTCTGTGTAAAGGATCATTCAACTCTGTGAGTTGAATACACACAACACAAGGAAGTTACTGAGAAATCTTCTGTCTAGCAGAATATGAAGAAATCCCGTTTAAAACGAAGGCCACAAGATTTCAGAATATCCACTTACAGACTTTACAAACAGAGTGTTTCCTAACTGCTCTATGAACAGAAAGGTTAAACTCTGTGAGTTGAACGAACACATCACAACGCAGTTTGTGGGAATGATTCTGTCTAGTTTTGAAACGAAGATATTTCCTTTTCTGCCGTTGACCTTAACGCGCTTGAAATCTACACTTGCAAATTGCACAAATAGAGTGTTTCAAATCTGCTCTGTCTAAGGGAACGTTCAACTCTGTGAGTTGAATGCACACAACACAAGGAAGTTACTGGGAATTCTTCTGTCTAGCCTTACATGAAAAAAAACCGTTTCCAACGAAGGCCTCTAAGCGGTCAAAATATCCACGTGCAGACTTTACAAACAGAGTGTTTCCACACTGCTGAATGAAAAGAAAAGTTTAACTCTGAGAGTTGAACGCACACATCGCAGAGCAGTTTCTGAGAATGATTCTGTCTAGTTTTTATACGAAGATATTTCCTTTTCTGCCTTTGGCGCCAAAGCGCTTGAAATCTCCAGTTGCAAATTCCACAAAAACAGTGTTTCAAATCTGCTCTCTCTAAAAGAAAGTTCAACTCTGTCAGTTGAATACACACAACACAGGGAAGTTACTGAGAATTCTTCTGTCTAGCATAGTATGAAGAAATCCCGTTTCCAACGAAGGCCTCAAAGAGGTCTGATTATCCACTTGCAGACTTTACAAAAAGAGTGTTTCCTAACTGCTCTATGAAAAGAAAGGTTAACCTCTGTGAGTTGAATGCACACATCATAAAGGAGTTTCTGAGAATCATTCTGTCTAGTTTTTCTACGAAGATATTTCCTTTTCTACTATTGACCTCAAAGCGGCTGAAATCTGCACTTGAAAATTCCACAAAAAGAGTGTTTCAAGTCTGCTCTGTGTAAAGGATCGTTCAACTCTGCGAGTTCAATACACACAACACAAGGAAGTTACTGAGAATTCTTCTGTCTAGCAGAATATGAAGAAATCCCGTTTCCAACGAAGGTCTCAAGGAGGTCTGAATATCCACTTGCAGACTTTACAAACAGAGTGTTTCCTAACTGCTCTATGAAAAGAAAGGTTAAACTCTGTGAGTTGAACGCACACATCACAAAGGAGTTTATGAGAATCATTCTGTCTTGTTTCTATACGAAGATTTTTCCTTTTCTACCATTGACCTCAAAGCGGCTGAAATCTCCACTTGCACATTCCACAAAAAGAGTGTGTCAAGTCTGCTCTGTGTAAAGGATCGTTCAATTCTGTGAGTTGAATACACACAACAGAAGGAAGTTACTGAGAATTCTTCTGTCTAGCCTTATATGAAAAAAACCCGTTTCCAACGAAGGCCTCAAACAGGTCTGAATATCCACTTGCAGACTTTACAAACAGAGTGTTTCCTAACTGCTCTATGAAAAGAAAGGTTAAACTCTGTGAGTTGAACGCACACATCACAAAGGAGTTTCTGAGAATCTTTCTGTCTAGTTTCTTTAGGAAGATATTTCCTATTCTACCATTGAGCTCAAAGCGGCTGAAATCTCCACTTGCAAATCCCACAAAAAGAGTTTTTCAAGTCTGCTCTCTGTAAAGGATCGTTCAACTCTGTGAGTTGAATACACACAACACAAGGAAGTTACTGAGAATTATTCTGTCTAGCAGAATATGAAGAAATCCCGTTTCCAAGGAAGGCCTCAAAGAGGTCTGAATATCCACATGCAGACTTTACAAACAGAGTGTTTCCTAACTGCTCTATGAAAAGAAAGGTTAAACTACTGTGAGTTGAACGCACACATCACAAAGGAGTTTATGAGAATCATTCTGTCTAGTCTTTATACGAAGATATTTACTTTTCTACCATTGACTTCAAAGCGGCTGATATCTCCACTTGCAAATTCCACAAAAAGAGTGTTTCAAGTCTGCTCTGTGTAAAGGATCATTCAACTCTGTGAGTTGAATAAACACAACACAAGGAAGTTACTGAGAATTATTCTGTCTAGCATAATATGAAGAAATCCCGTTTCCAACGAAGGCCTCAAAGAGGTCTGAATATCCACTTGCAGACTTTACAAACAGAGTGTTTCCTAACTGCTCTATGAGAAGAAAAGTAAAACTCTGTGAGTTGAACGCACACATCACAAAAGATTTTCTGAGAATCATTCTTTCTAGTTTTTCTACGAAGATATTTCCTTTTCGACTATTGACCTCAAAGCGGCTGAAATCTCCACTTGCAAATTCCACAAAAAGAGTGTTTCAAGTCTGCTCTCTGTAAAGGATCGTTCAACTCTGTGACTTGAATACACACAACACAAGGAATTTACTGAGAATTATTCTGTCTAGCAGAATATGAAGAAATCCCGTTTCCAACGAAGGCCACAAGATGTCAGAATATCCACTTATAGACTTTACAAACAGAGTGTTTCCTAACTGCTCTATGAAAAGAAAAGTTAAACTCTGTGAGTTAAACGCACACATCACAAAGGAGTTTATGAGAATCATTCTGTCTAGTTTTGAAACGAAGATATTTCCTTTTCTGCCGTTGACCTTAAAGATCTTGAAATCTACACTTGCAAATTGCACAAATAGAGTGTTTCAAATCTGCTCTGTCTAAGGGAACGTTCAACTCTGTGAGTTGAATGCACACAACACAAGGAAGTTACTGGGAATTCTTCTGTCTAGCCTTACATGAAAAAAACCCGTTTCCAACGAAGGTCTCTCGGTGGTCAAATTATCCACGTGCAGACTTTACAAACAGAGTGTTTCCAAACTGCTGAATGAAAAGAAAAGTTAAACTCTGAGAGTTGAACGCACACATCGCAGAGCAGTTTCTGAGAATGATTCTGTCTAGTTTTTCTACGAAGATATTTCCTTTTCTGCCTTTGGCCCCAAAGAGCTTGAAATCTCCACTTGCAAATTCCACAAAAACAGTGTTTCAAATCTGCTCTCTCTAAATGAAAGTTCAACTCTGTCAGTTGAATACACACAACACAAGGAAGTTACTGAGAATTCTTCTGTCTAGCAGAATATGAAGAAATCCCGTTTCCAACGAAGGCCACAAAGAGGTCTGAATATCCACTTGCAGACTTTACAAACAGAATGTTTCCTAACTGCTCTATGAAAAGAAAAGTTAAACTCTGTGAGTTGAACGCACACATCACAAAGGAGTTTCTGAGAATCATTCTGTCTAGTTTTTCTACGAAGATATTTCCTTTTCTACTATTGACCTCAAAGCGGCTGAAATCTCCACTTGCAAATTCCACAAAAGGAGTGTTTCAAGTCTGCTCTGTGTAAAGGATCGTTCAACTCTGTGAGTTGAATACACACAACACAAGGAAGTTACTGAGAATTCTTCTGTCTAGCAGAATATGAAGAAATCCCGTTTCCAACGAAGGCCTCAAAGAGGTCTGAATATCCACTTGCAGACTTTACAAACAGAGTGTTTCCTAACTGCTCTATGAAAAGTAAGGTTAAACTCTGTGAGTTGAACGCACACATCACAAAGGAGTTTCTGAGAATCATTCTGTCTAGTTTTCATACGAAGATATTTCCTTTTCTGCCATTGACCTCAAAGCGGCTGAAATCTCCACTTGCAAATTCCACAAAAAGAGTGTTTCAAGTCTGCTCTGTGTAAAGGATCGTTCAACTCTGTGAGTTGAATACACACAACACAAGGAAGATTCTGAGAATTCTTCTGTCTACCATAGTATGAAGAAATCCCGTTTCCAACGAAGGCCTCAAGGAGGTCTGAATATCCACTTGCAGAGTTTAGAAACAGAGTGTTTCCTAACTGCTCTATGAAAAGAAAGGTTAAACTCTGTGAGTTGAACGCACACATCACAAAGAAGTTTCTGAGAATCATTCTGTCTAGTTTTTATACGAAGATATTTCCTTTTCTACCATTGACCTCAAAGCGGCTGAAATCTCCAATTGCAAATTCCACAAAAAGAGTGTTTCAAGTCTACTCTGTGTAAAGCATCGTTCAACTCCGTGAGTTGAAAACACAAAACACAAGGAAGTTTCTGAGAATTCTTCTGTCTAGCAGAATATGATGAAATCCCGTTTCCAACGAAAGCCTCAAAGATGTCTGAATATCCACTTGCAGACTTTACAAACAGAGTGTTTCCTAACTGCTCTATGAAAAGAAAGGTTAAACTCTGTGAGTTGAACGCACACATCACAAAGGAGTTTCTGACAATCATTCTGTCTAGTTTTTATACGAAGAGATTTCCTTTTCTACCATTGACCTCAATGCGGCTGAAATCTCCACTTGCAAATTCCACAAAAAGAGTGTTTCAAGTCCGCTCTGTGTAAAGGATCGTTCAACTCTGTGAGTTGAATACACACAACACAAGGAAGTTACTGAGAATTCTTCTGTCTAGCAGAATATGAAGAAATCCCGTTTCCAACGAAGGCCTCAAAGAGGTCTGAATATCCACTTGCAGACTTTACAAACAGAGTGTTTCCTAACTGCTCTATGAAAAGAAAGGCTAAACTCTGTGAGTTGAACGCACACATCACAAAGGAGTTTCTGAGAATCATTCTGTCTAGTTTCTATAGGAAGATATTTCCTTTTCTACCGTTGACCTCAAAGCGGCTGAATTCTCCACTTGCAAATTCCACAACAAGAGTGTTTCAAGTCTGTTCTGTGTAAAGGATCATTGAACTCTGTGAGTTGAATACACACAACACAAGGAAGTTACTGAGAATTCTTCTGTCTAGCATAATATGAGGAAATCCCGTTTCCAACGAAGGCCTCAAAGAGGTCTGAATATCCACTTGCAGACTTTACAAACAGAGTGTTTCCTAACTGCTCTATGAAAAGAAAGGTTAAACTCTGTGAGTTGAACGCACACATCACAAAGGAGTTTCTGAGAATCATTCTGTCTAGTTTTTATACGAAGATATTTCCTTTTCTACCATTGACCTCAACGCGGCTGAAATCTCCACTTGCAAATTCCACAAAAAGAGTGTTTCAAGTCCGCTCTGTGTAAAGGGTCTTTCAACTCTGTGAGTTGAATACACACAACACAAGGAAGATTCTGAGAATTCTTCTGTCTAGCAGAATATGAAGAAATCCCGTTTCCAACGAAGGCCTCAAAGAGGTCTGAATATCCACTTGCAGACTTTACAAACAGAGTGTTTCCTAACTGCTCTATGAAAAGAAAGGTTAAACTCTGTGAGCTGAACGCACACAGCACAAAGGAGTTTCTGAGAATCATTCTGTCTACTTTCTATAGGAAGATATTTCCTATTCTACCATTGACCTCAAAGCGGATGAAATCTCCACTTGCAAATTCCACAAAAGAAGTGTTTCAAGTCTGCTCTGTGTAAAGGATCGTTCAACTCTGTGAGTTGAAAACACACAACACAAGGAAGTTTCTGAGAATTCTTCTGTCTAGCCTTATATGAAAAAAACCCGTTTCCAACGAAGGCCTCAAAGAGGTCTGAATATCCACTTGCAGACATTACAAACAGAGTGTTTCCTAACTGCTCTAAGAAAAGAAAGGTTAAACTCTGTGAGTTGAACGTACACATCACAAAGGAGTTTCTGAGAATCATTCTGTCTAGTTTTTATACGAAGATATTTCCTTTTCTACCATTGACCTCAAAGCGGCTGAAATCTCCACTTGCAAATTCAACAAAAAAAGTGTTTCTAATCAGCTCTGTGTAAAGGATCGTTGAACTCTGTGAGTTGAATGCACACTACACAAGGAAGTTACTGAGAATTCTTCTGTCTAGCAGAATATGAAGAAATCCCGTTTCCAACGAAAGCCTCAAAGAGGTCTGAATATCCCCTTGCAGACTTTACAAACAGAGTGTTTCCTAACTGCTCTATGAAAATAAAGGTTAAACTCTGTGAGTTGAACGCACATATCACAAAGGAGTTTCTGAGAATCATTCTGTCTACTCTTTATACGAACATAGTTTCCTTTTCTACCTTTGACCTCAAAGCGGCTGAAATCTCCACTTGCAAATTCCACAAAAAGAGTGTTTCAAGTCTGCTCTGTGTAAAGGATCGTTCAACTCTGTGAGTTGAATACACACAACACAAGGAAAGTTACTGAGAATTCTTCTGTCTAGCTGAACATGAAGAAATCCCGCTTCCAACGAAGGCCTCAAGGAGGTCTGAATATCCACTTGCAGACTTTACAAACAGAGTGTTTCCTAACTGCTCTATGAAAAGAAAGGTTAAACTCTGTGAGTTGAACGCACACATAACAAAGGAGTTTCTGAGAATCATTCTGTCTAGTTTTTATAGGAAGTTATTTCCTTTTCTACCTTTGACTTCAAAGTGGCTGAAATCTCCACTTGCAAATTCCACAAAAAGAGTGTTACAAGTCTGCTCTGTGTAAAGGATCGTTCAACTCTGTGAGTTGAATACACACAACACAAGGGAGTTACTGAGAATTCTTCTGTCTAGCAGAATATGAAGAAATCCCGCTTCCAACGAAGGCCTCAAAGAACTCTGAATATCCACTTGCAGACTTTACAAACAGAGTGTTTCCCAACTGCTCTATGAAAAGAAAGGTTGAACTCTGTGAGTTGAACGCACACATCACAAAGGAGTTTCTGAGAATCATTCTGTCTAGTTTCTATAGGAAGATATTTCCTATTCTACCATTGACCTCAAAGCGGCTGAAATCTCCACATGCAAATTCCACAAAAAGAGTGTTTCAAGTCTGCTCTGTGTAAAGGATCGTTCAACTCTGTGAGTTGAATACACACAACACAAAGAAGTTACTGAGAATTCTTCTGTCTAGCACAGTATGAAGAAATCCCGTTTCCAACGAAGGCCTCAAAGAGGTCTGAATATCCACTTGCAGAGTTTACAAACAGAGTGTTTCCTAACTGCTCTATGAAAAGAAAGGTTAAACTCTGTTAGTTGAACGCACACATCACAAAGAAGTTTTTGAGAATCATTCTGTCTAGTTGTTATACGAAGATATTTCCTTTTCTACCATGGACCTCAAAGCGGCTGAAACCTCCACTTACAAATTCCACCAAATGAGTGTTTCAAATCTGCTCTGTGTAAAGGATCGTTCAACTGTGTGAGTTGAATACAAACAACACAAGGAAGATTCTGAGAATTCTTCTGTCTAGCAGAATATGAAGAAATCCCGTTTCCAACGAAGGCCACAAGATGTCTGAATATCCACTTACAGACTTTACAAACAGAGTGTTTCCTAACTGCTCTATGAACAGAAAGGTTAAACTCTGTGAGTTGTACGAACACATCACAACGCAGTTTGTGGGAATCATTCTGTCTAGTTTTGAAACGAAGATATTTCCTTTTCTGCCGTTGACCTTAAAGCGCTTGAAATCTACACTTGCAAATTACACAAATAGAGTGTTTCAAATCTGCTCTGTCTAAGGGAACGTTCAACTCTGTGAGTGGAATGCACACAACACAAGGAAGTTACTGGGAATTCTTCTGTCTAGCCTTACAGGAAAAAAACCCATTTCCAACGAAGGCTTCTAAGTGGTCAAAATATCCACGTGCAGACTTTACAAACAGAGTGTTTCCAAACTGCTGAATGAAAAGAAAAGTTAAACTCTGAGAGTTGAACGCACACATCGCAGAGCAGTTTCTGAGAATGATGCTGTCTAGTTTTTATACGAAGATATTTCCTTTTCTGCCTTTGGCCTCAAAGCGCTTGAAATCTCCACTTGCAAATTCCACAAAAAGAGTGTTTCAAATCTGCTCCTGTGTAAATCAAAGTTCAACTCTGTGAGTTGAACACACACAACACAAGGAAGTTACTGGGAATTCTTCTGTCTAGCCTTATATGAAAAAAACCCGTTTCCTACGAAGGCCTCAAAGAGGTCTGAATATCCACTTGCAGACTTTACAAACAGAGTGTTTCCTAACTGCTCTATGAAAAGAAACGTTAAACTCTGTGAGTTGAACGCACACATCACAAAGGAGTTTCTGAGAATCATTCTGTCTAGTTTTTATAGGAAGATATTTCCTTTTCTACCTTTCACTTCAAAGCGGCTGAAATCTCCACTTGCAAATTCCACAAAAAGAGTGTTACAAGTCTGCTCTGTGTAAAGGATCGTTCAACTCTGTGAGTTGAATACACACAACACAAGGAAGTTACTGAGAATTCTTCTGTCTAGCACAGTATGAAGAAACCCGTTTCTAACGAAGGCCTCAAAGAGGTCTGAATATCCACTTGCAGAGTTTAAAAACACAGTGTTTCCTAACTGCTCTATGAAAAGAAAGGTTAAACTGTGTGAGTTGAACACACACATCACAAAGAAGTTTCTGAGAATCATTCTGCCTAGTTTCTATAGGAAGATATTTCCTATTCTACCATTGACCTCAAAGCGGCTGAAATCTCCACTTGCAAATTCCACAAAAAGAGTGTTTCAAGACTGTTCTGTGTAAAGGATCATTCAACTCTGTGAGTTGAATACACACAACACAAGGAAGTTACTGAGAATTCTTCTGTCTAGCAGAATATGAAGAAATCCCGTTTCCAACGAAGGCCACAAGATGTCAGAATATCCTCTTACAGAATTTACAAACAGACTGTTTCCTAACTGCTCTATGAAAAGAAAGGTTAAACTCTGTGAGTTGAACGAACACCTCACAACGCAGTTTGTGGGAATGATTCTGTCTAGTTTTGAAACGAAGATATTTCCTTTTCTGCCATTGACCTTAAAGCGCTTGAAATCTCCACTTGCCAATTGCACAAAAGGAGTGTTTCAAATCTGCTCTGTCTAAGGGAACGTTCAACTCTGTGAGTTGAATGTACACAACACAAGGAAGTTACTGGGAATTCTTCTGTCTAGCCTTACAGGAAAAAAACCCGTTTCCAACGAAGGCCTCTAAGTGGTCAAATTATCCACGTGCAGACTTTACAAACAGAGTGCTTCCAAACTGCTGAATGAAAAGAAAAGTTAAACTCTGAGAGTTGAACACACACATCGCAGAGCAGTTTCTGAGAATGATTCTGTCTAGTTTTTACACGAAGATATTTCCTTTTCTGCCTTTGGCCTCAAAGCGCTTGAAATCTCCACTTGCAAATTCCACAAAAAGAGTGTTTCAAATCTGCTCTGTGTAAATGAAAGTTCAACTCTGTGAGTTGAACACACACAACACAAGGAAGTTACTGGGAATTCTTCTCTCTAGCCTTATATGAAAAAAACCCGTTTCCAACGAAGGCCTCAAAGAGGTCTGAATATCCACTTGCAGACTTTAGAAACAGAGTGTTTCCTAACTGCTCTATGAAAAGAAAGGTTAAACTCTGTGAGTTGAACGCACACATGACAAAGGAGTTTCTGAGAATCATTCTGTCTAGTTTCTATAGGAAGATATTTCCTATTCTACCATTGACCTCAAAGCGGCTGAAATCTCCACTTGCAAATTCCAGAAAAAGAGTGTTTCAAGTCTGCTCTGTGTAAAGGATCGTTCAACTCTGTGAGTTGAATACACACAACACAATGAAGTTACTGAGAATTCTTCTGTCTAGCATAATATGTAGAAATCCCGTTTCCAACGAAGGCCTCAAAGGGGTCTGAATATCCACTTGCAGACTTTATAAACAGACTGTTTACTAACTGCTCTATGAAAAGAAAGGTTAAACTCTGTGAGTTGAACACACACATCACAAAGGAGTTTCTGAGAATCATTCTGTCTAGTTTCTATAGGAAGATATTTCCTATTCTACCATTGAACTCAAAGCGGCTGAAATCTCCACTTGCAAATTCCACAAAAAGAGTGTTTCAAGTCTGCTCTGTGTAAAGGATCGTTCAACTCTGTGAGTTGAATACACACATCACAAGGAAGTTACTGAGAATACTTCTGTCTAGCAGAATATGAAGAAATCCCGTTTCCAACGAAGGCCACAAGATGTCAGAATATCCACTCACAGAATTTACAAACAGAGTGTTTCCTAACTGCTCTATGAAAAGAAAGGTTAAACTCTGTGAGATGAACGAACACATCACAACGCAGTTTGTGGGAATGATTCTGTCTAGTTGTTATAGGAAGATATTTCCTTTTCTACCTTTGACTTCAAAGCGGCTGAAATCTCCACTTGCAAATTCCACAAAAAGAGTGTTACAAGTCTGCTCTGTGTAAAGGATCGTGCAACTCTGTGAGTTGAATACACACAACTCAAGGAAGTTACTGAGAATTCTTCTGTCTAGCCTTACATGAAAAAAACCCGTTTCCAACGAAGGCCTCTAAGTAGTCAAATTATCCACGTGCAGACTTTACAAACAGAGTGTTTCCAAACTGCTGAATGAAAAGAAAAGTTAAACTCTGAGAGTTGAACGCACACATCGCAGAGCAGTTTCTGAGAATGATTCTGTCTAGTTTTTATTCGAAGATATTTCCTTTTCTGCCTTTGGCCCCAAAGCGCTTGAAATCTCCACTTGCAAATTCCACAAAAACAGTGTTACAAAACTGCTCTCTCTAAATGAAAGTTCAACTCTGTCAGTTGAATACACACAACACAAGGAAGTTACTGAGAATTCTTTTGTCTAGCATAATATGAAGAAATCCCGTTTCCAACGAAGGCCGCTAAGAGGTCTGAATATCCACTTGCAGACTTTAAAAACAGAGTGTTTCCTAATTGCTCTATGAAAAGAAAGGTTAAACTTTGTGAGTTGAACGCACACATCACAAAGGAGTTTCTGAGAATCATTCTGTCTAGTTTCTATAGGAAGATATTTCCTATTCTACCATTGACCTCAAAGCGGCTGAAATCGCCAATTGCAAACTCCACAAAAAGAGTGTTTCAAGTCTGCTCTGTGTAAAGGATCGTTCAACTCTGTGAGTTGAATACACACAACACAAGGAAGTTACTGAGAATTCTTCTGTCTAGCATAGTATGAAGAAATCCCGTTTCCAACGAAGGCCTCAAACAGGTCTGAATATCCACTTGCAGAGTTTACATACAGAGTGTTTCCTAACTGCTCTATGAAAAGAAAGGTTAAACTCTGTGAGTTGAACGCACACATCACAAAGAAGTTTCTGAGAATCATTCTGTCTAGTCTTTATACGAAGATAATTCCTTTTCTACCATTGACCTCAAAGCGGCTGAAATCTCCACTTGCAAATTCCACAAAAAGAGTGTTTCAAGTCTGCTCTGTGTAAGGGATCGTTCAACTCTGTGAGTTGAATACACACAACACAAGGAAGTTACTGAGAATTCTTCTGTCTAGCAGAATATGAAGAAATCCCGTTTCCAACGAAGGCCACAAGAGGTCAGAATATCCACTTACAGACTTTACAAACAGAGTGTTTCCTAACTGCTCTATGAACAGAAAGGTTAAACTCTGTGAGTTCAACGAACACATCACAACGCAGTTTGTGGGAATGATTCTGTCTAGTTTTGAAACGAAGATATTTTCTTTTCTGCCTTTGACCTTAAAGCGCTTGAAATCTACACTTGCAAATTGCACAAATAGAGTGTTTCAAATCTGCTCTGTCTAAGGGAACGTTCATCTCTGTGAGTTGAATGCACACAACACAAGGAAGTTACTGGGAATTCTTCTGTCTAGCCTTATAGGAAAAAAACCCGTTTCCAACGAAGGCCTCTAAGTGGTCAAAATATCCACGTGCAGACTTTACAAACAGAGTGTTTCCAAACTGCTGAATGAAAAGAAAAGTTAAACTCTGAGAGTTCAACGCACACATCGCAGAGCAGTTTCTGAGAATGATTCTGTCTAGTTTTGAAACGAAGATATTTCCTTTTCTACCTTTGGCCTCAAACCGCTTGAAATCTCCACTTGCAAATTCAACAAAAAGAGTGTTTCAAATCTGCTCTGTGTAAATGAAAGTTCAACTCTGTGAGTTGAACACACACAACACAAGGAAGTTACTGGGAATTCTTCTGTCTAGCAGAATATGAAGAAATCCCGTTTCCAACGAAAGCCTCAAAGATGTCTGAATATCCACTTGCAGACTTTACAAACAGAGTGTTTCCTAACTGCTCTATGAAAAGAAAGGTTAAACTCTGTGAGTTGAACGCACACATCACAAAGGAGTTTCTGAGAATAATTCTGTCTAGTTTCTATACGAAGATATTCCCTTTTCTACCATTGACCTCAAAGCGGCTGAAATCTCCACTTGCAAATTCCACAAAAAGAGTGTTTCAAGTCTGCTCTGTGTAAAGGATCGTTCAACTCTGTGAGTTGAATACACACAACACAAGGAAGATACTCAGAATTCTTCTGTCTAGCATAATAGGAAGAAATCCCGTTTCCAACGAAGGCCTCAAGGAGGTCTGAATATCCACTTGCAGACTTTACCAACAGAGTGTTTCCTAACTGCTCTATGAAAAGAAAGGTTAAACTCTGTGCGTTGAAAGCACACATCACAAAGGAGTTTCTGAGAATCATTCTGTCTAGTTTTTATACGAAGATATCTCCTTTTCTACCATTGACCTCAAAGCGGCTGAAATCTCCACCCTGCCAATTCCACAAAAAGAGTGTTTCAAGTCTACTCTGTGTAAAGGATCGTTGAACTCTGTGAGTTGAAAACACACAACACAACGAAGTTTCTGAGAATTCTTCTGTCTAGCAGAATATGAAGAAATCCCGTTTCCAACGAAGGCCACAAGATGTCAGAATATCCACTTACAGAATTTACAAACAGACTGTTTCCTAACTGCTCTATGAAAAGAAAGGTTAAACTCTGTGAGTTAAACGAACACATCACAACGCAGTTTGTGGGAATGATTCTGTCTAGTTTTGAAACGAAGATATTTCCTTTTCTGCCGTTGACCTTAAAGGGCTTGAAATCTACAATTGCAAATTGCACAAATAGAGTGTTTCAAATCTGCTCTGTCTAAGGGAACGTTCAAATTGGTGAGTTGAATGCACACAACACAAGGAAGTTACTGGGAATTCTTCTGTCTAGCCTTACATGAAAAAAACCCGTTTCCAACGAAGGCCTCTAAGTGGTCAAAATATCCACGTGCAGACTTTACAAAAAGAGTGTTTCCAAACCGCTGAATGAAAAGAAAAGTTAAAGTCTGAGAGTTGAACGCACACATCACGCAGCAGTTTCTGAGAATGATTCTGTCTAGTTTTGAAACGAAGATATTTCCTTTTCTGCCTTTGGCCTCAAAGCGCTTGAAATCTCCACTTGCAAATTCCACAAAAAGAGTGTTTCAAATCTGCTCTGTGTAAATGAAAGTTCAACTCTGTGTGTTGAACACACACAACACAAGGGAAGTTACTGGGAATTCTTCTGTCTAGCCTTATATGAAAAAAACCCGTTTCCAACGAAGGCCTCAAAGAGGTCTGAATATCCACTTGCAGACTTTACAAACAGAGTGTTTCCTAACTGCTCTATGAAAAGAAACGTTAAACTCTGTGAGCTGAACGCACACATCACAAAGGAGTTTCTGAGAATCATTCTGTCTAGTCTTTATACGAAGATATTTCCTTTTCTACCATTGACCTCAAAGCGGCTGAAATCTCCACCTGCAAATTCCACAAAAAGAGTGTTTCAAGTCTGCTCTGTGTAAAGGATCGTTCAACTCTGTGAGTTGAATACACACAACACAAGGAAGTTACTGAGAATTCTTCTGTCTAGCACAGTATGGAGAAATCCCGTTTCCAACGAAGGCCTCAAAGAGGTCTGAATATCCACTTGCAGAGTTTACAAACAGAGTGTTTCCTAACTGCTCTATGAAAAGAAAGGTTAAACTCTGTGAGTTGAACGCACACATCACAAAGGAGTTTCTGAGAATCATTCTGTCTAGTTTTTATACGAAGATATTTCCTTTTCTAACATTGACCTCAACGCGGCTGAAATCTCCACTTGCAAATTCCACAAAAAGAGTGTTTCAAGTCTGCTCTGTGTAAAGGATCGTTCAACTCTGTGAGTTGAATACACACAACACAAGGAAAGTTACTGAGAATTCTTCTGTCTAGCAGAATATGAAGAAATCCCGTTTCCAACGAAGGCCACAAGATGTCAGAATATCCACTTACAGACTTTACAAACAGAGTGTTTCCTAAATGCTCTATGAACAGAAAGGTTAAACTCTGTGAGTTGAACGAACACATCACAACGCAGTTTGTGGGAATGATTCTGTCTAGTTTTGAAACGAAGATATTTCCTTTTCTGCCATTGACCTTAAAGCGCTTGAAATCTACACTTGCAAATTGCACAAATAGAGTGTTTCAAATATGCTCTGTCTAAGGGAACGTTCAACACTGTGAGTTGAATTCACACAACACAAGGAAGTTACTGGGAATTCTTCTGCCTAGCCTTACATGAAAAAAACCCGTTTCCAACGAAGGCCTCTAAGTGCTCAAAATATCCACGTGCAGACTTTACAAACAGAGTGTATCCAAACTGCTGAATGAAAAGAAAAGTTAAACTCTGTGAGTTCAACGCACACATCACAAAGGAGTTTCTGAGAATCATTCTGTCTAGTTTTTATACGAAGATATTTCCTTTTCTACCATTGACCTCAAAGCGGCTGAAATCTCCACTTGCAAATTCCACAAAAAGTGTGTTAGAAGTCTGCTCTGTGTAAAGGATCGTTCAACTCTGTGAGTTGAATACACACAACACAAGGAAGTTTCTGAGAATTCTTCTGTCTAGCATAATATGAAGAAATCCCGTTTCCAACGAAGGCCTCAAAGAGGTCTGAATATCCACTTGCAGACTTTACAAACAGAGTGTTTCCTAACTGCTCTATGAAAGGAAAAGTTAAACTCTGTGAGTTGAACGCACACATCACAAAGGATTTTCTGAGAATCATTCTGTCTAGTTTTTATACGAAGATATTTCCTTTTCTACCATTGACCTCAACGCGGCTGAAATCTCCACTTGCAAATTCCACAAAAAGTGTGTTTCAAGTCCGCTCTGTGTAAAGGATCGTTCAACTCTGTGAGTTGAATACACACAACACAAGGAAGTTAATGAGAATTCTTCTGTCTAGCATAGTATGAAGAAATCCCGTTTCCAACGAAGGCCTCAAAGAGGTCTGACTATCCACTTGCAGAGTTTACAAACAGAGTGTTTCCTAACTGCTCTATGAAAAGAAAGGTTAAACTCTGTGAGTTGAACGCACACATCACAAAGAAGTTTCTGAGAATCATTCTGTCTAGTTTTTATACGAAGATATTTCCTTTTCTGCCGTTGGCCTCAAAGCGCTTGAAATCTCCACTTGCAAATTCCACAAAAAGAGTGTTTCAAATCTGCTCTCTGTAAATGAAAGTTCAACTCTGTGAGTTGAACACACACAACACAAGGAAGTTACTGGGAATTCTTCTGTCTAGCCTTATATGAAAAAAACCCGTTTCCAACGAAGGCCTCAAAGAGGTCTGAATATCCACTTGCAGACTTTACAAACAGAGTGTTTCCTAACTGCTCTATGAAAAGGAAGGTTAAACTCTGTGAGTTCAACGCACACATCACAAAGGAGTTTCTGAGAATCATTCTGTCTAGTTTTTATAGGAAGATATTTCCTTTTCTACATTTGACTTCAAAGCGGCTGAAATCTCCACTTGCAAATTCCACAAAAAGAGTGTTTCAAATCTGCTCTGTGTAAATGAAAGTTCAACTCTGTGAGTTGAACACACACAACACAAGGAAGTTACTGAGAATTCTTCTGTCTAGCAGAATATGAATAAATCCCGTTTCCAACGAAAGCCTCAAGGATGTCTGAATATCCACTTGCAGACTTTACAAACAGAGTGTTTCCTAACTGCTCTATGAAAAGAAAGGTTAAACTCTGTGAGTTGAACGCACACATCACAAAGGAGTTTCTGAGAATCATTCTGTCTAGTTTCTATAGGAAGATATTTCCTATTCTACGATTGACCTCAAAGCGGCTGAAATCTCCACTTGCAAATTCCACAAAAAGAACGTTTCAAGTCTGCTCTGTGTAAAGGATCGTTCAACTCTGTGAGTTGAATACACACAACACAAGGAAGTTACTGAGAATTCTTCTGTCTAGCAGAATATGAAGAAATCCCTTTTCCAACGAAGGCCACAAGGATGTCAGAATATCCACTTACAGACTTTACAAACAGAGTGTTTCCTAACTGCTCTATGAACAGAAAGGTAAAACTCTGTGAGTTGAACGAACACATCACAACGCAGTTTGTGGGAATGATTCTGTCTAGTTTTGAAACGAAGATATTTCCTTTTCTGCCATTGACCTTAAAGCGCTTGAAATCTACACTTGCACATTGCACAAATAGAGTGTTTCAAATCTGCTGTGTCTAAGGGAACGTTCAACTCTGTGAGTTGAATGCACACAACACAAGGAAGTTACTGGGAATTCTTCTGTCTAGACTTACATGAAAAAAACCCGTTTCCAACGAAGGCCTCAAAGAGGTCAAAATATCCACTTGCAGACTTTACAAACAGAGTGCTTCCAAACTGCTGAATGAAAAGAAAAGTTAAACCCTGAGAGTTGAACGCACACATCGCAGAGCAGTTTCTGAGAATGATTCTGTCTAGTTTTTATACGAAGATATTTCCTTTTCTGCCTTTGGCCCCAAAGCGCTTGAAATCTCCCCTTGCAAATTCCACAAAAAGAGTGTTTCAAGTCTGCTCTGTGTAAAGGATCGTTCAACTCTGTCACTTGAATACACACAACACAAGGAAGTTACTGAGAATTCTTCTGTCAAGCCTTATATGAAAAAAACCCGTTTCCAACGAAGGCCTCAAAGAGGTCTGAATATCCACTTGCAGACTTTACAAACAGAGTGTTTCCTAACTGCTCTATGAAAAGAAAGGTTAAACTCTGTGAGTTGAACGCACACATCACAAAGGAGTTTCTGAGAATCATTCTGTCTAGTTTTTATAGGAAGATATTTCCTTTTCTACCTTTGACTTCAAAGCGGCTGAAATCTCCACTTTCAAATTCCACAAAAAGAGTGTTACAAGTCTGCTCTGTGTAAAGGATCGTTCAACTGTGTGAGTTGAATACACACAACACAAGGAAGTTACTGAGAATTCTTCTGTCTAGCCTTACATGAAAAAAACCCGTTTCCAACGAAGGCCTCTAAGTGGTCAAATTATCCACGTGCAGACTTTACAAACAGAGTGTTTCCAAACTGCTGAATGAAAAGAAAAGTTAAACTCTGAGAGTTGAACGCACACATCGCAGAGCAGTTTCTCAGAATGATTCTGTCTAGTTTTTATACGAAGATATTTCCTTTTCTGCCTTTGGCCTCAAACCGCTTGAAATCTCCATTTGCAAATTCCACAAAAAGAGTGTTTCAAATCTGCTCTGTGTAAATGAAAGTTCAACTCTGTGAGTTGAACACACACAACACATGGAAGTTAGTGGGAACTCTTCTTTCTAGCAGAATATGAAGAAATCCCGTTTCCAACGAAAGCCTCAAGGATGTCTGAATATCCACTTGCAGACTTTACAAACAGAGTGTTTCCCAACTGCTCTATGAAAAGAAAGTTTAAACTCTGTGAGTTGAACGCACACATCACAAAGGAGTTTCTGAGAATCATTCTGTCTAGTTTTTCTACGAAGATATTTCCTTTTCTACTATTGACCTCAAAGCGGCTGAAATCTCCACTTGCAAATTCGACAAAAAGAGTGTTTCAAGCCTGCTCTCTGTAAAGGATCCTTCAACTCTGTGAGTTGAATACACACAACACAAGGAAGTTACTGAGAATTCTTCTGTCTAGCAGAAAATGAAGAAATCCCGTTTCCAACGAAGGCCTCAAGGAGGTCTGAATATCCACTTGCAGACTTTACAAACAGAGTGTTTCCTAACTGCTCTATGAACAGAAAGGTTAAACTCTGTGAGTTGAACGAACACATCACAACGCAGTTTGTGGGAATGATTCTGTCTAGTTTTGAAACGAAGATATTTCCTTTTCTGCCATTGACCTTAAAGCGCTTGAAATCTACACTTGCAAATTGCACAAATAGAGTGTTTCAAATCTGCTCTGTCTAAGGGAAAGTTCAACTCTGTGAGTTGAATGCACGCAACACAAGGAAGTTACTGGGAATTCTTCTGTCTAGCCTTACATGAAAAAAACCCGTTTCCAACGAAGGCCTCTAAGTGGTCAAATTATCCACGTGCAGACTTTACAAACAGAGTGTTTCCAAACTGCTGAATGAAAAGAAAAGTTAAACTCTGAGAGTTGAACGCACACATCACAGAGCAGTTTGCTGAGAATGATTCTGTCTAGTTTTTATACGAAGGTATTTCCTTTTCTGCCTTTGGCCCCAAAGCGCTTGAAATCTCCACTTGCAAATTCCACAAAAACAGTGTTTCAAATCTGCTCTCTCTAAATGAAAGTTCAACTCTGTCAGTTGAATACACACAACACAAGGAAGTTACTGAGAATTCTTCTGTCTAGCATAATATGAAGAAATCCCGTTTCCAAGGAAGGCCTCAAAGAGGTCTGAATATCCACTTGCAGACTTTACAAACAGAGTGTTTCCTAACTGCTCTATGAAAAGAAAGGTTAAACTCTGTGAGTTGAACGCACACATCTCAAAGGAGTTTCTTAGAATCATTCTGTCTAGTTTCCATAGGAAGATATTTCCTATTCTACCATTGACCTCAAAGCGGCTGAAATCTCCACTTGCAAATTCCACAAATGGAGTGTTTCAAGTCTGCTCTGAGTAAAGGATCGTTCGACTCTGTGAGTTGAATAAACACAACACAAGGGAAGTTTCTGAGAATTCTTCTGTCTAGCATAATATGAAGAAATGCCGTTTCCAACGAAGGCCTCAAAGGGGTCTGAATATCCACTTGCAGACTTTATAAACAGAGTGTTTACTAACTGCTCTATGAAAAGAAAGGTTAAACTCTGTGAGTTGAACACACACATCACAAATGAGTTTCTGAGAATCATTCTGTCTAGTTTTTATAGGAAGATATTTCCTTTTCTACCTTTGACTTCAAAGCGGCTGAAATCTCCACTTGCAAATTCCACAAAAAGAGTGTTACAAGTCTGCTCTGTGTAAAGGATCGTTCAGCTCTGTGAGTTGAATACACACAACACAAGGAAGTTACTGAGAATTCTTCTTTCTAGCAGAATATGAAGAAATCCTGTTTCCAAAGAAGGCCTCAAGGAGGTCTGAATATCCACTTGCAGACTTTACAAACAGAGTGTTTCCTAACTGCTCTATGAAAAGAAAGGTTAAACTCTGTGAGTTGAACGCACACATCACAAAGGAGTTTCTGAGAATCATTCTGTCTAGTTTCTATAGGAAGATATTTCCTATTCTACCATTGACCTCAAAGCGGCTGAAATCTCCACTTGCAAATTCCACAAAAAGAGTGTTTCAAGTCTGCTCTGTGTAAACGATCGTTCAACTCTGTGAGTTGAATACACACAACACAAGGAAGTTTCTGAGAATTCTTCTGTCTAGCAGAATTTGAAGAAATCCCGCTTCCAACGAAGGCCTCAAAGAAGTCTGAATATCCACTTGCAGACTTTACAAACAGAGTGTTTCCCAACTGCTCTATGAAAAGAAAGGTTGAACTCTGTGAGTTGAACGCACACATCACAAAGGAGTTTCTGAGAATCATTCTGTCTAGTTTCTATAGGAAGATATTTCCTATTCTACCATTGACCTCAAAGCGGCTGAAATCTCCACTTGCAAATTCCACAAAAAGATTGTTTCAAGTCTGCTCTGTGTAAAGGATCGTTCAACTCTGTGAGTTGAATACACACAACACAAGGAAGTTACTGAGAATTATTCTGTCTAGCATAATATGAAGAAATCCCGTTTCCAACGAAGGCCTCAAGGAGGTCTGAATATCCACTTGCAGACTTTACAAACAGAGTGTTTCCTAACTGCTCTATGAAAAGAAAAGATAAACTCTGTGAGTTCAACGCACACATCACAAAGGAGTTTCTCAGAATCATTCTGTCTAGTTTTTATACGAAGATATTTCCTTTTCTACCATTGACCTCAACGCGGCTGAAATCTCCACTTGCAAATTCCACAAAAAGAGTGTTTCAAGTCTGCTCTGTGTAAACGATCGTTCAACTCCGTGAGTTGAATACACACAACACAAGGGAAGTTACTGAGAATTCTTCTATCTAGCAGAATATGAAGAAATCCCGTTTCCAACGAAGACCTCAAGGAGGTCTGAATATCCACTTGCAGACTTTACAAACAGAGTGTTTCCTAACTGCTCTATGAAAAGAAAGGTGAAACTCTGTGAGTTGAATGCACACATCACAAAGAAGTTTATGAGAATCATTCTGTCTAGTTGTTATACGAAGGTATTTCCTTTTCTACCATTGACCTCAAAGCGGCTGAAATCTCCACTTGCAAATTCCACCAAATGAGTGTTTCAAATCTGCTCTGTGTAAACCATCGTTCAACTCTGTGAGTTGAATACACACAACACAAGGAAGATTCTGAGAATTCTTCTGTCTAGCAGAATATGAAGAAATCCCGTTTCCAACGAAGGCCACAAGATGTCAGAATATCCACTTACAGAATTTTCAAACAGACTGTTTCCTAACTGCTCTATGAAAAGAAAGGTTAAACTCTGTGAGTTGAACGAACACATCACAATGCAGTTTGTGGGAATGATTCTGTCTAGTTTTTGTACGAAGATATTTCCTTTTCTACCATTGACCTCAACGCGGCTGAAATCTCCACTTGCAAATTCCACAAAAAGAGTGTTTCAAGTCCGCTCTGTGTAAAGGGTCGTTCAACTCTGTGAGTTGAATACACACAACACAAGGAAGTTACTGAGAATTCTTCTGTCTAGCAGAATATGAAGAAATCCCGTTTCCAACGAAGGCCTCAAGGAGGTCTGAATATCCACTTGCAGACTTTACAAACAGAGTGTTTCCTAACTGCTCTATGAAAAGAAAGGTTAAACTCTGTGAGTTGAACGCACACATCACAAAAGAGTTTCTGAGAATCATTCTGTCTAGTTTTTATACGAAGATATTTCCTTTTCTACCATTTATCTCAACACGGCTGAAATCTCCACTTGCAAATTCCACAAAACGAGTGTTTCAAGTCCGCTCTGTGTAAAGGATCGTTCAACTCTGTGAGTTGAATACACACAACACAAGGAAGTTACTGAGAATTCTTCTGTCTAGCACAGTATGAAGAAATCCCGTTTCCAACGAAGGCCTCAAAGAGGTCTGAATATCCACTTGCAGAGTTTACAAACAGAGTGTTTCCTAACTGCTCTATGAAAAGAAAGGATAAACTCTGTGAGTTGAACGCACACATCACAATGAAGTTTCTGAGAATCATTCTGTCTAGTCTTTATACGAAGATATTTACTTTTCTACCATTGACCTCAAAGCGGCTGAAATCTCCACTTGCAAATTCCACAAAAAGAGTGTTTCAAGTCTGCTCTGTGTAAAGGATCATTCAACTCTGTGAGTTGAATAAACACAACACAAGGAAGCTACTGAGAATTCTTCTGTCTAGCAGAATATGAAGAAATACCGTTTCCAACGAAGGCCTCAAGGAGGTCTGAATATCCACTTGCAGACTTTACAAACAGAGTGTTTCCTAACTGCTCTATGAAAAGAAAGGTTAAACTCTGTGAGTTGAACGCACACATCACAAAGGAGTTCATGAGAATCATTCTGTCTAGTTTTTATAGGAAGATATTTCCTTTTCTACCTTTGACTTCAAAGCGGCTGAAATCTCCACTTGCAAATTCCACAAAAAGAGTGTTACAAGTCTGCTCTGTGTAAAGGATCGTTCAACTCTGTGAGTTGCATACACACAACACAAGGAAGTTACTGAGAATTCTTCTGTCTAGCAGAATATGAAGAAATCCCGCTTCCACCGAAGGCCTCAAAGAAGTCTGAATATCCACTTGCAGACTTTACAAACAGAGTGTTTCCCAACTGCTCTATGAAAAGAAAGGTTGAACTCTGTGAGTTGAACGCACACATCACAAAGGAGTTTCTGAGAATCATTCTGTCTAGTTTTTATACGAAGATATTTCCTTTTCTACCATTGACCTCAAAGCGGCTGAAATCTCCTCTTGCAAATTCCACAAAAAGAGTGTGTCAAGTCTACTCTGTGTAAAGCATCGTTGAACTCTGTGAGTTGAAAACACACAACACAAGGAAGTTTCTGAGAATTCTTCTGTCTAGCAAAATATGAAGAAATCCCGTTTCCAACGAAGACCTCAAGGAGGTCTGAATATCCACTTGCAGACTTTACAAACAGAGTGTTTCCTAACTGCTCTATGAAAAGAAAGGTTAAACTGTGTGAGTTGAACGCACACATCACAAAGGAGTTTCTGAGAATCATTCTGTCTAGTTTCTATAGGAAGATATTTCCTATTCTACCATGGACCTCAAAGCGGCTGAAATCTCCACTTGCAAATTCCACAAGAAGAGTGTTTCAAGTATGCTCTGTGTAAAGGATCGTTCAACTCTGTGAGTTGAATACACACAACACAAGGAAGTTACTGAGAATTCTTCTGTCTAGCCTTATATGAAAAAAACCCGTTTCCAACGAAGGCCTCGAAGAGGTCTGAATATCCACTTGCAGACTTTACAAACAGAGTGTTTCCTAACTGCTCTATGAAAAGAAAGGTTAAACTCTGTGAGTTGAACACACACATCACAAAGGAGTTTCTGAGAATCATTCTGTCTAGTTTTTATACGAAGATATTTCCTTTTCTACTATTGACCTCAAAGCGCCTGAAATCTCCACTTGCAAATTCCACAAAAAGAGTTTTTCAAGTCTACTCTGTGTAAGGCATCGTTCAACTCTGGGAGTTGAAAACACACAACACAAGGAAGTTTCTGAGAATTCTACTGTCTAGCCTTACATGAAAAAAACCAGTTTCCAACGAGGGCCTCAAAGAGGTCTGAATATCCACTTGCAGACTTTACAAACAGAGTGTTTCCTAACTGCTCTATGAAAAGAAAGGTTAAAGTTCTGTGAGTTGAACGCACAAATCACAATGAAGTTTCTGAGAATCATTCTGTCTAGTTTCTATAGGAAGATATTTCCTATTCTACCGTCGACCTCAAAGCGGCTGAAATCTCCACTTGCAAATTCCACAAAAAGAGTGTTTCAAGTCTGTTCTGTGTAAAGGATCATTCAACTCTGTGAGTTGAATACACACAACACAAGGAAGTTACTGAGAATTCTTCTGTCTAGCAGAATATGAAGAAATCCCGTTTCCAACGAAGGCCTCAAAGAGGTCTGAATATCCACTTGCAGACTTTACAAACAGAGTGTTTCCCAATTGCTCTATGAACAGAAAGGTTAAACTCTGTGAGTTGAACGCACACATCACAAAGGAGTTTCTGAGAATCATTCTGTCTAGTTTTTATACGAAGATATTTCCTTTTCTACCATTGTCCTCAAAGCGGCTGAAATCTCCACTTGCAAATTCCACAAAAAGAGTGTTTCAATTCTGCTCTGTGTAAACCATCGTTCAACTCTGTGAGTTGAATACACACAACACAAGGAGGTTACTGAGAATTCTTCTGTCTAGCATAATATGAAGAAATCCCGTTTCCAACGAAGGCCTCAAAGAGGTCTGAATATCCACTTGCAGACTTTACAAACAGAGTGTTTGCTAACTGCTCTATGAAAAGAAAGGTTAAACTCTGTGAGTTGAACGCACACATCACAAAGGAGTTTCTGAGAATCATTCTGTCTAGTTTTTATACGAAGATATTTCCTTTTCTGCCTTTGGCCTCAAAGCGCTTGAAATCTCCATTTGCAAATTCCACAAAAAGAGTGTTTCAAGTCTGCTCTGTGTAAAGGATCGTTCAACTCTGTGAGTTGAATACACACAACACAAGGAAGTTACTGAGAATTCTTCTGTCTAGCATAGTATGAAGAAATCCCGTTTCCAACGAAGGCCTCAAAGAGGTCTGAATATCCACTTGCAGAGTTTACAAACAGAGTGTTTCCTAACTGCTCTATGAAAAGAAAGGTTAAACTCCGTGAGTTGAACGCACACATCACAATGAAGTTTCTGAGAATCATTCTGTCTAGTCTTTATACGAAGATATTTCCTTTTCTACAATTGACCTCAAAGCGGCTGAAATCTCCACTTGCAAATTCCACAAAAAGAGTGTTTCAAGTCTGCTCTCTGTAAAGGATCGTTCAACTCTGTGAGTTGAATACACACAACACAAGGAAGTTACTGAGAATTCTTCTGTCTAGCATAATATGAAGAAATCCCGTTTCCTACGAAGGCCTCAAAGAGGTCTGAATATCCACTTGCAGACTTTACAAACAGAGTGTTCCCTAACTGCTCTATGAAAAGAAAGGTTAAACTCTGTGAGTTGAACGCACACATCACAAAGGAGTTTCTGAGAATCATTCTGTCTAGTTTCTATAGGAAGATATTTCCTATTCTACCATTGACCTCAAAGCGGCTGAAATCTCCACTTGCAAATTCCACAAAAAGAATGTATCAAGTCTGCTCTGTGTAAAGGATCGTTCAACTCTGTGAGTTGAATACACACAACACAAGGAAGTTACTGAGAATTCTTCTGTCTAGCATAGTATGAAGAAATCCCGTTTCCAACGAAGGCCTCAAAGAGGTCTGTATATCCACTTGCAGAGTTTACAAACAGAGTGTTTCCTAACTGCTCTATGAAAAGAAAGGTTAAACTCTGTGAGTTGAACGCACACATCACAAAGGAGTTTCTGAGAATCATTCTGTCTAGTTTTTATACGAAGATATTTCCTTTTCTACCATTGACCTCAAAGCGGCTGAAATCTCCACTTGCCAATTCCACGAAAAGAGTGTTTCAAGTCTACTCTGTGTAAAGGATCGTTGAACTCTGTGAGTTGAAAACACACAACACCAGGAAGTTTCTGAGAATTCTTCTGTATAGCAGAATATGAAGAAATCCCGTTTCCAACGAAAGCCTCAAGGATGTCTGAATATCCACTTGCAGACTTTACAAACAGAGTGTTTCCCAACTGCTCTAGGAAAAGAAAGGTTGAACTCTGTGAGTTGAACGCACACATCACAAAGGAGTTTCTGAGAATCATTCTGTCAAGTTTCTATAGGAAGATATTTCCTATTCTACCATTGACCTCAAAGCGGATGAAATCTCCACTTGCAAATTCCACAAAAAGAGTGTTTCAAGCCTGCTCTCTGTAAAGGATCGTTCAACTCTGTGAATTGAATACACACAACACAAGGAAGTTACTGAGAATTCTTCTGTCTAGCATAATATGAAGAAATCCCGTTTCCAACGAAGGCCTCAAAGAGGTCTGAATATTCACTTGCAGACTTTACAAACAGAGTGTTTCCTAACTGCTCTATGAAAAGAAAAGTTAAACTCTGTGAATTGAACGCACACATCACAAAGGAGTTTCTGAGAATCATTCTGTCTAGTTTCTATAGGAAGATATTTCCTATTCTACCATTGACCCCATAGCGGCTGAAATCTCCACTTGCAAATTCCCCAAAAAGAGTGTTTCAAGTCTGCTCTGTGTAAAGGATCGTTCAACTCTGTCAGTTGAATACACACAACACAAGGAAGTTACTGAGAATTCTTCTGTCTAGCAGAATATGAAGAAATCCCGCTTCCAACGAAGGCCTCAAAGAAGTCTGAATATCCACTTGCAGACTTTACAA
This sequence comes from Homo sapiens, assembly GCF_000001405.40. NCBI lineage: Eukaryota > Metazoa > Chordata > Mammalia > Primates > Hominidae > Homo > Homo sapiens. Next base: position 47,324,578 of record NC_000005.10, on the reverse strand, counting down.
ACAGAGTGTTTCCCAACTGCTCTATTAAAAGAAAGGTTCAACTCTGTGAGTCGAACGCACACATCACAAAGGAGTTTCTGAGAATCATTCTGTCTAGTTTCTATACGAAGATATTCCCTTTTCTACCATTGACCTCAAAGCGGCTGAAATCTCCACTTGCAAATTTCACAAAAAGAGTGTTTCAAGTCTGCTCTGTGTAAAGGATCGTTCAACTCTGTGAGTTGAATACACACAACACAAGGAAGTTACTGAGAATTCTTCTGTCTAGCATAATATGAAGAAATCCCGTTTCCAACGAAGGCCTCAAAGAGGTCTGAATATCCACTTGCATACTTTACAAACAGAGTGTTTCCTAACTGCTCTATGAAAAGAAAGGTTAAACTCTGTGAGTTGAACGCACACATCACAAAGGAGTTTATGAGAATCATTCTGTCTACCTTCTATAGGAAGATATTTCCTATTCTACCATTGACCTCAAAGCGGCTGAAATCTCCACTTGCAAATTCCACAAAAGGAGTGTTTCAAGTCTGCTCTGTGTAAAGGATCGTTCAACTCTGTGAGTTGAAAACACACAACACAAGGAAGTTTCTGAGAATTCTTCTGTCTAGCAGAATATGAAGAAATCCCGTTTTCAACGAAGGCCTCAAAGAGGTCTGAATATCCACTTGCAGACTTTACAAACAGAGTGTTTCCTAAATGCTCTATGAAAAGAAAGGTTAAACTCTGTGAGTTGAACGCACACATCACAAAGGAGTTTATGAGAATCATTCTGTCTAGTTTCTATAGGAAGATATTTCCTATTCTACCATTGACTTCAAAGCGGCTGAAATCTCCACTTGCAAATTCCACAAAAGGAGTGTTTCAAGTCTGCTCTGTGTAAAGGATCGTTCAACTCTGTGAGTTGAATACACACAACACAAGGCAGTTACTGAGAATTCTTCTGTCTAGCATAATATGAAGAAATAACGTTTCCAACGAAGGCCTCAAAGAGGTCTGAATATCCACTTGCAGACTTTACAAACAGAGTGTTTCCTAACTGCTCTATGAAAAGAAAAGTTAAACTCTGTGAGTTGAACGCACACATCAAAAAGGATTTTCTGAGAATCATTCTGTCTAGTTTCTATAGGAAGATATTTCCTATTCTACCATTGAACTCAAAGCGGCTGAAATCTCCACTTGCAAATTCCACAAAAAGAGTGTTTCAAGTCTGCTCTGTGTAAAGGATCGTTCAACTCTGTTAGTTGAATACACACAACACAAGGAAGTTACTGAGAATTCTGCTGTCTAGCAGAATATGAAGAAATCCCGTTTCCAACGAAAGCCTCAAAGATGTCTGAATATCCACTTGCAGACTTTACAAACAGAGTGTTTCCTAACTGCTCTATGAAAAGAAAGGTTAAACTCTGTGAGTTGAACGCACACATCACAAAGGAGTTTCTGAGAATCATTCTGTCTAGTTTTTATACGAAGATATTTCCTTTTCTACCATTGACCTCAAAGCGGCTGAAATCTCCACTTGCAAATTCCAGAAAAACAGTGTTTCAAATCTGCTCTGTGTAAAGGATCGTTCAACTCTGTGAGTTGAATACACACAACACAAGGAAGTTACTGAGAATTCATCTGTCTAGCCTTACATGAAAAAAACCCGTTTCCAACGAAGGCCTCAAAGAAGTCCAAGTATCCACTTGCAGACTTTACAAACAGAGTGTTTCCTAACTGCTCTATGAAAAGAAAGGTTAAACTCTGTGAGTTGAACGCCCACATCACAAAGGAGTTTCTGAGAATCATTCTGTCTAGTTTTTCTACGAAGATATTTCCTTTTCTACTACTGACCTCAAAGCGGCTGAAATCTCCACTTGCAAATTCCACAAAAAGAGTGTTTCAAGTCTGCTCTGTGTAAAGGATCAGTTCAACTCTGTGAGTTGAATACACACAACACAAGGAAGTTACTGAGAATTCTTCTGTCTAGCAGAATATGAAGAAATCCCGTTTCCAACGAAGGCCTCAAGGAGGTCTGAATATCCACTTGCAGACTTTACAAACAGAGTGTTTCCTAACAGCTCTATGAACAGAAAGGTTAAACTCTGTGAGTTGAACGCACACATCACAAAGGAGTTTCGGAGAATCATTCTGTCTAGTTTTTATACGAAGATATTTCCTTTTCTACCATTGACCTCAACGCGGCTTAAATCTCCACTTGCAAATTCCACAAAAAGAGTGTTTCAAGTCCGCTCTGTGTAAAGGATCGTTCAACTCTGTGAGTTGAATACACACAACACAAGGAAAGTTACTGAGAATTCTTCTGTCTAGCACAATATGAAGAAATCCCTTTTCCAAAGAAGGCCTCAAAGAGGTCTGAATATCCACTTGCAGAGTATACAAACAGAGTGTTTCCTAACTGCTCTATGAAAAGAAAGTTTAAACTCTGTGAGTTGAAGACACACATCAAAAAGGAGTTTCTGAGAATCAATCTGTCTAGTCTTTATACGAAGATATTTCCTTTTCTACCATTGACCTCAAAGTGGCTGAAATCTCCACTTGCAAATTCCACAAAAAGAGTGTTTCAAGTCTGCTCTCTGTAAAGGATCGTTCAACTCTGTGAGTTGAATACACACAACACAAGGAAAGTTACTGAGAATTCTTCTGTCTAGCAGAATATGAAGAAATCCCGTTTCCAACGAAGGCCACAAGATGTCAGAATATCCACTTACAGACTTTACAAACAGTGTGTTTCCTAACTGCTCTATGAACGGAAAGGTTAAACTCTGTGAGTTGAACGAACCCATCACAACGCAGTTTGTGGGAATGATTCTGTCTAGTTTCTATAGGAAGATATTTCCTATTCTACCATTGAACCCAAAGCGGCTGAAATCTCCACTTGCAAATTCCACAAAAAGAGTGTTTCAAGTCTGCTCTGTGTAAAGGATCGTTCAACTCTGTGAGTTGAATCCACACAACACAAGGAAGTTACTGAGAATTCTTGTGTCTAGCACAATATGAAGAAATCCCGTTTCCAACGAAGGCCTCAAAGAGGTCTGAATATCCACTTACAGACTTTACAAACAGAGTGTTTCCTAACTGCTCTATGAAAAGAAAGGTTAAACTCTGTGAGTTGAACGCACACATCACAAAGGAGTTTCTGAGAATCATTCTGTCTAGTTTCTATAGGAAGATATTTCCTATTCTACCATTGACCTCAAATCGGCTAAAATCTCCACTTGCAAATTCCACAAAAAGAGTGTTTCAAGTCCGCTCTGTGTAAAGGATTGTTCAACTCTGTGAGTTGAATACACACAACACAAGGAAGTTACTGAGAATTCTTCTGTCTAGCAGAATATGAAGAAATCCCGTTTCCAACGAAGGCCACAGGATGTCAGAATATCCACTTACAGACTTTACAAACAGAGTGTTTCCTAACTGCTCTATGAACAGAAAGGTTAAACTCTGTGAGTTGAACGAACACATCACAACGCAGTTTGTGGGAATGATTCTGTCTAGTTTTTATAGGAAGATATTTCTTTTTCTACCATTGACCTCAAAGCGGCTGAAATCTCCACTTGCAAATTCCAGAAAAAGAGTGTTTCAAGTCTGCTCTGTGTAAAGGATCGTTGAACTCTGTGAGTTGAATACAGACAACACAATGAAGTTACTGAGAATTCTTCTGTATGGCAGAATATGAAGAAATCCCGCTTCCAACGAAGGCCTCAAAGAAGTCTGAATATCCACTTGCAGACTTTACAAACAGAGTGTTTCCCAACTGCTCTAGGAAAAGAAAGGTTGAACTCTGTGAGTTGAACGCACACATCACAAAGGAGTTTCTCAGAATCATTCTGTCTAGTTTCTATAGGAAGATATTCCCTATTCTACCATTGACCTCAAAGCGGCTGAAATCTCCACTTGCAAATTCCACAAAAAGAGTGTTTCAAGTCTGCTCTGTGTAAAGGATCGTTCAACTCTGTGAGTTGAATTCACACAACACAGGGGAAGTTTCTGAGAATTCTTCTGTCTAGCAGAATAGGAAGAAATCCCGTTTCCAACGAAGGCCTCAAAGAGGTCTGAATATCCACTTGCAGACTTTACAAACAGAGTGTTTCCTAACGGCTCTATGAAAAGAAAAGTTAAACTCTGTGAGTTGAACGCACACATCACAAAGGAGTTTCTGAGGATCGTTCTGTCTAGTTTTTATACGAAGATATTTCCTTTTCTACCATTGACCTCAAAGCGGCTGAAATCTCCACTTGCAAATTCCACAAAAAGAGTGTTTCAAATCTGCTCTGTGTAAACCATCGTTCAAATCTGTGAGTTGAATACACACAACACAAGGAAGATTCTGAGAATTCTTCTGTCTAGCATAATAAGAAGAAATCCCGTTTCCAACGAAGGCCTCAAAGGGGTCTGAATATCCACTTGCAGACTTTATAAACAGAGTGTTTACTAACTGCTCTATGAAAAGAAAGGTTGAACTCTGTGAGTTGAACACACACATCACAAAGGAGTTTCTGAGAATCATTCTGTCTAGTTTTTATAGGAAGATATTTCCTTTTCTACCTTTGACTTCAAAGCGGCTGAAATCTCCACTTGCAAATTCCACAAAAAGAGTGTGACAAGTCTGCTCTGTGTAAAGGATCGTTCAACTCTGTGAGTTGAACACACACAACACAAGGAAAGTTACTGAGAATTCTTCTGTCTAGCAGAACATGAAGAAATCCCGTTTCCAACGAAGGCCCCAAAGATGTCTGAATATCCACTTGCAGACTTTAGAAACAGAGTGTTTCCTAACTGCTCTATGAAAAGAAAGGTTAAACTCTGTGAGTTGAATGCACACATCACAAAGGAGTTTCTGAGAATCATTCTGTCTAGTTTCTATAGGAAGATATTTCCTATTCTACCATTGACCTCAAAGCGGCTGAAATCTCCACTTGCAAATTCCACAAAAAGAGTGTTTCAAGTCTGCTCTGTGTAAAGGATCGTTCAACTCTGTGAGTTGAATACACGCAACAGAAGGAAGTTACTGAGAATTCTTCTGTCTAGCATAATATGAAGAAATCCCGTTTCCGACGAAGGCCTCAAAGGGGTCTGAATATCTACTTGCAGACTTTATAAACAGAGTGTTTACTAACTGCTCTATGAAAAGAAAGGTTAAACTCTGTGAGTTGAACACACACATCACAAAGGAGTTTCTGAGAATCATTCTGTCTAATCTTTATATGAAGATAGTTTCCTTTTCTACCATTGACCTCAAAGCGGCTGAAATCTCCACTTGCAAATTCCACAAAAAGAGTGTTTCAAGTCTGCTCTGTGTAAAGGATCGTTCAACTCTGTGAGTTGAATAAACACAACACAAGGAAGTTACTGAGCATTCTTCTGTCTAGCAGAATATGAAGAAATCCCGTTTCCAACGAAGGCCTCAAGGAGGTCTGAATATCCACTTGCAGACTTTACAAACAGAGTGTTTCCTAACTGCTCTATGAACGGAAAAGTTAAACTCTGTGAGTTGAACGAACACATCACAACGCAGTTTGTGGGAATGATTCTGTCTAGTTTTGAAACGAAGATATTTCCTTTTCTGCCGTTGATCTTAAAGAGCTTGAAAACTACACTTGCAAATTGCACAAATAGAGTGTTTCAAATCTGCTCTGTCTAAGGGAACGTTCAACTCTGTGAGTTGAATGCACACAACACAAGGAAGTTACTGGGAATTCTTCTGTCTAGCCTCACATGCAAAAAACCCGTTTCCAACGAAGGCCTCTAAGTGGTCAAAATATCCACGTGCAGACTTTACAAACAGAGTGTTTACAAACCGCTGAATGAAAAGAAAAGTTAAACTCTGAGAGTTGAACGCACACATCACGCAGCAGTTTCTGAGAATGATTCTGTCTAGTCTTTATACGAAGATATTTACTTTTCTACCATTGACCTCAAAGCGGCTGAAATCTCCACTTGCAAATTCCCCAAAAAGAGTGTTTCAAGTCTGCTCTGTGTAAAGGATCATTCAACTCTGTGAGTTGAATAAACACAACACAAGGAAGTTACTGAGAATTCTTCTGTCTACCAGAATATGAAGAAATCCCGTTTCCAACGAAGGCCTCAAGGAGGTCTGAATATCCACTTGCAGACTTTACAAACAGAGTGTTTCCTAACTGCTCTATGAAAAGAAAGGTTAAACTCTGTGAGTTGAACGCACACATCACAAAGGAGTTTCTGAGAATCGTTCTGTCTAGTTTTGAAACGAAGATATTTCCTTTTCTACCATTGACCTCAACGCGGCTGAAATCTCCATTTGCAAATACCACAAAAAGAGTGTTTCAAATCTGCTCTGTGTAAATGAAAGTTCAACTCTGTGAGTTGAACACACACAACACAAGGAAGTTACTGGGAATTCTTCTGTCTAGCAGAATATGAAGAAATCCCGTTTCCAACGAAGGCCACAAGATGTCAGAATATCCACTTACAGACTTAACAAACAGAGTGTTTCCTAACTGCTCTATGAACAGAAAGGTTAAACTCTGTGAGTTGAACGAACACATCACAACGCAGTTTGTGGGAATGATTCTGTCTAGTTTTGAAACGAAGATATTTCCTTTTCTGCTATTGACCTTAAAGCGCTTGAAATCTCCACTTCCCAATTGCACAAAAAGAGTGTTTCAAATCTGCTCTGTCTAAGGGAACGTTCAACTCTGTGAGTTGAATGTACACAACACAAGGAAGTTACTGGGAATTCTTCTGTATAGCCTTACATGAAAAAAACCCGTTTCCAACGAAGGCCTCTAAGTGGTCTAATTATCCACGTGCAGACTTTACAAACAGAGTGTTTCCAAACTGCTGAATGAAAAGAAAAGTTAAACTCTGAGAGTTGAACGCACACATCACAGAGCAGATTCTGAGAATGATTATGTCTAGTTTTTATACGAAGATATTTCCTTTTCTGCCTTTGGCCCCACAGCGCTTGAAATCTCCACTTGCAAATTCCACAAAAACAGTGTTTCAAATCTGCTCTCTCTAAATGAAAGTTCAACTCTGTCAGTTGAATACACACAACACAAGGAAGTTACTGAGAATTCTTCTGCCTAGCATAATATGAAGAAATCCCGTTTCCAACGAAGGCCTCAAAGAGGTCTGAATATCCACCTGCAGACTTTACAAACAGAGTGTTTCCTAACTGCTCTATGAAAAGAAAAGTTAAACTCTGTGAGTTGAACGCACACATCACAAAGGAGTTTCTGAGAATCATTCTGTCTAGTTTTTATAGGAAGATATTTCCTTTTCTACCTTTGACTTCAAAGCGGCTGAAATCTCCATTTGCAAATTCCACAAAAAGAGTGTTACAAGTCTGCTCTGTGTAAAGGATCGTTCAACTCTGGGAGTTGAATACACACAACACAAGGAAGTTACTGAGAATTCTTCTGTCTAGCCTTACATGAAAAAAACCCGTTTCCAACGAAGGCCTCTAAGTGGTCAAAATATCCACGTGCAGACTTTACAAACAGAGTGTTTCCAAACTGCTGAATGGAAAGAAAAGTTAAACTCTGAGAGTTGAACGCACACATCGCAGAGCAGTTTCTGAGAATGATTCTGTCTAGTTTTTATACGAAGATATTTCCTTTTCTACCATCGACCTCAAAGCGGCTGAAATCTCCACTTGCAAATTCCACAAAAAGAGTGTTTCAAGTCTGCTCTGTGTAAAGGATCGTTCAACTCTGTGAGTTGAATACACACAACACAAGGAAGATTCTGAGAATTCTTCTGTCTAGCAGAATATGAAGAAATCCCGTTTCCAACGAAGGCCACAAGATGTCAGACTATGCACTTTCAGACTTTAGAAACAGAGTGTTTCCTAACTGCTCTATGAACAGAAAGGTTAAACTCTGTGAGTTGAACGAACACATCACAACGCAGTTTGTGGGAATGATTCTGTCTAGTTTTGAAACGAAGATATTTCCTTTTCTGCCATTGACCTTATAGCGCTTGAAATCTCCACTTGCCAATTGCACAAAAAGTGTGTTTCAAATCTGCTCTCTCTAAGGGAACGTTCAACTCTGTGAGCTGAATGCACACAACACAAGGAAGTTACTGGGAATTCTTCTGTCTAGCCTTACATGAAAAAAAAACCGTTTCCAACGAAGGCCTCTAAGTGGTCAAATTATCCACGTGCAGACTTTACAAACAGAGTGTTTCCAAACTGCTGAATGAAAAGAAAAGTTAAACTCGGAGAGTTGAACGCACACATCGCAGAGCAGTTTATGAGAATGATTCTGTCTAGTTTTTATACGAAGATATTTCCTTTTCTGCCTTTGGCCCCAAAGCGCTTGAAATCTCCACTTGCAAATTCCACAAAAAGAGTGTTTCAAATCTGCTCTCTCTAAATGAAAGTTCAACTCTGTCAGTTGAATACACACAACACAAGGAAGTTACTGAGAAATCTTCTGTCTAGCATAATATGAAGAAATCCCGTTTCCAACGAAGGCCTCAAAGAGGTCTGAATATCCACTTGCAGACTTTACAAACAGAGTGTCTCCTAACTGCTCTATGAAAAGAAAGGTTAAACTTTGTGAGTTGAACGCACACATCACAAAGGAATTTATGAGAATCATTCTGTTTAGTTTTTATACGAAGATATTTCCTTTTCTACCATGGACCTCAAAGCGGCTGAAATCTCCACTTGCAAATTCCACAAAAAGAGTGTTTCAAATCTGCTCTGTGTAAACCATCGTTCAACTCTGTGAGTTGGATACACACAACACAAGGAAGATTCTGAGAATTCTTCTGTCTAGCATAGTATGAAGAAATCCCGTTTCCAACGAAGGCCTCAAAGAGGTCTGAATATCCACTTGCAGAGTTTACAAACAGAGTGTTTCCTACCTGCTCTATGAAAAGAAAGGTTAAACTCTGTGAGTTGAACGCACACATCACAAAGAAGTTTCTGAGAATCATTTTGTCTAGTTTCTATAAGAAGATATTTCCTATTCTACCATTGACCTCAAAGCGGCTGAAATCTCCACTTGCAAATTCGACAAAAAGAGTGTTTCAAGCCTGCTCTCTGTAAAGGATCCTTCAACTCTGTCAGTTGAATACACACAACACAAGGAAGTTACTGAGAATTATTCTGTCTAGCAGAATATGAAGAAATCCCGTTTCCAACGAAGGCCACAAGATGTCAGAATATCCACTTACAGACTTTACAAACAGAGTGTTTCCTAACTGCTCTATGAACAGAAAGGTTAAACTCTGTGAGTTGAACGAACACATCACATCGCAGTTTGTGGGAATGATTCTGTCTAGTTTTTATACGAAGATATTTCCTTTTCTACCATTGACCTCAAAGCGGCTGAAATCACTACTTGCCAATTGCACAAAAAGAGTGTTTCAAATCTGCTCTGTCTAAGGGAACGTTCAACGCTGTGAGTTGAATGTACACAACACAAGGAAGTTACTGGGAATTCTTCTGTCTAGCCTTACATGAAAAAAACCCGTTTCCAACGAAGGCGTCTAAGTGGTCAAAATATCCACGTGCAGACTTTACAAACAGAGTGTTTCCAAACCGCTGAATGAAAAGAAAAGTGAAACTCTGAGAGTTGAACGCACACATCACGCAGCAGTTTCTGAGAATGATTCTGTCTAGTTTTGAAACGAAGATATTTCCTTTTCTTCCTTTGGCCTCAAAGCGCTTGAAATCTCCATTTGCAAATTCCACAAAAAGAGTGTTTCAAATCTGCTCTGTGTAAATGAAAGTTCAACTCTGTGAGTTGAACACACACAACACAAGGAAGTTACTGGGAATTCCTCTGTCTAGCATAATATGAAGAAATCCCGTTTCCAACGAAGGCCTGAAAGAGGTCTGAATATCCACTTGCAGACTTTACAAACAGAGTGTTTCCAAACGGCTCTATGAAAAGAAAAGTTAAATTCTGTGAGTTGAACGCACACATCACAAAGGATTTTCTGAGAATCATTCTGTCTTGTTTCTATACGAAGATATTTCCTTTTCTACCATTGACCTCAAAGCGGCTGAAATCTCCACTTGCAAATTCCACAAAAAGAGTGTTTCAAGTCTGCTCTGTGTAAAGGATCGTTCAAATCTGTGAGTTGAATACACACAACACAAGGAAGTTACTGAGAATTCTTGTGTCTAGCCTTACAGGAAAAAAACCCATTTCCAACGAAGCCCTCTAAGTGGTCAAAATATCCACGTGCAGACTTTACAAACAGAGTGTTTCCAAACTGCTGAATGAAAAGAAAAGTTAAACTCTGAGAGTTGAACGCACACATCGCAGAGCAGTTTCTGAGAATGATTTTGTCTAGTTTTTATGTGAAGATTTTTCCTTTTCTACCATTGGCCCCAAAGCGCTTGAAATCTCCAATTGGGAATTCCACAAAAAGTGTGTTTCAAATCTACTCTATCTAAAAGAAGGTTCAACTCTGTGAGTTGAATACACACAATACAAAGAAGTTACTAAGAATTCCTCTGTCTTGCAGAATATGAAGAAATCCCGTTTCCAACGAAGGCCTCAAAGAGGTCTGATTATCCACTTGCAGACTTTACAAACACAGTGTTTCCTAACTGCTCTATGAAAAGAAAGGTTAAACTCTGTGAGTTGAACGCACACATCACAAAGGAGTTTCTGAGAATCATTCTGTCTAGTTTCTATAGGAAGATATTTCCTATTCTACCATTGAACTCAAAGCGGCTGAAATCTCCACTTGCAAATTCCACAAAAAGAGTGTTTCAAGTCTGCTCTGTGTAAAGGATCGTTCAACTCTGTGAGTTGAATGCACACAACACAAGGAAGTTACTGAGAATTCTTCTGTCTAGCCTTACATGAAAAAAACCCGTTTCCAACGAAGGCCTCTAAGTGGTCAAATTATCCACGTACAGACTTTACAAACAGAGTGTTTCCAAACTGCTGAATGAAAAGAAAAGTTAAACTCTGAGAGTTGAACGCACACATCACAGAGCAGTTTCTGAGAATGATTCTGTCTAGTTTTTATACGAAGATATTCCCTTTCCTGCCTTTGGCCTCAAAGCGCTTGAAATCTCCACTTGCAAATTCCACAAAAAGAGTGTTTCAAATCTGCTCTGTGTAAATCAAAGTTCAACTCCGTGAGTTGAACACACACAACACAAGGAAGTTACTGGGAATTCTTCTGTCTATCATAATATGAAGAAATCCCGTTTCCAACGAAGGCCTCAAAGGGGTCTGAATATCCACTTGCAGACTTTATAAACAGAGTGTTTACTAACTGCTCTATGAAAAGAAAAGTTAAACTCTGTGTGTTGAACGCACACATCACAAAGGAGTTTCTGAGAATCATTCTGTCTAGGTTTTATAGGAAGATATTTCCTTTTCTAACTTTGACTTCAAAGCGGCTGAAATCTCCACTTGCAAATTCCACAAAAAGAGTGTTACAAGTCTGCTCTGTGTAAAGGATCGTTCAACTCTGTGAGTTGAATACACACAACACAAGGAAGTTACTGAGAATTCTTCTGTCTAGCCTTATATGAAAAAAACCCGTTTCCAACGAAGGCCTCGAAGAGGTCTCAATATCCACTTGCAGACTTTACAAACAGAGTGTTTCCTAACTGCTCTATGAAAAGAAAGGTTAAACTCTGTGAGTTGAACGCACACATCACAAAGGAGTTTCTGAGAATCATTCTGTCTAGTTTTTATAGGAAGATTTTTCCTTTTCTACCTTTGACTTCAAAGCGGCTGAAATCTCCACTTGCAAATTCCACAAAAAGAGTGTTACAAGTCTGCTCTGTGTAAAGGATCGTTCAACTCTGTGAGGTGAATACACACAACACAAGGAAGTTACTGAGAATTCTTCTGTCTAGCATAATATGAAGAAATAACGTTTCCAACGAAGGCCTCAAAGAGGTCTGAATATGCACTTGCAGACTTTACAAACAGAGTGTTTCCTAACTGCTCTATGAACAGAAAGGTTAAACTCTGTGAGTTGAACGAACACATCACAACGCAGTTTGTGGGAATGATTCTGTCTAGTTTTGAAACGAAGATATTTCCTTTTCTGCCATTGACCTTAAAGCGCTTGAAATCTCCACTTGCCAATTGCACAAAAAGGGTGTTTCAAATCTGCTCTGTCTAAGGGAACGTTCAACTCTGTGAGTTGAATGTACACAACACAAGGAAGTTACTGGGAATTCTTCTGTCTAGCCTTACATGAAAAAAACCCGTTTCCAACGAAGGCCTCAAAGAGGTCAAAATATCCACGTGCAGACTTTCCAAACAGAGTGTTTCCAAACTGCTGAATGAAAAGAAAAGTTAAACTCTGTGAGTTGAACGCACACATCCCAGAGCAGTTTCTGAGAAAGATTTCTGTCTAGTTTTTATACGAAGATATTTCCTTTTCTGCCTTTGACCTCAAAGCGCTTGAAATCTCCACTTGCAAATTCCACAAAAAGAGTGTTTCAAATCTGCTCTGTGTAAATGAAAGTTCAACTCTGTGAGTTGAACACACACAACACAAGGAAGTTACTGGGAATTCTTCTGTCTAGCAGAATATGAAGAAATCCCGTTTCCAACGAAGGCCTCAAAGAGGTCTGAATATCCACTTGCAGACTATACAAACAGAGTGTTTCCCAACTGCTCTATGAAAAGAAAGGTTAAACTCTGTGAGTTGAACGCACACATCACAAAGGAGTTTCTGAGAATCATTCTGTCTAGTTTCTATAGGAAGATATTTCCTATTCTACCATTGAACTCAAAGCGGCTGAAATCTCCACTTGCAAATTCCACAAAAAGAGTGTTTCAAGTCTGCTCTGTGTAAAGGATCATTCAACTCTGTGAGTTGAATACACACAACACAAGAAAGTTACTGAGAATTCTTCTGTCTAGCATAGTATGAAGAAATCCCGTTTCCAACGAAGGCCTCAAAGAGGTCTGAATATCCACTTGCAGAGTTTACAAACAGAGTGTTTCCTAACTGCTCTATGAAAAGAAAGGTTAAATTCTGTGAGTTGAACGCACACATCACAAAGAAGTTTCTGAGAGTCATTCTGTCTAGTTTCTATAGGAAGATATTTCCTATTCTACCATTGACCTCAAAGCCGCTGAAATCTCCACTTGCAAATTCCACAAAAAGAGTGTTTCAAGTCTGCTCTGTGGAAAGGATCGTTGAACTCTGTGAGTTGAATACACACAACACAAGGAAGTTACTGAGAATTCTTCTGTCTAGCAGAATATGAAGAAATCCCTTTTCCAAAGAAGGCCTCAAGGAGGTCTGAATATCCACTTGCAGACTTTACAAACAGAGTGTTTCCTAACTGCTCTATGAACAGAAAGGTTAAACTCTGTGAGTTGAACGAACACATCACAACGCAGTTTGTGGGAATGATTCTGTCTAGTTTTAAAACGAAGATATTTCCTTTTCTGCCATTGACCTTAAAGCGCTTGAAATCTACAATTGCAAATTGCACAAATAGAGTGTTTCAAATGTGCTCTGTCTAAGGGAACGTTCAACTCTGTGAGTTGAATGCACACAACACAAGGAAGTTACTGGGAATTCTTCTGTCTAGCCTTACAGGAAAAAAACCCGTTTCCAACGAAGGCCTCTAAGTGGTCAAAATATCCACGTGCAGACTTTAGAAACAGAGTGTTTCCAAACTGCTGAATGAAAAGAAAAGTTAAACTCTGAGAGTTGAACGCACACATCGCAGAGCAGTTTCTGAGAATGATTTCTGTCTAGTTTTTATACGAAGATATTTCCTTTTCTGCCTTTGGCCCCAAAGCTCTTGAAATCTCCACTTGCAAATTCCACAAAAACAGTGTTTCAAGTCTGCTCTCTGTAAAGGATCGTTCAACTCTGTGAGTTGAATACACACAACACAAGGAAGTTACTGAGAATTCTTCTGTCTAGCACAGTATGAAGAAATCCCGTTTCCAACGAAGGCCTCAAAGAGGTCTGAATATCCACTTGCAGAGTTTACAAACAGAGTGTTTCCTAACTGCTCTATGAAAAGAAAGGTTAAACTCTGTGAGTTGAACGCACATATCACAAAGAAGTTTCTGAGAATCATTTCTGTCTAGTTTTTCTACGAAGATATTTCCTATTCTACCATTGACCTCAAAGCGGCTGAAATCTCCACTTGCAAATTCCACAAAAAGAGTGTTTCAAGTCTGCTCTGTGTAAAGGATCGTTCAATTCTGTGAGTTGAATACACACAACACAAGGGAAGTTACTGAGAATTCTTCTGTCTAGCCTTACATGAAAAAAACCCGTTTCCAACGAAGGCCTCTAAGTGGTCAAATTATTCACGTGCAGACGTTACAAACAGAGTGTTTCCAAACTGCTGAATGAAAAGAAAAGTTAAACTCTGAGAGTTGAACGCACACATCGCAGAGCAGTTTCTGAGAATGATTCTGTCTAGTTTTTATACGAAGATATTTCCTTTTCTGCCTTTGGCCTCAAAGCGCTTGAAATCTCCATTTGCAAATTCCACAAAAAGGGTGTTTCAAATCTGCTCTGTGTAAATGAAAGTTCAACTCTGTGAGTTGAACACACACAACACAAGAAAGTTACTGGGAATTCTTCTGTCTAGCAGAATATGAAGAAACCCCGTTTCCAACGAAGGCCTCAAGGAGGTCTGAATATCCACTTGCAGACTTTACAAACAGAGTGTTTCTTAACTGCTCTATGAAAAGAAAGGTTAAACTCTGTGAGTTGGACGCACACATCACAAAGGAGTTTATGAGAATCATTCTGTCTAGTTTCTATAAGAAGATATTTCCTATTCTACCATTGACCTCAAAGCGGCTGAAATCTCCACTTGCAAATTCGACAAAAAGAGTGTTTCAAGCCTGCTCTCTGTAAAGGATCGTTCAACTCTGTGAGTTGAATACACACAACACAAGGAAGGTTACTGAGAATTCTTCTGTCTAGCATAATATGAAGAAATCCCGTTTCCAACGAAGGCCTCAAAGAGGTCTGAATATCCACTTGCAGACTTTACAAACAGAGTGTTTCCTAACTGCTCTATTAAAAGAAAAGTTAAACTCTGTGAGTTGAACGCACACATCACAAAGGAGTTTCTGAGAATCATTCTGTCTAGTCTTTATACGAAGATATTTACTTTTCTACCATTGACCTCAAAGCGGCTGAAATCTCCACTTGCAAATTCCACAAAAAGAGTGTTTCAAGTCTGCTCTGTGTAAAGGATCATTCAACTCACAGAGTTGAATAAACACAACACAAGGAAGTTACTGAGAATTCTTCTGTCTAGCAGAATATGAAGAAATCCCGTTTCCAACGAAGGCCACAAGATGTCAGAATATCCACTTACAGAATTTACCAACAGAGTGTTTCCTAACTGCTCTATGAAAAGAAAAGTTAAACTCTGTGAGTTGAACGAACACATCACAACGCAGTTTGTGGAAATGAT